>NC_000010.11:90900671-91203701 GCF_000001405.40 Homo sapiens
AGGGCTGAAAAGAATGCCCCAGTCTCTGTCAGCACTCCCTTCTTCCCTTTTATAGTTCATCAGCCACAACAAAAATAAAACCTTTGTGTGATTTACTGTTTTCATTTGGAGCTAGAAATCAATAGTCTATAAAAACAGTTTTACTTGCAATCCATTAAAACAACAAACGAAACCTAGTGAAGCATCTTTTTAAAAGGCTGCCAGCTTAATGAATTTAGATGTACTTTAAGAGAGAAAGACTGGTTATTTCTCCTTTGTGTAAGTGATAAACAACAGCAAATATACTTGAATAAAATGTTTCAGGTATTTTTGTTTCATTTTGTTTTTGAGATAGGGTCTTTGTTGCTCAGGCTGGAGTACAGTGGCATAATCACAGCTCACTGCAACCTCAATCCTGGGCTCAAGTGATCCTCCCGCTTCAGCCTCTCAAGCAGCGGGAACTACAGGTGTGCACTACCACACCTGGCTATTTTTTTTTTTTTTTTTTTTTTCCCTTGTAGAGACATGGTCTCACTATGTTGCTGAGGCTGGTCTCAAACTCCTAGGATCAAGCCATCCTCCCGCTTTGGCCTCCTAAAGTGCTGGGATTACATGAGCCACCACATGCAGCCAGATGTTTGAATATTTTAAGAGCTTCTTTCGAAAGTTTCTTGTTCATACTCAAATAGTAGTTATTTTGAAGATATTCAAACTTATATTGAAGAAGTGACTTTAGTTCCTCTTGTTTTAAGCTTCTTTCATGTATTCAAATCAGCATTTTTTTCTAAGAAATTGCTATAGAATTTGTGGAAGGAGAGAGGATACACATGTAAAATTACATCTGGTCTCTTCCTTCACTGCTTCATGCCTACGTAAGGTCTTTGAAATAGGATTCCTTACTTTTAGTTAGAAACCCCTAAAACGCTAATATTGATTTTCCTGATAGCTGTATTAAAAATAGCAAAGCATCGGACTGAACCAACTTTGGAAATAATTTATTTTTATAATGGGATCATGTTAAGTAGAAGTAGCTTTTTATGCAAATACATGCATTTATGCAATATTAATGTAAGGGCTCTAAAACAATGGAGTAGAGCCAGAGGTATAACTGAATAAGAAATTTTTTTAAGCAAGAGAAAGACAACTGTTCTGCGGGTTGGAGAAAATACAATTTTTTTTTTTTTTTTTGAGACAGTCTCGCTCTGTCCCCCAGGCTGGAGTGCAGTGGCTCGATCTCTGCTCACTGCAAGCTCCGCCTCCTGGGTTCATGCCATTCTCCTGCCTCAGCCTCCTGAGTAGCTGGGACTACAGGCGCTCGCCATGTATTTAGCAGAGACGGGGTTTCACCGTGTTAGCCAGGATGGTCTCAATCTCCTGACCTCATATTCCACCCGCCTCGGCCTCCCAAAGTGCTGGGATTACAGGCGTTAGCCACTGCGCCCGGCCCGAGAAAATACAGTTTTAAAAAGAGAAAGCTTTATAACCTCACCAATGAATACAAATGTTTAAATAAAATATTGATTAAAAAAACATTAAAAGTGCATCATGACCAGGTGAAATTTATTCTTTTTTTCTTCTTCTTTTTGAGACAGGGTCTCACTCTGTCACCCAGGCTGGAGTGCAGTGGCACAATCTCGGCTCACTGCAACCTTTGCCTCTTGGGCTCAAGCCATCCTCCCACCTCAGCCTCCCAAGTAAGTGGGACCAGAAGCATGCACCACCACATCCCAGCTAATTTTTGTATTTTTTTGTAGAGATGGGGTTTTGCCATGTCCAGGCTAGTCTCAAACTCCTGGCAGATTCAAGCAGTCTGTCCGCCTCAGCATCCCAAAGTGCTGGGATTACAGGCACAGGCATGAGCCACCATACCCGGCCTTCCAGTTCTTTTTAATGCAGTATCCTTTATCATATTCATAGGTCAAAAGAGAAAAATCAGAATATTTTTAATAGATGCCAGAAAGACATTTAATAAAGTTAAATCCACTCCTGATTTTTAAAATGACAACAATAAAAACCCATGGCAAAATTAAAGTAGAATAATATTGTATGCATACATATATATGTTCATATGTGTCTGTTTTTTGTGTATATTAAATGTGATGGCTCCAAAAGCATTTTTGACTACCGCTTGGCCAATTTGATGGATTAACCTACTCATTCCTTCTGTAAAACTGAGGCTGGTGCTGCTGAGGCCACACACCAAAAGTCTGCCACTTCCTTGTGTGCCAGTTTGCTTTTTTCCTTCACCCTGCTTAAGTTCACCAAAAGTCAGCTGTGTTTATTCACAAATCTGTTTAAGGCAGCTGTGTTTAGCATTGTATGTAAATTATTTTTTTAAATATGAAAATTGATGAGCTATTGGGGGCAAATGAAAAATTCCCGGGAAAACTAAGTCAACACTTTGGAAAGGTTTGGAAAAGAGTCATTACAAAGAACTGCTGTCAAATTAGATATGAGAAGGATAACAAATTTGGGGGTGATCAGTAAAAACTCTGCACTTGGATTGCTTCACTAATGTCAAGTTCCTTTTCTGCTTTAAAGGAACTAGAATTCAACAAAGACAACTTTTGATCTCTCATCAGAGAGATCATACTCCCAAGAACAGGCTTTGACCCTTCTTTAAAAGGTTGGTACCCAAGTATACATTTATCTATTTTAAGCTTAAAATGCTTAACAGGATGTATGTTCAATTTTTTGCGACGTCCCACCTTAATTTATGAATTAGTGATGTACCAGCTACAGTTGCACCAGATACAGTAAGATTTTCATGTTATAGAAAGGAGGTAAAATTATTTGCAGATACGACTGTCTTGGAAAACTCGTGAAATAAATGGGAAAAAAGTAGAAATACAGGTACCTTTCAGCTTACGTCCATTTACTACACATTTGTGTAGTATGTGTTTGCAGTTGTGCGTGCTTTCTATTCATACATGTTTATGCCATTGTTCATGATAGTAGGGCATGATGGCTGATCACCAGTGAATAGCAGAGGCAAGTTTCCTTCTAATATTTACTTTCGTTAGAATGAACCACTAATTTAATTGCTACAAGATGCCAATACCTCTGCCAAACCAAGATGAAGTTTGGCAGAGTGGCCAATTGTATAAATACACAAAAACCAGATTTTGATTAATAACCTGTTAAATAATTTTAAAAGATGACACTATTCACAAAGACATAAATTACCAAGAAATGTGTAGGGCCTCTATAAAGAAAACTTAATGAAAGTAATAAGAGAATAAAGGGAAAATAAAGACTAGAATACATGGAAAGAGACATTCTGTTTTCTTGAATAAGACAAATTGTAAATCAAATTCTCCCCCAAATTACGCATTTAACAAAATTTAAAATCAAAATGCTTATAAGTATTTTTTGTTTTCTTGTTTATGTATTTGGTCTTTGGACTTGGTATTCTGAAAGAGTAAATATGAGAATTGGAAATTTCAGGAAAAAACCTAATGGGAGGGACTTACAATGCTGAATATTACAGAGTATAACAAAACTCTAGTACTGTAATTAAAACTAATTGGTGCAGAAATTCAGAACAGTGAAAAGAGCAGGAAGTCCAAGATCATACTTTAGATATAAGAAGAAATGATGGATTGATTGTTCAGTAAGTGATACTGAAATAATTGGTTATCTATTTGGGAGAGGCAGTACAGCATACCAGTTAAGTGCATAGGGGAAAGAAAAACTAAATGCATTTAAAGCCCTACTTGCTAGTACTCATTAGCTATGACCTTGGGCAAATTATGTAACCTCTCTGTGCCTCGCTTCATCTGTTCTCCCTACCTGTCACATTATTGCAAGGATTAAGTAGGTTAGTATTTGTGGAAGGCTTACTTTGAACAGGGCCTGTCATATAAAATGTACCAACTACAGCCGGGTGCCATGGCTTACACTTGTAATCCCAGCCCTTCAGGAGGCCAAGGAGGGCGGATAACTTGAGGTCAGGAGTTCAAGACCAGCCTGGCCAACATGGCAAAACCCCGTCTCTACTAAAAATACAAAATCAGCCAGGCATGGTGGCCCATGACTGTAATCCCTGCTACTCGGGAGGCTGAGGCAGGAAAATTGCTTGAACCCGGGAGGTAGAGGTTGCACTGAGCTGAGATCGCACCACTGCATTCCAGTCTGGGCGACAGAATGAGACTCTGTCTAAAAAAAAGAAAGTACCAACTATTTTATTATTTATTACTTCATTATATTAATTTAAATATTGAAGTGTCAGCTATCATTTAGGAAAAAACTAAGTCAAATCTCTATCTCACACCCAATACACACCCATAGTAAATCCAGGTAGATTAAAGATTTAAATTTTTTAACAAACTTGTAAAATACTAGAGGAAAATGTAAGTTAATTAAAAAAATAATAATCTTGGATTGCAATAGACCTGCCGAGCATGGTCATCAAAGCCAGAAAACAAAGTTTGATTGATTTGTCTCTACATAACAACAAGTAGGAAAGTACATTTACAATACATATTCCAGGAAGGTTTCATATGCTTAGCTTTTAAGAATTTTTTTTTTTTAAATACCCAACATGACATGCTGTTAGCATCCATAGAGATCCCCATTCCCAGGGTGGTGTACCTATATTGCCAGTGCTTCAGATGTTGGGTACTAATGACTTATCTTCACCCTTTTCCAGAGGATTGTCCTGGGCTGATGAGAGTCACTTTACCTGAAGATACCTGGGAAGTTTTGTCTCCTCTGAGGTTGGCCCATGGCCAGTGACTGATGCAGGACATTACAGCCTGGCCCACTGGCCTCGGTGGTACAATTTATGCTCCTGAGCACCCCATGGGATTACGCTGTGTGTGGATTTCTCCTGAAACCACATATTTGCCTCTTCTGCCCTGTTCTGTTTTTTCTCATTCCCTTATAGAGGACTCTCAGTAAGTCACTTACACAAGAATCCTAATTTGAAATGCTGCTTCCAGGAGACCTGACTTAGAAAATTGGACAAATAAAGTTGATTTTTTTAAATGTCCAGTAACATGAAGATGCTGAACTTTCCTAGTCATTTAGGGGGAAATCACCACAAATATATCTGGCTGATCAGGTTGAAAGTTAAAAGAAAAAAAGATTTATAAAGTGGGTATTTTCAAGATGGTGTGGAGGGAGATACAATTTGATGCAAGTCTTATACTTTTGATGTCAATTTATTCTTCAGAAATAACTGGTTAATTATAAAGGGTGGATGGATAAGGATATTCACTGCAACAATGTCTTAAATGTGAAAATGGAAACAACCTAAATACCCAATAATAACAGGATTAAATAATTCATTGTACATTAAAAGAATACTGTCTATAAAGATGTCTAGAATAAGTTGTTCAGTTGAAGTTGTAAAGCTAAATACACAATACCCATAATGTGCACAGAAATAATCAGAATGTCATGAAACCAGGATTATTGGTGATGTGTTGCTTCCTTTGTTACTCATTTCTGTATTGGCATAATGAGTATTGGGTGTTCAAGAGGAGGGGGAAGGAAGTATGACAGATGTTATGGGGAAAAAGCAAAGTACAACAGGAAGACACCTTGGGGGAACTAATAGAATCTAAGGACTCAAGGATGGCTTCCTGGAGGAAATACAGCTAGAACAAAGGGGAGGAATGAGAAGTGATGTGATGGCGTGGAGTGGGCTGTAGTGGGAAGAAGAGTCTTCCAGGGAGCTGGCACAGTATGTGAAAACAGTAAAGCAAGTGCCTGGATTTTTTAAGGAACTGAAAATTTAGTTGAGTTGAAATTTAGAGTTTGGCTAGGAAGGTTATGAGAGATAAGAATAAAGAGTTAACAGCAGCCAGATTTTAAGGATTTTATAAGACATTTTTAGGAGTTTTTATTTCATCCTGAGAGAAATGTGAAGCCATCGAAGGGTTGAAAGAGGAGAGTGAGTTGATCAGCATTGCATTTTAGAAAAATCCCTCTATCTGCAACTTGAAAAACATTCTGGAGGTAAGCAAGCCTGGAGGCCAGGAGCC
Source organism: Homo sapiens (assembly GCF_000001405.40). Classification (NCBI taxonomy): domain Eukaryota; kingdom Metazoa; phylum Chordata; class Mammalia; order Primates; family Hominidae; genus Homo; species Homo sapiens. Next base: position 90,906,641 of record NC_000010.11, read on the forward strand.
TAGGAGGGCTATTTGATCCAGATGAGAAGTAATGGTGACCTGAACTAGGGCAGAGGCACCTAGGATTGGAAAACATGGACAGATCACAGCACTACTTATGTAGTATACTTGGTAAGACCTGGTTGTTTAAAAGAGAAGGATGAGGGAAAGAAGGTCAAAAACAACTTCTAGGACTCTCCATTGGCCAGTGTGGTGTGCCCTTCACTGAAGAGCAAACACAAAATGAAAGATTGTGGGCAAAGAGTTGAGTCAGTGAGAAGGCAAGGAGAGAACCTTATAAAAAAATTGACTATGTGATTAAAAACTTAAAAATTTCCCCCAACGTGTTTATCTTTTCCATTAGCAGAAATAACTAAGAGTTGTCTTAATTCTAATGGGATTTATTCCATATTGTCTCTCATGCCCTCTACCTAGTTATTAGTGCAAATATTTATATGTGGCAACATAAAACTTTTTAACTCTTTATTCTCTTCTCTCGTGTACCCTCCCAGCTCTTTAGGGGAGGTGGATTTGAGGCAGATACCATAAAGAAAAGTTGGTCACATGGTGGTAACACGTTGAAGTTATGCCACATGAGACATCAGCACTGGCAAGAGAAATGTCTGTGTTGTAGATGTTTCACTTGGAAGAAATTGAAGGACCCTGAGCCTTAAAAGTCTGACAAACTTAAGCCAGGACCCCTGTGGGGAAGGTAGAGGGGCCAACAAACAAGATTGGGAGTCAGAGAGATAACAATGAAATCCCCAATGCCTGTGGGAGGTGGACTCCCTGGATTAGTACTAGACAGAAAAGGTACAAAAATATTTCAAACCATTCTCACAACTCTATATGTGTCTATGACCAGATAACTGGAAGACCTTCTGGTTATGGACTATGCGTATACACTCTCCCAGATAGTTAGAGGCATATCTAAGAGGTTAACATATATGATCTTATCCAAAATGGGTCTCTTGGTGCTAGTGTTTTACATCAGACTTCACTGGCTTTCATGTATTTCCACAAGTGCCAAACATTTCTCATATCCTTGCTGTATTCCATAGAGCAGTGTTCCTGCTACCTGGAACACTTGATTCTTGAATAACTCCTGTTTACCTTTCAGACAAACCCTAAAGGTTACCACCTCAAAGAAGTCTTTATAGAAGCCTCATCATCTTAGACACTCTGTATTGTTTCCTTCATCGTATTTACAACAGACAGATACTGTGCACTTACTGCCTCACTTAACGACAGGGATACGTTCTGAAAGGTGCATCATTAGGCGGTTTTGTTGTGTGAACATCACAGAGTGTTACTTACACAAACCTAAATGATACAGCCTACTAAACACCTAGGCTATATGAGCAATACAGCCTATTGCTCTTAGGCTTCAAACTTGTACGACATGTCACTGTACTGAATACTGTAGGCAACTATAACACAGTGGTAAGTATATTGTGTATCTAAACAAACATAGAAAAGGTAATGCACTGTACTATGATGTTACAACAGCTAGGATGTTGCTATCAATAGAAATTTTTCAGCTTCATTTTATTTTTATGGGACCACCTTTGTATATGTGGTTCATTGTTGGCCGAAACACCATTCTGTGGCACATGACTATGTATTTATTCCTCATTATTCCTTTAATATTCATCTCTTCCAGGAGGGCATGTCATGGACAATCTCTTTTTCTTACCACAGGTCTTAGGACCTGGCCTAGCACCTGGCCAAGAACTACTGGCATACCTCCTTTTATTGTGCTTCAATTTATTGTGCTTTGCAAATACTGAATTTTTTACAAGTTGAAGATTTGTGGCACCTCTGTAACCAGCAAGTCTATTGGTGCCATTTTTTCAACATCATGTGCCTGTTTCCTGTCTCGCTCATGTCACATTTTGGTAATTTTCACAATATTAAAAACTTTTTCATTATTATTATATGTGTTTTGTTGGTTAGTGTTCTTTGATTTTACTATTATAACTGTTTTAGGTAGCCACAAATTGCACTCATATCGGACAGTGAACTTAATCCATGAATGTTGTGTGTGTTCTGACTCCTCCATCGACCAGCTTTCCCCATTTCCTTCCCTCTCTTCAGGCCTCCCCATTCCTTGAAACAAAACAATATTGAAATTAGGCCAATTAATAACCCTACAATGGCCTCTAAGTGTTCAAGTGAAAGGAAGAACCACACATCTCTCTCAATCAAAAGCTAGGAATGATTAAGCTTATTGAGAAAGGCATGTAGAAAGCCAAGATAGGCTGAAAACTATGCCTCTCACTCAAGTTGTGAATGCAAAGGAAAAGTTCTTGAAGGAAATTAAAGGTGCTTCTCCAGTGAACACACAAATGATAAAGCAAAACAGCTCTATTGCTGAATGGAGAAAGTTTTTGTGGTCTGGATAGAACACCAAACCAGTTACAATAATGCCTTAATCCAAAGCCTAATCCAGAGGCCCTAACTCTTCAATGCTATGAATGCTGAGAAGTGAGGAAGCTGCTGAAAACAGTTGGAGAACTGCAGCGGAAGTTGGTTCATAAGATTTGAGGAAAGAAGCCATCTCTGTAACATAAAAGTGCAAGGTGAAGCACAAGTGCTGATAGAAGAAAGAAGCTGCAGCGAGTTATCCAGAAGATCTAGCTAAGATAACTGATTAACATGGCTACACTGAGCAACAGATTTTCAATGTAGATGAAACAGCCTTCTATTGGAAGATGCCATGTAGGACTTTGATAGCTAGAGAGGAGAAGTCAATGCCTGGCTTCAAAGCTTCAAAGCTTTGACTCCCTTGTTAGCTGGTGATTTTAAGTTGAAACCAATGCTCATTGACCATTCTGAAAATCCTAGGGTTGTTAAGAATTATGCTAAATCTACTTTGCCTGTGCTCTATAAATTGTACCACAAATCCTTGATGATAGCACATCTTTTTACATCATAGTTTATTGAATATTTTAAGCCCATCATTGAAACCTACTGTTCAGGAAAAAAAAATATTCCTTTCACAACATTACTGCTAATTGAAAATGCACCTGGTCACCCAAGACTGATGGAGACGTGCATCTGATGAGGATGTACAAGGAGATGAATGTTATTCTCATACCTGCTTACACAACATCCATTCTGTAGCCCATGGATCAAGGAGTCATTTTGAATCAAGTCTTATTAAGAAACACATTTCATAAGGCTATATGCCGTAGATAACGATTCCTTTGATGGATCTGGGCAAAATAAATTCAAAACCTTCTGGAAAGGATTCACCATGCTAGATGCCATTAAGAACATTCGTGGGTCATTGGAGGAGGTAAAAATATCATTAACTGGAATTTGAAAGAAGTTAATTCCAACCTGTGTGAATGACTTGGAGGGGTTCAAGACTTCGGTGGAGTAAGTAACTGTTGATGTGGTGGAAATAGCAAGAAAACTAAAAGTGGAGCCTGAACATGTGACTGAATTGTTGCAATCTTGTCATAAAACTTGAACAGCTGAGAAGTTGCTTCCTATGGATGAGCAAAGGAAGTGGTTTCTTGAGATGGAATCTACTCCTAGTGAAGATGCTGTAAACATTGTTGAAATGACAAAAAAAGGATTTTGAATATTACATCAACTTAGTTAATAAAGCAGTAACAGGGTTTGCGAGGATGTACTCCAATTTTGAAAGATGTTCTATTGATAGTAACATGCTATCAAATAGCATCAGATGCTACAGATAAATCTTTTATGAAAGAGTTAATTGATGTGGTAAGCTTATTGTTGTCTTCTTTCAATAAATTGACACAGCCATCCCAATCTTCATCAACTACCACCCTCATCAGTCAGCAGCCATCCACATGGAGGGAAGACCCTCCGCCATTAAAACGATTATGACTCACTGAAGGCTCAGATGATCATTAGCATTTTTTTTAGCAATAAAGTATTTTTAAGTTAAGGTAGGTACAGTGTTTTTTAGACATCGTGCTATAGCACAATTATTAAACCACAGGATAATGTAAACATAACTTTTGTATGCACTAGAAAACCAAAAAAAATTGTGACTCACTTTATTGTGATATTAGTTTTATTATGGTGGTCTGGAGGTCAAAAATCATGGACCTGTGTGTTCTCTCCTGGGAAGTCTTTGACATTGCCAGTCCCTGTCCACAAGAATTGTTAAATCTCCAGTTAATTTGCATTTTTCTAATGATCAGTGATATTGAGCTTTCTTTTCCAGATGTTTGTTGGCCACATGAATATCTTCTTTTGAGAAGTGTCTGTTCGTGTGCTTTGCCCACTTTTTTGATGGGGTTGTTTTTTCTTGTAAATTTAAGTTCCTTGTAGATTCTGGATGTTAGAGCTTTGTCAGATGGATGGAGTCTGAATGGCAGTTACTTAAAAAGTCAAGAAATAACAGATGCTGGCAAGGTTGCAGAAAAATAGGAACACTTTTACACTGTTGGTGGGAATGTAAATTAGTTCATCCATTGTGGAAAATGGTGTGGTGATTCCTCAAAGATCTAGAACCAGAAATACCATTTGACCTAGCAATCCCATTATTGGGTATGTACCCAAAGGAATATAAATCATTCTACTACAAAGATACATGCATGCATATGTTCATTGCAGCACTATTCACAATTGCAAAGACATGGAACCAACCCAAATGCCCATCAATAATAGACTGGATAAAGAAAATATGGTAGATATACACCATGGAATACAACGCAGCCATAAAAAGAATGAGATCATGTCCTTGGCAGGGGCATGGATGCAGCTAGAGGCCATTATTCTCAGCAAATTAACACAGGAGCGGAAAACCAAACACCGCATGTTCTCACTTATAGGTGGGAGCTGAACAATGAGAACACATGGACACAGGGAGGGGAACAAAATACACTGGGACCTGTATAGGGGGTGGGGTGGGAGGAAGGAGAGCATTACGAAAAATAGCTAATGCATGCTGGGCTTAATACCTAAGTGATGGGTTGATAGGTGCAGCAAACCACCATGGCACACGTTTATGTAACACCGCTGCACATCCTGCACATGTACCCCAGAACTTAAAATTTAAATTTAAAAAAGTCACTAGTTAAGCCTTAATGGGAACTTCGTAAGAAATGCGGGTTTACCATGCAGAAATCATTCTGACCACCAGGGGTCTCTTTCTACACACCACTGGGACTGAAAGCTCGCTAGAATTCCTTTGTGTCTTTATGGCTCTCGGCCTAGCTGCTCAGTGTGGTGGTGGCATTTCGTGGCCTGTCACCTGGGAGCTTGTCAGAAAAGCAGAATCTCAGGCCCCACCTGAGACCAGCTGAATCAGAAATCTGCATTTTAACCAGATCCCCAGGTGATCTGTATACATATTAAATACTGGGAGTGCTGTTGTACGGGACATTTCTAATCTGCAAAACTTGGAAAACAATGGAAAAAAAAAACCCTCCTATATAGCTTTTTTTTTCACATAGGACATTTCCACCACACTTATAGAAGGACTTAGAGGTTTAGAGTTTGATTGCCTTTATTATGAATATAAAATGTACATACAATACAATATACATTTATACATTTACAGTTTGCATTTCCTTTCATCTTTTTTGAGCAAATTCAATTCTGCATGTCCCAGTTTGCCGCTCCTTCCACTGATTTGCACTTACACTCATGACGTTCTCTTCACTTGGGTACTCTGTGTACTCGGTAAAAAAAAAAAAAAAAAAAAAAAAAAAAAATCCAGCCTGGGGGTAAAATAGCTGGCTTCACTGTCCTTTTCACAGAATCACTTTCCTTCCATTGTTTCCTTTCCTGTCCCTACATGCCTTCCCTTGCTTCATTCAAACTTCTGCATTAAAAATTCAGGAGAAAAGAGGGCTGTGATAATCAGCCCTCTCTTAAAAACTCTTACATGAGCGAATGACACATAAGTAGGCACTTGAACTTTGCTCTTTCACCTGGTTTAAGAACTACCTATGGGTGGGAAGGCTCTGAAAGTGTTATATACAAATGAAGCTCTGCTCACCAGATGGATGATCATGAAGGTCTGAATATCAGTAGCGTGGCAGTAAATAAATAAACAGGAATACATAAAAATAAATAAGAGTTTCACTAAAGGAAATTTAAACACCTATAACCCTGTGCTTTCTCAAAACTTCATTAGGTACATCTTCACAACACGTTGATAAATAGAAACTAGATTTTATGGCTAGTGTCTCTTCTCTTGGGCCATGCCTTCAAAATGCCAGTGAACATTTACTGATTAAGAGTCTGTCGTTTGCCTCAGAATGTAGCTATGCGAGAGGTCTTGTAGGAGTTCTCTCTGAGGCTGTCGAATATTGCTTTGGTTCCATTCTGCCAGTGTAGCACCAGATCCATCGGCGTCTTCCCAGCCTAATCAAATGAGATAAGGAAAGTTGACTTTCAGGTGGGTGACATCTGTAAATTCACATTCTCTGTGTGTGTTTCATGAGGTAAGGATTAGGTATATGTTATAACAGTGTTTTATGGTTTCCACCAGGAGTGATCTGCAGTTTATACTCAAACCAGTCCTTCACTGTTTCTCAGAGGGATGCTTTTGCCATTTTAGAGCAAAAATCTTTTTCACGTGGGACCATCCCAGGTATTGGTAAAATCCCTTGTCCCTAGACACTATGTGTCAAGAGCACCTCAAGTCATTTTGAAATTTATAAAATGTCTCCATACATCTTCCAGTATCCTGTGGAATGGACTCCCGGAGGTGGGAGCATGCCTCTTGGACCAAGAATCAGTGCCTATCCATTTGAATGATAGTTCTTTGATTGATAAGAAATGATGGTAAATGAGCTGCATCAATAACTTGGCTTAAGGACTTAGGTACTGCTTGGGTACTATTACTGTTCCTGGGAGCAGATTTTTCATAACTTGTCAGAATTTTCAATGGACTCTCCCAGGAAATGTATTTTTCTTGGAGTTGATGGCAATGACACATGTGAACAAATAATTTTTGAGACGAAATTTTGATTTCCCTTATGCACGTGTCTCAAGATTTAAAAATATTAAAACCATGTCATCTCTCAATTCTCATCTATAGATCTGAGAAGTCCAAAATTTTTCCATCTCTATTCATTGAGAAGTTTCTTTTTAACCCAGCGACTGCAAATTGGCAGCTTTGAGATGCAAACCAGAATAGAGACCTGTTTTGTTTTGACCCAAACAGAACTTAGATTTTTTTTAAGATTAGTATGAATTGGCAACAGTTGGAAACCAAGAGCTGGATTTGTGACTTCTATGAAAAAATCAGAAGAGTTAAAAACATGGTACCCATGGTTCCACAGAGCAACATAGACTGGGTTGGGGAAGGGCCACCTTTAAAAGAGTTATGTGCACAGACCCTGACAGCCACACATTGAAGTCACTTAGGCCATCTGCCCGGCACAGTGAGGTCAGTCTGCAGTCAGATTATGAGATCTGTAGGTATTTAAATTAGTGGCCCTATAACCTTCATTTTGGAACTTCCCCACCTCTGTAGTGTCTTTCTCTAGGAACAATCATCAGTAGACATGAATATACAGTTTTGGATAATGAGAAAATATTGTATGCTGCTCCCAATCTCCTTAAGATGGCATCAATAGGTTATTGATCTTTGGGGGAAACATCAATCCATTGGGTCAATGACATTAATAGTTCCATAAACCTGATGCTAATATCTAACTGATAATTCAGAACCCTAAGCCGTATTTGTATATTTTGGGCTACTCTTCCATAAATTCCTTGCACTTCTCTCCATTGAAATTTATATTGTGATTTTTCTGGCTACTTACACAGTCTCCCTAAACCTGTATGCTATTTGTCTCTGCTGGTAGTGTCTCACTGCCTGAAAAAAAATCTTCACATTTTCTGCAGCTTTCAAGATTTCATTTAACCTGCTCTTTTTCTGATAGTTTAAAAAAATATTAGATAGGATCAATTCCAATATCTAGACTGAGGAAGCCCTACTGTTAACACTTTCCCATCCCAAGCAATCTTCATTTATCACCATTCTTTGATCCTGTCACCAAGCCAGATTTGTTTTAAAAGATAAGATATTCCTCTCAGTCTTTGCAACACAAATAAGGGGAGAAAATTATTTGCATTTATATGATGACTGAGTTTCCCTCCCCCCCCCCCCACTCTTTTTTGTAAAGTGATTCTTCAAAAGCTTCTTTAAAATTATTTCTTCAGAAATTTATACCTGTTCCTCTGGGCAATATTTTTTAAGCTTATATTAGATGGTGTTTGTCTGGAAATTGAGACCATGAGGAAAAGTTGGTTATGTTCCCTGCTTACAGATGAAGTTAAATTAATATGTACTTATACAAGAATTTTCAGGGCCTAAATATAGGAAATTATTTTGAGAGATGTGAAGACAAATCCAAGTGGAGAATGGATAGAAATTATCTGAAAAAAAATACAGGCAAAAGCACAGCTACCCCTGGAAGAAAATGGTGACATTTCACATTGCTGTAAGGAGGAAAGGGACTTTCTGAATTACTCAGATTGGATATTGATTAACCTTAGTTCACTGGCTGCACTGACCCTTGTGGAATTTTAGGACATTTTGGAAATGGTGGATGCCTTTATTTCTAACTTCCTCAGCCCTTGCACAGACAGAAATGGCCAAAGCAGATTGGACTTCTAGGTGTTTGTGGGGATGAGCAAATTTTGACTATCTTTCATTTCCAAGACCAAATTGTAAAAGAATTACTATGCACTGTATCAGGCACTGAGGTCATAGCAGTATCTATGACTTCCCTCATCTCTGGCCATGTGAACTGGGTCCTAGCCAAGATAAACACTGTCCTTGGGGAAATGGGCAGGGGCATTTAGACCATCGAAGACCCCTCAAATACTGCCATTGTGGGAGTCGTTTCACCTATTTAAGAAATGCTCCTGGAAATTGGAAAGCTTGCAAGCGGTGTTTCTTGTTTCCAGTACTTACACAGTTCTTGATGTTGAGATCCGCGCCATACATAATCAGGAGTCGGATCATCTTATAGCGGTTCAGTCTCACCGCATCATGCAACGGGGTATCTCCTTCCTAGAGAAGCAGAGTCAACAGGTTCAAGGTGGGTCTGAGGCCAGGAAGTGGGTCCTGCAAGGGCACCCAGGCTTGGGGGAGTGATTCCAAATACAAAAGCAATGAAGCTTTGGGAAACCCGAGCGTGTCCAGCTACTCACTCTGTCTTTGGCGTTGAGGTCTGCCTCACAGGCGATAAGATGCTCCGCGCACTCATAGTGGCCAGTCCTCACCGCCACATGCAGCGCTGTGCTGAGCAACTGGAAAATTGGAAAACGCTGCTGATTCGCTAGGAATGAGGACAGAGGCTGTCCCAGACCCCAAGACATGTGCGAGGGGGAGAAGTGGTCACTAGGGTGCCTGCACACAGCATGGGCCTCCAGATGACTTTAATGGAGAGGCGAGGTTAGGAGATGGAGGGGTGGGGGAGGAGGGAAGGGCGGGTGGGGGAGAAGGAGGAGGGGGAGGGGGAAGAGTGGGAGAAGTGGAGAAGGATGGGGGACAGGGAGGGGGAGGGGGTGAATGAAGGGAGAAGGAGAAGAAGGAATACCTTATCTCGGGCGCTAATTTTTGCTCCTTTATTCAGCAACAATTTTAAAACATCCAGGTTTCCTCCACGGCTTGCCCAGTGGATGGCTGTGGATTCAAGCTATACCGGGAGGGAAGACCCGACAATGTGAAGGAGAATGTGGTCTGGGGAATTAGAACCTGGTTGCTAGGGCATCCGTGAAAATAATGAGTTGTCCCCATCTAGATTGACAATTCTAACTGGAGTCGAAGGTTCTTACCAAATGTGTTAGCTAAATTACATGTGTGTGTGTGTGTGTGTGCATATGTGTGTCTTATTAGGAGGCTCTTAATAAATCTAATAATGTTTTAAAAGAATAAGAATGGCCACTTATTGAGACATTTCTCATGCCAACATGGTGCTACACTTTAGACACCTTGATTCTTCCAGCAACATTTTGAGGTAGGTGTTGCTATGCACATTTTGCAGATAAGAAAAACCAGGTTCCAAAAAGTTCAAGTTTCTAGCCCAAGGAAACACAACTAATAAGAGGCAGAATACACAGTCAAACTCCCCTCTGCCTGGAACTTCTAACTTCTTTTGTCAAATGTACACAAAAGTTCTAAACACATGTATTTAAAAATTTTGGCAGAATAAAAGTAGTCCCTTCCAAAATATTTTAATCTGGATCTGACACCTCATCTAGGGTCCCTGTCGCTCTTTCTCTACTTCTGTGGGTTTTCTGCTCATTTTTGCTAGCACAGCCTCTGTACCTCAACTGTAGTCACTTGTGTCTACAGTTGTAACGTGTATAGTTACCCCTAGGAGACCCTCTCCTCACTGATCTATGTGGTTGGTATGCCCCTGGCCTTAATCCCACACTCATGATTTTTAGTTTCCATGCAAACTTCATATTTTGTTTCTTGATTTTTTTTTCAATGTGTTTATGTTTTGGATTCAATTTTGGCCAAGTCCCTTGGATTTCTTTGATATCCCGTTGCCGCTTTGCTATAAAGTCAAAATGAGCTGCATTTAAATACATAAAGAATTTTCCCAGCTCAATCTTCAGTTCATAAATTATGCTGCATACTGGTCTTCGTAGAAATCACAGTGATTGAATTATTGAGGTCTGAATAGCAGCTACTTTCCATAGATGCAATTCATTTCATATGCAGTCTAGCCCCAAATCTCATTGGTAGCAATTGGCATCTATCATATAAAGTGTGCAGCTAGAGAATTCGTATATGTTGCTGGCAGCCAACCATAAGCAGGCTGCCCTGTGAACAATGGAGGGACAAGGCTGTTGAAAGGCAAGTGTCGAAAATGAATGACTAACTCGCTGATGAGGATATTGAATTCAGTTTAACAGCTTTCACTTCCTTCTTTTCCCTGAAATATTCCTCTATTTTCAGTATGTATGGAAAATATTTTCACATGACCTACTCTCATCTCCCAACTTTCCTTTATTTGGAGAAATGAGCTTTTGCCTAGTTCTCTCAGATCAATTTTCAATCCAATCAGCTCGGTTTTGCATTGGAGGTTTTCCGGAGCTTCATATAGTCTACTTCTTTTGGCTCATTCCCAAGCAAAGAAATATATTTACCATATCACGGAATTCGATCTGGGCTCCAGCTTCCATTAACTTCTCCACAATTGCCAAATGTCCTTCCAAGCATGCTCTATGAAGAGCTGTCCGTTTATACTATCAGAACAGAGATTTTAAACAGAGATAGCAATAAATATAAAAATGTGTGTAAACCCTTTTAAGAGCTATGAAGCTGGAGATTCTGATGACCTAACTGATAGAAACTCAAGTGCTTCTTTATGAATAGAAATGTCAAAGTTAACTAAAATTGCAGAATCAGAACAATTATCCTGCAACTAATATTTGAGCTTCCTCCAATATACATTTCCAAGGGCTCAAAGGCCTACGTTGAGGAGTGTGAACTTAAAGGCTCAAAACTATCTAAATGCTGACATCTCCGTTTCTTCTATCTTGCACCTTCCTTGTTCATGTAGCATTACCATGCAGATCAGACAGCTTTCTTGCATCTGGGACTGTTGCTAGACTATCAAAAAGTTTCCATTCATTTTTAGGAGAATGGGAGACATGTTTTTAGTTCAACTTCAGAAGCGGTCCCCAATTTCACTTCATGGGGGAAAGAATACAAAAAGATTAGTGATTTCTGATAAATTGGCTTTATTTGAATGGGCTAATGAACTATTAGAGCTGGAACAACTTTAGGCGTTATTTCACTCCAATGCCCCATGTTTACAGATAAGGAAACCACAGCCCAGAGGATGCAAATTAGCTGCTCAAAACCAAATAGCCAAGTAGTGGTACAACTGGCCCCTGAACTCCAATCTCCAGATTTCTTATCTAGTGTTGACGTGCTTGGTTTTAATCAAAGATGATGCTAATAATATATCTCTAAAGGTGACTTTTTGGCCCACATTAAAAGTCTTATCCCAAGAATCTAAGAAGTTAAAGAAAAACTGAAAAATCAGCCAGATGTATATGAGTGCAAAAAACAATGCAATCCGTATCACTGATCTAATATCTATTTATTTTTTGGACCACTGAACTCTCCTATTAGGCTCCTGGCATACACAGCAACAGCTGGGGAAACTGTTTCAGGTGGAAGGACTTTGGCACTATATTAGCAAGACTGGAGTAAAGCATAAGAAACATAAAATTAATGAGCTGGATTTTGCAGTGCTTTGCATGAGTCTTACCTCATCACAAACATCTGGATTGTTCTTGTCTGACAAGAATTTTTCTACTACTGGCAGTTTATTCTCCAGAGCAGCCTTCAGAAACGTAGGCACATCCACAGGTTCCGTCTAAAGCCAAAATAAATAAATATATATATATATATATATATATAGCATGAGAGTTACCGTGAGCTTGCCAGCATTCAATCAAACCCTCCACAGATATTTGCTCCCCTGTAGCACAACACTGGACATGTATTACTGGAAACCAAAAAAAAAGCCCTTACAATGATTTCAGGTTCTGGTTCCTTTACAACTGGAACTTTAGTTTTCCTGTATTTTTTCCTTTTCTTCAGTTGAATGATTATTTCAAGGTCTTCTAAATTTTCAAGCTTTGATCTTTGTTCTAGTTTTTTCTTTTTGAGCTAAAAAAGAAATTCGTATTTCAAAAATATGGTGAGTTCTACTGACAAGCATTCTGGTTGTGTCTAAACTAAATCTGCAAGGTCTGAGATAAACATGTGAACAGTTTGAGCAAAAACATTTTTTAAAAATTATATAAATCTTTGACTTCATTTTAGGGATTTCTTATTCAGATATTTATCTGGGAGTCTAATTTTCAGCTAATTGCCATCATCTTTACTTCTGTTGCTTGTAGAATCAGCCCTTGACCAATTGAGGACACGATCTGGTCTCTAAGTGATGACTTTGTAATTAATGCCATAAGCAAGTCTTAGATTTTTAAAGGATTTTTAAAATTATGCTCAAAACTTGGTTTAATTTTTGAGCATGATAAAAAGAATCTAACAATAAATGTTAAGCTCTGAAATATCAATGTCATTCTCTTTCACTAAGCAGAGCCTTCTAAAACAGACTGTCCAGGGACCACAGCTAACTAAAGCAAATTTTATCTGTGTTAGTAATTAAGGAAAATTCACCCAGAAACACAGATTGTGTCAACACAGATAGCAGACAGTTAAACAATGATCTATGGACCACAGACCATGTTATTGAGAAAAAGAGATCTCCGTTGCTTGGGATTAACTACATGGTGTGTAACATCAGGAATTCACTGGACATGTGTATCTTTCAATCAAAACATGGTCACAGCACATTTATTCATTGATTCAGAATTCAGAGGTCATAGTCTTGTCAAAGAGTTATTTCCCAAAACCTGTTCCATACAAGTTGCCTCTTTACGGGTTAGAATCTGGTAAAGAGACATCTTAATGATTGGGTTTGTTTCTCTCTTCTCCTTCCCTGACATTTCCATTCCCTACCCCAGCCCCAACATCCTACTAGTGGATTCCACAGATGGCTCTCACCTCTGCCTCTCGTTGTTTCTCGCTTTTCCACTGTTGCTCCCCCAGGGTCACAGGGTGGGCTAGAAGTGTCTTCAGATCCTCCTGCTTCTCTAAAGTAACAGCAGCTTCATACTCTCCATCTCTGAAATCCTCAGGAAGGAATTCCCCTGCCTCCCCATTGCCATTCTTCTTTCCAGTGACCTATGAGGGAAGAAGATGGCAGCGTCAGAAGCAGCAGCCTCGTCCTGGGTCATTCTTCACAGACAATGCCGCAGGAGGCTCTTGGTCCTTCTCCCCTGGGAACAGCCACCTTTGAGCAGTGCACTCTCAGATCTCAAGCTGCGATGCACACTGCTACAATTGTCCCAGAATTACCTTCAGATGCTTGTCCTACTCTCTTGGTTAAATCAAAGCTTGGGTTAGGTTGACAGATTAAATCTACTTTTAATCTGCTTAATCACATTTCTTTTAGGAAAATCAAAAACCTTCTCTGCTTAATTAAAACTCAACTTTAGGTACTTTTGATGAGTTTCGCCTTATTGTAAAGTTTCCGGGCTTACATTCTTTCAATAACACTTCTTCCCTAAGACATTTTGATAACTACACGTGATTCCACACTGTAGTAATAAAACCAAAGGAGAAGATATTAAATAGGAAATATGCAGAGAATTCATTACTGGTAGCTCCATTTTTTTTTTCCAATTTCACTTGTTTCATCACATCAACCTTTTTCCATATATGACATTTTCAGAGTTCCCTTGCATTACACCTGAAAGCAAAGGGCATTTCAATTTTCAAATAAAAACCAAGATGAACCAGTTTTCATTTTATAAAATTAATGCATCTTACATACCAGTTCCTCTACTTTCAGTACCATCATGTTGGCTGAAGGAGTCTTGTATGTTTTTCTGTCGTGGAAGGAATCCCTGGAGTTGGCCCTGCTGGGCCCCTCCACACCGGTCAGCTTATATAGCTGGGGCCGGGTGAGATAATCTTCCAACCTGGGAACCGAAGTAACACTCCCACCCCCATTAGGAGCCAACTCAGAGGCAGGTGAATTTTCATTCCAGACTCAGTGTCTGGGAAGCTGAAGAGGGAGGGGAGGACAAGCTAACCCTGCTGAATATGTGAATCAGGAAGAAATGTGAGAGGGCCATTCCTTTGGTGGTGATCACATCGCTCAGCAATGCAAGTCATCCTATTTGTCAAGAGTCAGGGGACAGCTGTCTGTTGACATTGCACCACATCACTGCCCTTTTTTTCTTTGTCAGCTTTCATATGACTACCTATCAAGAAAATGTAGATGCCCTACATATCACACCCCCAGTAATATCTTTCTGATAAGCAGACTTATCAACACTTCACTTAGGGGAAACTTGTCCCAGGACATCCTATTCCCTGGGTAAACAGCCTGAGGGGAAGGGATCTGGGCCCTAAAGGCACTTGTCTATATCTGTTTGGAATTCTTTGGAGTGATGTCTGGGGCTAAATAGGCCCCATGACATGCCACCTTACCATCATTATAAGAAATTGAAAGCATTCAGTAATGCACTTTTCTTTTATGATGTCACTGGCCATAATTAGCACATGACATGCTTACCGTGTTCTAAAACAGCATAATAATTGGAGCATTTTTACTTCAAAATGGATCAGAGTGGTCAAGAAATAGAGTAAATGAAACCAGCTATCAGCCGGGTGCAGTGGCTTACACCTGTAATCCCAACATTTTGGGAGGCAGAGACAGGAAGATTGCTTAGCTTAGGAGTTCAATACTAGCCTGGGCAACATGGCAAAATCCCATCTCTACCAAAAATACTATATATATATATGAAAAAAATGAGACCAGTTATTAGCAATGGCAGGACTCTGATTAGGTCATTGAGCTGAAGTTCTCAAATGCTGTGGGGAAAGGAATCACCTGTGGGAGCTTGTCAGAAATACAGATCCCTGGGCCCCACTCCAGGGAATTCTGAGTTGATTTATGGTAACTCGTAGGAATCATCTTGAATTTCAAAGCACCCAGATGATTCTGATGCATCAAGATTTGAGACACGTGGCTGGAGGGATAATGCACTTTGCTTCCGGAAGGGTTGAAAAAGGTCTCTATTTCTGGTTTCTAATCTTTGAGGTGTAAATTATGTAAAAATACTGGGGTCTTTTTATAGTTTCAGGAAAAACTGGGTTTTTTTCAGTAAAAGAAAGGAGAGAAGAATGGGAGAAGGGAATTGTGAATGGAGGGAAGTGTTAATTAGGAAGTTATGTTTGACCTTTGTGTGTCTATTTCTCCCCAAACTCACCCAATCAACAAATGTGGCTGCCATTCTCCTCTTCCCCCTTGAATGCTCAGTCAGTGGATGGTGTTTCTGAAACTTTGAGAAGACATCGACTCCCCACCCCAAGACAAAACATTGACAAAGAGGGACCCTCCCAGTACCTCCTGTATCATATGTTCCGGTCTCCTAATATTCTATCTTAAAAGGGGGTTAATTAAAGGAAATCTCCTGGGCTTTTCTTTGAGATGGACACAGCTATCACTATTTTCTTTTTAATTTTTTCCTTTTCTCTTTATTATTTATTTATTTTTAATATATGGAATGTTTCACAAATTTGTGTGTCATTCTTGCACAGAGTCCATGCTAATCTTCTTTGTATAGCTCCTATTTTAGTATATGTCCTGCTGAAGCAAACAGAGTCATTACTATTTTCATTGGTCTCTTCATCTAAGTCAGAAGTAGTCATGGACACTTTTTCTACCATTTCGTATGCCTTTTTGTTCCAGGCCTGACCCAAACTGAGGGAGGTATTAGGAGGAGAAGTGTTTGGGGGAAGGACTGTGGGATGTTTAAGGGTCTTGGATATGAAATCCCAGAGCTGTCCATGCCCTCGAAGTTGGAGCAAGACTAATGCTCTCATTTTACAGAGAGGATGCTGAGGCAAAGAAACATTAAGTAACTTGCTGCAGATGCACAGCTAGTTGGTGAATGCTAGGTTGAAGAGTCCTGATTCCATCCAACAGAAGCAGACAATCATTGAGCCCAAAAGATTTCCTAGGGCAAGTCTCACCTAGACCCACTCAGGATGCAACCAAAACTGATTAAATGGCTCCTTACTGTTTCAATCACCTCAAAGAATGCAAGTGAAAGTGGGCAGGGAGGCTTACCAAGCCCTTTTCTTTCTCCAGGCATTTAATTATCCCTTGAAACCTAGCTGATTCTATAGAGAGGCTCCAGGAAGTCTTGAAGAAAACTTTGCAGAGGATGACACTTGAAGATGAGTTGATGGAATGGGCTGAACTTAAAGGAGCACGCTGGTGGATGCAAGGATGTCAGGGCTGGTGAAATCACTGCCAGTTCAACCTTTTCCCATGTTGATCCAGCTTGTCATTATAAAACATGAGAGGTACAACTTGAGGATAAGTGGTCAGAAGATGTAAAAAGAATATGACAACAAATAAAGAAAAAAAACATGAGAGAATCTGCTTTTTGAAAAGAGATTCTAGGCACCTTTAGCTCTCTAAAAAGATAAAAACAACAACCATTGTATTTTCAAATCGTTCTTATTCATCAAAATTGAGAAAAAAATTCCCCTGGCGGAGAGTTTTCTGTCATTTGTTTTTCAGAAGCATCCTTCCCATAAAAGTTCACCCAGTGGTGTAAATTCTTATATTTGTGTATTTGGCTTTATCATAGCCTCAATCTGGACATAATCTATCCTTACTAAGATGAATTAAAACAATAAAGGTCCTAGTTGGTTCTACAATCATAAAGCAACTTGGCATCACCCATCTCCAACCAGAAAGAGTAAAGGAAGCATCCCTGAGCTTCTCCAGTGTCACCCCATGAGCCTTTTCCCACTCCCCTCAGGATTTATGCATTTCCATGGGTGAAATGACATGTGACTAGAATTAGGACCATGGTTATAGCTGGAGAAAGTGAGAAGCAGAGAAGTAGCACCTAAAGCAATTACTGCTGTCACCTAGGGATTAAAAGAGGCGCTTGGACCCCACCCAGATCCATGTGCCATAGCTCAGCTCCAAGTCCAAGGGCAGTTTTATCTTTCTGTATAAAATATGAAGTTCCAGACGTTCTACTTCTACTCCAACTTTTCATTCTTATATTTTAACTATATAATAGACACATTATTGTTAAAAATAGCACAGAGAATGTTATTTAGTTCAGATCTTACTGTCGATTTGATACTTGATTATTTTTCGCTCAGTAACCGTGTCTTACAGATTGTCTCCTATCTGCACAAACAAATCTATCTTGCTATTAGAAACAACTGCATGAATTTCCATGCACGGACCTACCATTTCTTATTTAACCACTTTCTCATTTGTGGACATGTAGGCTGTTTTTTTAAAATGGGCATTTTTATTTTCTAAAAAGGCATTTTATAGCACATAAAATTTTATTGTTATTAACACTCCTTGTCCTTAGAACACCCAACTTGATACTAAAAGGAAGTGCTCCAAGGACTGTAGCCAGATTCTGACTTGGAAACCTCCTTGTTCCACTGTTGTACTTACAATTGCTCATTTTGCCATCCCTTTTAATAGCCTTCCCAGTCCCAGCTGTTACGCACCTTCCTTGGCCCAGAGAAGTGGCTGACTTAGCCTGACCAGCAAGCCATGGCTCAGTTACGTGTTTGAAAATGCCAAAGGAAGGTCATAAAAGTGAAGCAAATAAGGTTTAATGTTGTTTCCCCTCCCCTGCCAGGAATGGGATAACCTGTATTTGAAAAGCAGAAAAGTACTGGAAACATTTTCAGCAGGATTGTGGCACCTGCCTTCCTTGCCTCTCGAAAGGCAGAATCAAGACTAAAGTCCTTCTGCCCAGGACTCTGGATAGAAAGGGCACAAACTGCCCTAACACAGTTGGGCTGCCCACAGTAGGTTACTTTTTACGGATATCGGTGGCCTCCTGACGTTAGAGGTAGGTGAAGGCTGTAGGTCTCACCTCCACACCTTACAGCAGGTGCCTTGTTACAGTAAATAAGGTATCTCAGTGCAAATTCTGCCACACATATGAACTCACACCAGCCAACAGGCACAAAGGGCCACATGCACTATTCAGTAAACTCATGAAGCCCAGCCCTTTGTCCATTTAGGCCCTTGGACAGTGTCCAGCACAAAAGATTCGCTTGACTAGGCATGGTGGCTCATGCCTGTAACCTCAGCACTTTGCGAGGCCAAGGCAGGAGGATCACTTGACCCTAGGAGTTCGAGACCAGCCTAGACAACATAGCGAGATCCTGGCTCTATGTTTTTTTATTTAAAAAAAAATAAAAGAAAAAGTTTCACTTGAAGCAAATGAAACCACAACCACATTCTGGCAGCATATTTCAGCTAATTTTCTAGTCCACTCAAGGTGATTACAGACTCCTCCACATATGGCCTAACACAAGATAGGATGGAGTCCTAGCACTCACTATAAGCCTAGGACTCCAACTGCATAGAAAAGTGCCTGACACATAGTGGGGCTAAATAAATATTTACCTGAGACCCAGCAGGGCTCATATTCTTTTCTAACCAAACCACATATTTCAAATTCTCCTTTCAATGAGAAATAATTGGTAACATTTCTCATGCTAATTAACCATTAATCTGTCAATACTATCAAAGGTAAAGATAGGTAAAGTACTTGGGATTACCTCCACTGGAGTGGGGGCAGCTCATTAGTGTCTTTCAAATGCTAACTAACCCCAACAGTTGTAATCGCAGAGTCAGGGCTTCTCAGGTGTGAACTAACATTTCTTCAAGCAGTGATTCTCTAAGCTGGGTGCATCTTAGAATCCTCTGTGAAGCTTCTAAAAAAATGCTGATGCCCAGGCTTCAGCTCAGGCACATGAAATCCAAATCTCTGCTCAAAGATCCAAGGAATTGGTATTTTTTAAAGTTTTCCAGTTGATTCTAATTTCCTCCCAGCATTGAGAATACTGCTCGAGGGTGTAGAATTAAATGAATATGTATCTAAATACACGTGTATTTTCTCCAAGTTGTAGTGGACAGTCAAGCTATTGTTATTCTGGTCTCAGAATTTTGATTGTTGAAGACTCTTGCCTATGCTAAGACCATGGGAAACACACACATACAATTTACTCATTTATTTTTTATTTTATTTTATTTTATTTTATTTTATTTTATTTTATTTTATTGTTTTGAGACAGAGGCTTGCTCTGTTGTCCAGGCTGGAGTACGGTGGCACGATCTTGGCTCACTGCAACCTCTGTCTCACGGGTTCAAGCAATTCTCTTGCCTCAGCCTCCTGAGCAGCTGGGACTACAGGTGCATGCCACCATGCCCAGCTAATTTTTGTATTTTTGGTAGAGATGTGGTTTTGCCATGTTGGCCAGGCTGGTCTTGAACTCCTGGCCTCAAGTGATCCTCCCGCCTTGACCTCCCAAAGTGCTGGGATCACAGGCATGAGCCACTGTGCCTGGCCTACTCATTTAATATTTATTTAGCTCTACTTTGTGTCAGGCATTTTTCTAGAGCTGAGATATACTTATGCTCTCAAGAGACACACGACTCTGCCCTCACGGCATTCACACAGTTTTACTGAAGTATTTAACAAAAACTACAGACAATATAACATGCTTCTTCTGCCACAAATCAAGAAGAGTGAGGCGAGACAGTAGTTTTGTGGGTCTGGTGGGGATGGGATGAAGAATCAGGAGGCTTACCTCTAAATCCTGGCTTTGCCCTGTGTTCACTGGAGCAAGTCCTCTCACCTCTTACCATCTCAAATCCTGAAGTTATAAAAGGAGAGCTGAGAACAAAATGATTTCTAGGGCCCTAAAGTTTTACTGAGGTCTCAAAGTCACTGAATCAAAAGGTAGAAATAAACATTCATAACTGCAGCATCACGTGCGGACAGTGAAGTTGATTCTCCAATGCCTCTAAAAGAGGAAACGGTCCATAAAGCTTTCACTAGCCCAGGATATTTCCACTATCTTTAAGACATTCTCCCACTTGATAAACATAAAAATTTCACACTCTCTGTTACATGGATAGAAATTTCAAGAAGATCAACTTGGGGTCAAGATGAAATAAAAGTAGTGGTAATTTTGATTATGCCTCTTCAAACCTTCTAAGACCGCAGAGATTTTTATAAGGCCTCATCCTCTTTCTTCCCCTTCTGAGAATCCCTGCCCAAGCTCTTGCCTAGGCTGACATCTGTCCCCATAGAAAAGGTAGTGATAAGTGTCCAGGAAGGGATCTCAGTGACTTTCTATTACATTCTTATTTCCCCAAATAATGGGTTCTTGTTTAGGCCCCCTACACTGGTTCCCAGAACATTAGGAAGGCAGAGCCTCTAACAATCAACATTCTGGGATTGTGATAAGGACAACTGGCCTGTCTATTACAACCTCAAGAAGAATGGGTGTGAGTGGGAGAATCAGTTAAAATGTGAATGCATAATGGTTCCCCTCCCACCCCTCAACTTTCTCAAAAGCCAAATTTACTTCATGAGATTAAATTTCACTCAATGGACGGTGGGATGATGGAGAGTTTGCGTTGAGATGATTTTTTAAAAGGAAGTTTGATTGTCATAGTAACGCTCTGAAAAGATTTTGATGCAACTTTGGAATTACTTCACACCCAATTACATAGAACATCTACTTGGAATGAGAGATAAGTGCTTCTGTGACTGCAAACATAGATAGAAAATCCATTAACCTTTTTAGCCATTTATTAAAGCAGAGGAAAATTATTTTTAAAATGCAATTTCTGACTTCAAGAAGAAGTACCGAAAAAAATATTTTCTTGGTGTAGTTTGGAGTTTCCTAATAAAGGGCAAATGCCACAGAATATCTTCACTATGGATTCCTTGGGAATCAGAGAAATTTAGGGCCAGTAACACACTGAGTGGTCATTGAGTCCACTCCCTGACCAGGAAGGGCCAGAGTTAGGCAGGTAGAACCCTATTACTTTAAAAACTAAAACCTCCCTTTGTCGTTATCCTCATATTTAAAAATCTTACTGCAATACAGTTTCTTGTGGCTTACTTACAGCTGGGCAGCTTAGTCTGTTTGTCTCATTCTAGCTTCAGGAATGATCATCACCAAAAACACGTATTGAGCATTTTTTCCGATGACTTTTGCTAGTCAAAGGGAAAAAAGCTAAAAGGTGAAATTACTGCCATTGAACTGCCATTACTTGAACTGCCATTACTTGAACTACCTTCATCCACTGGATCAAAACCATTTTCATAACTGGGTATTGTTAAGCTCTTCAGAACATAGGCTTTTGGACCATTAGAAGGGCTTTCACATCGTCTAGTCCAGTTCTGTAACTGTACACACTGGAGCAAATGACACCTGAAGAGGTTCTATACATATGTATTATCTTACTCATTCAATACGTTTGTTTAGTCTGTTCCTGTGGGACAACTTGACATTATCCATTTCCTGAAGTGCTGCAACAAGAAATACCGTACACACCATCACTTATGTTCTTACCAAAAATTTTACCCTGAATCCAATTTCAGACAAATTCAGAATGTAGGACATTCAACAGGGCAACTATCTTGGGCTCTTCAAAAAGGTAAATGACTAGAAAAACAAAACAAAAAAGAAGTGAGGAATTGTTCTCTCTTTGATTAAAAGAGAAGAAAGAGCATGAACCTTGGTGGGATCCTGTAATTCAAGACACAAAAGCTGTAAAATACATTTTGAGGACAACTGGAGAAGTATGGAAGGTATTTTAGACAATATTATTAACTGAGTGATGATTTTCTTATGCATGATGATGGTTTTGTGGTAATGGAGGAGAATGTCCTTATTGTTAGGAGATGTATTCTGAAGTATGTAGGAATGACCTATGATGCTTTCAAATGGTTCAGCAAAAGAGGTATGCATGTGTGTAGAAAGAGAGAAAGATGAGAGAGAGTACAACTGTAAAATATTAACAATTAGCGAATCTAGGTGACAGTGCTCATTCTACTATTCATTCAACTTTCTGTATATCTCAAAATTTAAACATGAATAAAACATTTTAGTAAAACAGACACCCTAGCACGTAAGTTTCACGAAGCAAGAGATGTTTGTTTCTCCCACTGATGTAGACCAAGTGCTGAGAGCAGTCCCCAGCACATAGTAGGCACTCAGTAAAAACGTGTTTAAACGGAAAGCAAAAAAGGAGGTGGCCCCAGCATGGGGTCAGAGGGAGGGAAGGGACAGAAGCCAAGAAGTGGGCAAGTCTGCTGGCACACCACCCTGACATCAGTGTTTTTCAGAGGCTTCCCTAGAGCCACAGGAATGCTACAGAATAAGGCTCCTGTGGACAGTGCCCTCTCAGCTGCACCTGCTTTTGGTGCAGGCAGCTGGGCAGAAGATTAGGTAGAGAAGACTCACCCAGCCAGAATGTCTTACCCATGTCCCCACCCACCACGATCGATCTGGAAATGGCATGGAGATGTTTCTGATGAGAGTATAAAAATGTAGGCATCCGTCAGCTCGCACTGGTTCAGCCATCCTATGTATACAAGGGAAAGCTTGAATATATGTGAAACCTCAGGGATTATGAGATCCATTAGAACCCACTTAATATTATGATGCAAATGGTGAGATTGAAGGTCTTACAATTAGGCAAGAGCTGACTGCTTTCTTCATTTGATTTTCTTTAATGGCACCAAAATAATATACTGTTTTTGAAAAGACGAGTTTTCTAAGATTCTACTAGTTGATGATTTATTATCTCATTTCCAAATTCCAGGGTTAAGGAAACATGTATATTAAGAAATGGCTAAAATATGAATGAAGCACAAATGCTCTGGGAGGCTGATGGAGGAGGAGGAGGGTACCAGGGTGGGTGTGCGAGGTCATGGTCCAGCTGAAGGCCAATGAACCGAAGGTTTCTTTATTTTCTCCTCTTTTTCTTTTTATCTTTCTTTTCTCACTTTCTTTCAATGTCTCTTTTCTTCTTTCCTCCCTCTTTGCTTCCTCTCACCCTTCTTTCTTCTCTTCCTTCCTTCCCTCCTACCTTCCTCCCTTCCATCCCCCGATTTTAAAAACCACAGTGATTGAAACTAAAGAGCTGGCCTACGCACCTCAGGGCTGAGGACTTGTTAGCTCTCCTTGCCTCCTGGCAACCATGCCCCTTCTAATAGTGACTGGTTGAGAAAGAGGCTCAGAGTCTTTTAGCTAGAATAATCCCCTCAGGCATGTCATCTCTTTCCAGTGCAGACCTGCAAGGGAGGTGATCTTATTCCCACTGAGAAGGAGCCTGGCAGTGCTTCTAAACTGAATTCTCATAAGAAAGGGAAGAGCCTGTTTGCAAAAACATACTCTTTTGCTGCCAACACAAGCAGATCTTTTAGGGAGGAGGGGAACTGTAACCCCTCCAAGATCTTTGCTCTCCTTCAGAGCCAAGGCTCTCAGGTTTCACAAAGGAATTTATAGAGCAGACTGACGCCTCTGGGGTTGGAATCAGCTCAGGACTAAGTGGAGAATGAGGAGAGGGACAGGCACCCTTCTCTGCTCTGTGCAGGCTGGGGATTGTTTACCAGGGGATGAAAAGGTCCTCTCCCTGAAAAGGAATGTTTGGCAAGGAAATGACTTCTGGAGGCACAACTGAATGGCTCCCCAGGGAATCAGTTTGGGTTAGTTACAGATCAGACCCACCACCCTGGACAAATCTCACTGGGCAGGGGCGGCGGGGCTGTGATTACAAGAGCTTGGGGATGTTTAAAGCAACTCCTGCCTTCAAAAGACAGCTGTCCTCTTTTCCAGATAAGTTCTGTATGGTAAAAGAAGGAAAAGGAAAAAAAATAGAGGTTAGAAATCATATTGAAAAATTAAAGGAATGTTTGATTTGTCCATAAGAATTTCCTGACTGTGCCACTTTGCTCAGCGCTTGTCCTAGGTCCTTCCAATATCACATTTAGTGGGTAGTGAGAAGGCGTGGAGTAAGTGACTCTGGTTGCTGACATTCACACTTGGATGAAGTGGAGAAAGATGATGTCCTTCCTTATTTGGTGGCTCTGGAAGCCACATTCCCTCCTCATCCGCCTTCCCAAAAGAACCTTGTGGCTGCCCAGCGGAAGCCAGTGCTTTCAGCAGCCCCCACCCTTGGCATTTCCTTATCTAGGAGTCTTCACTGTGGAATTCCAAGGCCCACCCCAATGCTCCGGATGTGTTTCAATCCATGGCCTGCCACTTTGTTACTCTTGTGATGACAAGCAGATAACATAGCTCACATGCCTTCTTTTCCTGCATACCAACCAGACCCCAGTTCTGAAAAGGAAACAAACCACAAACCAAGAGAGATGTGTTATTTTTATGCAGACATTGTTAAGACACTGCAATAAGCCTAGAATTGTGGAGAGTGCTTTCCCATGTTGCTCCAGTTAATCCCCTCAGTCACTCTGGCATTTATACAAATGAGGAAACCAGTGAGTGTGGAGGTTAAATAGTCAAGGTCTCATAGCAAGTGTGTGTGTGTGCATGTATGTGTGTGTATCTTGGGGGGTGAGGGTTGCCAATTCAAAGTCCAGAATGACTCCAAGTCCACAGCACCTTTGTTGCAGTTAAATGCCTTTACAACTAAGCGTGACCCCTTTGGCAATCACTACTAAGAGGCTTTACCAACTTCTGACACTGTTAACTTCAAGACAAATATGCTTTTTTCAAGACATGGCATCAAAAACTGTATTTCTGTTATTCCTCATCACCATGGTTACAACCACAACTCATCTGTAATTTTCAAAGACCCTGCATCAGAGAAACAACAAAAATGTGGAGAAAATATTTGCTGAACATGTCAGTAAATAAATAAGTATAAAATATGAAAGTGGCCAGAATATACCCAAATCAATAAATATGAATGAGTTAAATGCCTCTTTTGAAAGACAGATAATGGCCGGGTGCGGCGGCTCACGCCTGTAATGCCAGCACTTTGGGAGGCTGAGGCAGGTGAATCACAAGATCAAGAGATCGAGACCATCCTGGCTAACACGGTGAAACCCCAACTCTACTAAAAATACAAAAAAATAGCCGGGCGTGGTGGCAGGTGCCTGTAGCCCCAGCTACTCGAGAGGCTGAGGCAGAAGAATGGCGTGAATCCGGGAGGTGGAGCTTGCAGTGAGTCGAGATCGCACCACTGCATTCCCTCCTGGGCAACAGTGCGAGACTCCATCTTTAAAAAGAAAGAAAAAGAGAAAGAGAGAAAGAAAGAAAGAGACAGATATTCTTAAAATCCAACAATTCCGCTTCTGGGTGTATACCCAAAAGAATTGAAAGCAGAGTCTTGAACAGATATTTGCACACCCATATTCATAGCACCATTATTCACAATAGCCAAAGTATGGAAGAAACCCAAGTGTTCATTGACAGATGAATGAACAAGCAAAATGTGGTATTTACACACAATAGAATATTATTCAGCCTTAAAAAGGAAGGAAATGCTGACATATGCTACTACATGGATGAACCTTGAGGGCATTATGCTAAGTGAAATAAACCAAAAAGACAAATACTGTATGATTCCACTTACATGAGGTACTTAGAGCATTCGAAATCATAGAGACAGAAAGTAGAGTGATGATTGCCAGGAGCCGGAGGGAGGGGGAAATAGAAAGTTATAAGAGTTTAGAATTTCAGTTTTACAAAGTGAAAAGAGTTATGGACATGGATAATGGTGGTGGATGCACACTATGAATGCATTTAATACAATTGAAATATACTCTTAAAATGGTTAAGATAGTAAATTTTTTGGGGGGAGGAACTGGAACCCTAAAAATGAAAGAAAAATGAATTTTCTTAGAAAGATACTCTTATATGATGTAAAACAATACAAACAATAAAAGTCTATGCCATTTATAAGAGATATACCAGGATGACACTGGACGGTTGAAAATAAAGGGATAGACAAAGGGACACCATGTAAATGCTACCAAAATATGCAGAAGGGACAGTATCAGTGCCAGACAAAATCAAATTCAAAGCAAAAAGCACTAAATGGGACAAAGAAGACTGAAAGACATAATCCAACAAGAAGTTATACTAATAATTAATTTTTGTGCAATAAACAACATAGCATCGAAATATATAAACACCAAGTCTGTGTACTTAGGCATCCTAAGAATGGGTAAATATAGTAAAAAGTACTGTTTTGGCCTGATAGGAACTTGCTGTCTCTTCCAGTGGATAATTTGTCTGTAGTGTATTTAAAGCAGGGAGCTTAAGCTCAGACTTCCAGATTGGAAAGTTTCTAAGTATTTCAGGGAGAGGTTATTTATGCTGTATGAGTATTTTACGTCAGGGAAGCATTATAACAAATAGACCATAAAAATCATACCACATCCAAAGGAAAAACAAAAAGCCACAGAAGGTTCTTGGAGTGTCTCTTCAGGAAATCCTCCACACTCAAGGCTCTTGCCAGTTAGGGTAACGTGTCCATAAATTTCCTCTAACAAACCCATTCCAGCATCAGAAAATGACAAATCAATCAAATTTTGGGGGATTGATAGCTAAACTCTTCCAGGACTGTGGGCATAAATCCAGGAAAGGAATTTATGCCAAAAATTGAACCCTTTCCTGACAGAAATGGAAACGCAGACAGAAATAAAACCAGTTACTTCATTTCAACTCATATCTACCACGTTTTAGGCAAGACAGTGAGGATACAGCTTACAGCTTCTCACAGGTAAGATAAAATTTCTAGCAAAAGTAAGGTGCTGGCCAGGCACAGTGGCTTACACCTGTAGTCTTGGAGCTTTGGGTAGTTGAGCTGGAGGATCCTTTGAGGCCAGAAGTTCAAGACCAACTTGGGCAACATGGTGAAACCTCATCTCTACAAAAAGTAAGATAAAATAAAATATTAGCTGAGTATGGTGGTGCATGCCTGTAGTCCCTGCTACTCGAGATGCTGAGGTGGGAGGGGGATCACTCAAGCCCAGGAGTTCATGGTGACAATGAGCTAGGATTGAGGTACTGCACTCCAGCCTGGGTGACAGAGTGGGACTGTTTCAAAAGCAAACAAAAGTAAAGTACTAAAACACTCTAAAGCGCTCAGTTGTTAAACAAATCTCATCTCCAGTAGGGATTGAGTTACTGAAGCAAAGGGGCCAGGGAAGCCAATGACAGGGAAGGAATGGACCGGGAACCTGGGTTTTGAAATATCTTTCTCATAATTTGAGTTATATTAAAGAAAAACCTAAAACTACTAAGTGCTAATCTAGCATTTTTTAATTCTGAAAAGTCTAAATTAGACATAAGCAATTGGTTAGAAGTGCTGGATAATAATTTTCCAAGCAAAGAGGGCTTTTTTCTTCCTGATCCTTTGTCAGATATACTGAGGCATGATCCCTGTTCTTGAAAGGCAGTTGTTGCAGCTGAGCTCACTAGTACCTTATGTTCTACATCCTAAGCAAATGCATACCTCTGAACTCTGAGGGAATGCGGAGTGGAGACCCTACTAGGTCGCTGGCCAGCCAGTTTTTTGGTGTGTGAATGGGTTGAATAAACATGCATGTACACATA
The DNA here is from genome assembly GCF_000001405.40 of Homo sapiens. Lineage (NCBI taxonomy): Eukaryota > Metazoa > Chordata > Mammalia > Primates > Hominidae > Homo > Homo sapiens. The sequence goes on from NC_000010.11 coordinate 90,934,632, forward strand.
TATATTTATGTATATCTAAATGGGTAGATAGAAAATAGATAGATAAATGACAGATAGATAATAGACAGATAAATCATAGATAGATAATAGATGATAGATAGATGATAGATAGATAGATAGATAGATAGATAGATAGATAGATAGATAGATAGTGATATGGTTTAGCTGCATCCCCATTCAAATCTCGACTTGAATTGTATCTCCCAGAATTCCCACATGTTGTAGGAGGGACCCAGAGGGAGGTAGTTGAATAATGAGGGCCGGTCTTTCCCATGCTATTCTCATGATAGTGAATAAGTCTCACAAAATCTGATGGGTTTATCAGGGGTTTCCACTTTCTCTTCTTCCTCATTCTCTCTTGCTGCTGCCATATAAGAAGTGCCTTTCACCCTCCACCATGATTATGAGACCTCTCCAGCCATGTGGAACTGTAAGTCCAATTAAACCTCTTTTTCCTCCCAGTCTCAGGTATATTTTTATCAGTAGCATGAAAACGGACTAATACAGACAGATGCACAGAGAAATAGACAGACAGATGGATGATAGATGATTGCTAGCTAGCTAGCTAGATGATAGATAGATAGATAGATAGATAGATAGATAGATAGATAGAAGATAGATGGATAGATAGAAGATAGATGGATGGATAGATAGATAGATAGATAGATAGATAGATAGATAGATAGACAGACAGATATTACTTTCACTTCTTTCTATCTCTCCCTCTTTATTCCTGGTATTCTCTCTTCACTTCCTCCTCTCTCTGGTCTGTCTAGCTGTCTGCCTGTGTTTCATTTCCTTTGTGTCTGCCTGTAGGTAGGTCTTGTCTCTCTCTGAGCATCTCTCCATGGGACTCGGTGTATTTCTCCCCAACTGTCTCTGGCTGTCTGCCCTTCTTTCTTTCTCTCTCCATCTCCCTGCCTTCTTTTTGCCTTTCTTCTACTCTGGTGATGGTTGCTGCCCTTGCTGCTGTGATGCATTTTCTATTGATGGAGTGAGCATTAAGGAGGCCCAAATATGGTCATGGGTTTCAGGCGGAGTTGAGGTCACGGCAGCCAGGCAATGCTCGCCCCCAGCATGGTCCTTGGGAAACTCAGAGCTGTCACAAACACTGGCCCACCTTATATCCAGACACTTAAGGTCAGGAAGAGACAGAGTGATTCAGCCAGAGTCCCGTTCATAAAAGGCAGCAAAGGCTCTCTCCTGTCAGCTGCCACTTGTTACAATACAGTCAATTTTCCATTCCACAGCAATTTACATTCATGTCTGTTATAATCACTTTGCTGTGCACTTACTGGAAGGGAAACCATTTTCCTTAGTATCATTCAGATAATTAGAGCAAGTCCTCTGGATGAGGAAAGCTCAGGTACAACAATGAAACTATTGAAATGTCTTTAAAAAACCTCTCCTTTTAAAAGAATGTTCAAAGAAATTGCCACATCAAAGTTCTGAATGTCAAGAATTCCTATAATTTCCTTCTGTGGCTAATGACAGGAACTTTCTAGAATACTACAATTTCTTAGAGTACAGGATAAAGGATAATTTTGTTTGCCTGAGATTTAACTCACCTGAGAAGTATTTTTCCAGGGTTATGATTGAGCAAAAGACTGGTCGAGAAGCTTTCAACCAACCTATGGGGAAATAACTTTTTTATTAAAGCACTTTCATTAATTAAGCGTTCCTCCATGGACTTTTAGGGAATTCATTCTTTACTGAATTCTTCTAGAACTGCAGAAAATCTTCAGAATGGGCTGCAACAACTTTGGTCACAGAAGACAGCTGCAGCTGCACAGCAGAGAGACGGGCTAGAGAGCAGAATGGCAAGGGTTCAGCTCAATTTTTCCATGTTTCCTTTTTGCATGCTTTATTTTGCAGGGGAGTCTAAGCCAGAAAAGTAGAGATGCCTTTCCCTTAAATTCATGGTTCATGAAATTATTAGAAAAGGTCTAACAATCTTGTGGAAAGGTTATGTAGGGTGCAAAACTTTCCACCCAGGACAAATTCTAAACACTGTAATGGAACTTTTCCTTCAATCCAATCTATTTGTTATCATTTGTTGAGCAGTTACAATACATGGCAAGCCCTGGGATAAAGGTTCAATGTGCTCATTTAAATCTCCCAGTAACTCTTTAATGCAAATCTATTATTTTCCCCCATATTACAGATGAAGAAACTGAGCCTGATGTGTTAAAAAGGTTTGTTGAAAATCACACAGCTAGGAAGAAAGAGATCTTGGATTCAAACCCAAGTCGGCTGGCCTTATAGGCTGTGTTTTCAAGTACCTGCCTCATGGCCAGGCTCGCTACTCTGACTCCAACTAGAGAGAGCAAATGAACTCTGAAAACTGGCAGAAAATCAGCAACAAATGTCTTAGATGGGTAGCCTGCTTACTCTCCCCTGGGTCTGTACAGTAAGTCTATGTAGTAAATCCTGCACAGAATGTTACAGAGACCATAGAGTAGCAGGAACTATTTAGATTGGTCCAGCCCTATACCATTTGCAAAGCTTGACATCTGTGATCTCAGATGATCTTTTCTAAAACTCTGTGACTTAGAGGTTATTGTTTCCATTTTAGCAGAAAAAGAGACTAACACCCGAGTTGGTTAAGTGACTTGGTCAAGGTCTCATAACTAGTAACTGACAGAGCCAAGACTTGGGCCTAAGAAGGGTTTGACTCCTTACTCAATGCCCTTTGAGCTCCTGCTCCTGGGCCAACTCTGGTCAATTGATCATGACTGGCCTGTGGTGTTATTTGGGAGAAAATAGTCCCAGGATGTATTAAGACTCAGCAAGAAAAGGTGTCACAGGCCGGGCATGGTGGCTCACACCTATAATCCCAGCACTTTGGGAGTCTGAGGCTGGAGGATTGGCTGAGCTCAGGAGTTCATGACTAGCCTATGCAACGTGGTGAGACTGTATCTCTACAAAATTTTAAAATTAGGCAGGCATGGTGGCACACACCTGTAGTCCCAGCTACTCAGGAGACTGAGGTGGGAGGATCACTTGAGCCCAGGAAATGGAGGCTGCAGTGAGCTGTGAAAGCACTGCTGCACTCCAGGCTGGGCACCAGAACAAGACTCTGTTTCCGAAAGAGAATATAAAAAAAGAAAAGGAAAGAAAAAGAAAAAGTGTCACTGTTGATTAAGCATGTCTGCACCGACACCAGCGTGAGGAGCGATGGCATCCTTGCCACAATGACATCATCTCTAATATATTTAGTGCAGCCCCTTAATTCTATAGAAAAGGAAATGGAGGCGTAACTCAGGAATTCTGAGACTTCTGCAGGTTCTCTCAGCAAGTTGATGACAGTCAGGACAAAACAGCATTTTGAGAAGTTGTGCAGATCTCTTTTCATAGTACTTTAAACCTGGGACTTAGGCTTTTCCATGCTCATGTTTGCTTGTCTCTAAGTCCAAGGGTCCCTTATGAGTCGGGGACAGAAGGTGTTAAGCAAACGTAACAGAGGACAGAGAAAGCTGGGATTGGTGCAAGACATGGCTTCCACTTAAGACTGCTCAGCCTTCCCCTGACACCTGCCCTTCTCTCTCCTTCCCTCACTCTCACCATCGCCAACACTGACCTCTCCCACCCCTGCCCTGAGCTAATCCTCCTGCCATTGAGAAGGAGTTTTATCCTACCCCATCTCTCCCACAAGGCTGTAAGCCATCCAAGGTCAGCTGATGACACTGTCTTGTTCATTCGTATAGAAGCCTGGCATCTTACTCCACATAGGCTTGGCACACATGTGTATGGAACTCAATTGATTCTGCCCAAACTGGAATTGGAGTAAACTGAATTGAACTAAATGTACCTGCACCAAAGTAGGTAATAAAATAGGCCTACTGACTAATTTATTACAAAGCGAAAAGCGGAAATAAAATAGGAAGGAACTGGAATTCGTGAGAGGGAAAATAGCACCTTTCTATCTCATATTCCCAACATCCTCCCCAAAATCACCAGCACAATAATAGCAAATATTATCAGCTAATTTATACCTATAACAAGACATTGAGTGGCACTTGTCTTCTTGTCCTAGTTTTGGTATCTGGGGCCTATAGCTAAAAAGCAAAGAGAACATCCACACACGGTAAGATTTGGGGCCAAAAATTGTACCACAAGGAAGAGATGGTACAAAAATCGTACCACAAGGAAGAGATGGTACAAAGGTAACCACCCCTTTCATCCTCCGTTCTCAGTCTATATCAATGACTATCAAACCCATTGGACTGCAGATCTTCATTTAGTGACAAATATCATGCAATGCCAATTTGCAAATTAAAATGGATAGACAATAAAACTTTCTATTAAAAATTATATAGGTATATAATTTTCTCCCAAAGCCAATATAATCCCTAACTTTTTAGAAATAATATAAATAAAGGAGAGGTAAGTTATTAAAATAATATGTGTTTCCTGGGGCACCACAACTCTAGGAGACATAACAAAGTAGTCAGTGGTTTGGGCCTGTTTGTAATGAGTAAGTTTGCATTGAAAAGAAAATAGGCCAATATAAAGTTGAATATCATCAACACTTTGTCTTTATACATATTGAAACAAGGGGTAAATAAGTAAATTTGTTTTTATACATAGACTTTTTGCCAACTGAACAGATAAAATGCAGACTGATATTTTGGCAACTAAACAGCACAACTGGCTTTGCCATCAGTGATGTGATTGTTCGAATGCTGAACAGTCTTTGGCAAGTTTCCAAAAGGAACAAGTACTGTATAATCTTCCCTTGATTTACATGTTAGGTATGTTTCTGGAAAATCCAATGTATATCAAAGCTATACAAAAATACCCTGTGTTTTTTGCATAAAATAGAATTGAGTTCTAGGCCTATGTCATTATAAAATGTCTGGGAGGACACCAGAAAGATGTGTAGATGTGAGATGGTTCTTCTCCATGTGGAATTGTCTTGTGCATTGCAGGATGTCTGGAATCCCTGGCCCATTAAGTATCAGAAGATCCCCCAATCGCCGTGACAACCAATAACAGCTCCACATATTTCCAAAATGTCCCTAGGAGATTGTGTGACCCTCGCTAAGGACCACTGCTCACTATAAAAAGACAGGGAGAAGAAGGGGAGTCTAAGAGATGGTCATCCTTCCCGTGGTTGGATATCCACAGCAGACTTGCTCTTCTGCATCAGCGTCAGAGACTTGGAGAGATGTGGAGGTGGGGAGAGGTGGTGCAGCAGCTGCATACCTACCACTGGGCGTGACAATGAGCATGTGTTTCCCACGGGACCACTGGACACAGGGCATCACAAGGAGCTGGCTTGAGCCATCTTGCTATTATCCCACCCAGGAGGGTTGTCTCTTGGTGAAGATGCACTACAACAAGAGGATGTTGCACACAGGGCCCCTGTGGAGCAGAGGTGGGCGGGGAGCAGGGGAGCAAATGAGGTGGGGCTGGAGTTGGATCTTCTGGTCAGGGAATTAGGCAGCAAGGGAGGGGAAGGGGCCTTTAAGGGTCTCCAAAGAACTGCTGCATGAACTCCGTCACACTGGGGACATGGACGTTGGCTAGAGTGTGCTGGCTCCTCAGCAGCCATTAAAAACAAGTTGATTCTTTCTCCCTCCCTCTTCCCTACCCTGACCCAGTGAAGGAGTGGGAGCCCTGAGGAATGGAGAGGCTTTGAAAACATAGGAGATTGAAGTTTTGTACCAGACCTTTCTCTCTCTCTCTCCTTTTTTTTTTTTTTGAAACAGGGTCTCACTCTGTCACCCAGGAAGTGCAGTGGCACAATCACAGCTCACTATAGCCACAACCTCCCAGGCTCAAGCAATCCTTCCACCTTAACCTCCTGAGTAGCTGGGACTACATGAGATCCACGTGCCACCATGCCTGGCTAATTTTGTTTTGTTTTTTTTGGTAGAGACAAGATCTTCCTATATTGCCCAGGCTGATCTCAAACTCCTGGGCTCAAGTAATCCTCCTACCTCAGCCTCCCAAAGTGCTGGGATTATAAAAGCATGAGCCACTTTGCCCAGCCCAGACTACATTTTAACTGTTGAAAATGAAGCAAACGTTATGAAAGACTTTGTTAATTATACCTAAGATGTTGTTAAAGCATAAAGAATGATTTGATGGAGTATAACTGGGACTTGGGAGCAGCTAGTGAAAGAAATTGAAATGTTTCATGTCTTTCCCCCAACAAGTTGAGATTCCTCCATAACCCAGTTACATACTTGACTTTGTCCCACAATGGATTTAAAACAGCTAATAAGAAGCCATTTAACAAAACAGAGAATGAAAACTAGACCCAGAGGAAATATAAACTGCATAGAATAACAACCAAGCAAAAGGAAACGTTAGGTCAAAAATCCACAGGACTTTCAGTCCTGCTATGCCATTATGGTTAGGCCACCAATTTTGGCTCCCTCGAAGCCAAAACAGAAAGGAGAACACGATCCTTTGGCTGGTAAAAGGGATACAATATGTTAACAACTTCCAGAATAAAAATGGTCTGGGATGTACACAAAGTGGTCAAAGAATGAACACCAATGACTACCACTGTCCAATGCTCTTCCCCTGATTGCTTTAATGATTTAGGTAGGCCTTCCAGTTAATCACATGCTTTAGATTAATAATATGTGCTGAGTATAGTGCTAGTATCTCTGTTGTCACTCCTATTTTATAGATGAGGACCCTGAGGCTCACAGAGATAAATAACTAGACAATATTGTCCCAGCTAACAAGTGGAAGAACCAGAATTCGAAGTCAGGTCTGCTAGTTTCTACATCAAGCTCTTCATTAAACCCAGCTCTATAATGTTATGAGAAGTGAGAAAATACTGACAGTGCCGGCTTAGCTGGAGCCCTTGAGGATTGCAGCACTCTGGTAAACTGAGGAGTGAACCCACTTGTGCCATCTCACAGTTTGGAAAAGGCAACACTATGATGACAGTGGGTAACACTGGCCTGGCACATAAACACAAAATGTTTGAGAACCCCACCTGGTGAGGGGCATTCTTCATCATAGCTGCTTTTTCATGCCGTGAAATGAGAGTCCACACACCTCTCATCATATCCATGGCAGAAATTTGAAGATTGTATTTTGTTTGTTTGTTTTATCAAAGAAAGCACAAGATTGCTTTTATTTTTAAAAATTTTTTTAAGGATACTCATCATTGAGCTTTTACAGTGAAGTTTTGGTTTCACAACTTAATGCAAGATCTGATTTACCTGATTCTGTGGCCCAATCGGCTTTAAGTTCTGAGATGCTTTTATTCAGTATTAGGGAGGCTGCAGAAGTGTAGTAGGAAGCAGACTGAGTTTGGAATCTGAAGACCTGGGTGCAAGCTTTGTCACTTAAATTGATTATGTTGAGTGACCTTGATCTTCAATTTTCTCATCTACAAAATTGAGACAACAAATCCCAGTATCAGAACAAAGATGAAAATAGATATGTTAAAAAATCTTTAGGCCGGCTGCAGTGGTTCATGCCTGTAATCCCAGCACTCTGGGAGGCCGAGGCGGGCAGATCACGAGGTCAGGAGTTCAAGATCAGCCTGGCCAACATGGTGAAATCCCATCTCTACTAAAATACAAAAAATTAGCTGTGCACGGTGGTGTGTGCCTGTAGTCCCAGCTACTCGGGAGGCTGAGGCAGGAGAGTCACTTGAGCCCGGGAGGCAGAGATTGCAGTGAGCCGAGATCATGCCACTGTACTCCAGCCTGGCAACAGAGCAAGATTTTGCCTCAAAAAAAAAAAAAAAAACAAAAAAACAAAAAAAAGAAAAAACTTTATGAACCCTAAATTGAAATTAAAATATATAGTATTACTTTTCTGAATTGAATTAAAAAGGCAAGAAGCTGGTTGAAAGAGCATTAGGTTAAGGTTAACAAGATCACAGTATTTACCTAGCCTGGGTCACAGTAAATCACCTACCACTCTGTCTAACTTCCTGGCTTTAGATAAATCACAATTTTTTTTTTAAATTAAGATGGAGTCTTGCCCTGTCACCAGGCTGGAGTGCAGTGATGCGATCTCAGCTCACTGCAACATCCACTTCCTGGGTTCAAGCAATTCTCCTGCTTCAGCCTCCTGAGTAGCTGGGACTACAGGCATGCGCCACCTTGCCCAGCTAATTTTTGCATTTTTAGTAGAGACGGGGTTTCACCGTGTTGGCCATGATGGTCTCGATTTCTTGACCTTGTGATCTGCCTGCCTTGGCCTCCCAAAGTGCTGGGACTACAGGTGTGAGCCACCGCGACTGGCCGTAAATCTTTTAAACACCGTTTTTTTTTTCAGCTATTAAATAAAGTTAGATTGGTGTTACCGAAAGCCTCCTCTTCCCCCCACCCCCTTTTTTTTTAATTCAACTTTTATTTTAAATTCCAGGTTACATGTGCAGGATAAATCGGTTTGTTACATAGCTAAATGTGTGCCTTGGTGGTTTGCTGCACTGATCACCCCATCACTTAGACATTAAGCCCAACATCCATTAGCTATTCTTCCTGATGCTCTCTCTCCCACCACCTCTGACAGGCCCCAGTGTGTGGTGTTCCCCTCCTTGTGTGCATGTGTTCTCATCGTTCAGCTCCCACTTATAAGTGAGAACATGTGGTGTTTGGTTTTCTTTTCCTGTGTTAGTTTGCTGAGAATAATGGCCTCCAGCTTTATCCATGTCCGTGCAAAGGACATGATCTCATTCCTTTTTATGGCTGCTTAGTATTCCATGATTTATGAGTACCACATTTTCTTTATCCAGTCTATTATTGATGGGCATTTGGGCTGATTCTGTGTCTTTGCTCTTATGAATAGTACTGCAATGAACATATGTGTGCATGTATCTTTATAATAGAATGGTTTATATTCCTTTGAGTATATACCCAGTAATGGGATGGCTGAGTCAAATGGTATTTCTGCTTATAGATCTTTAAGGAATCGCCACACTGTCTTCCACAATGGTTGAACTAATTTACATTCCCACCAAACAGTGTAAAAGCGTTCCTTTTCCTCTGCAGCCTCATCAGCATCTGTTGTTTCTTGACCTTTTAATAATAGCCATTCTGATTGGCATGAGATGGTATCTCATTGTGGTTTTGATTTGCATTTCTCTAATGATCAGTGATGTTGAGCTTTCTTTCCTATTTTTTGGCTGCATGCATGTCTTCTTTTGATATGTGTCTGTTCATGTCCTTTGCCCACTTTTTAATGGAGTTTTTTCTGGTAAATTTGCTTAAGCTCTTTGTAGACTCTGGATATTAGACTTTTGTTAGATGGATAGATTACAAAATTTTTCTTCCATTCTGTATGTTGTCTGTTCACTCTGATGATACTTTATTTTGCTGTGCAGAAGTTCTTTAGTTTAATTAGATCCCATTTGTCAATTTTTGCTTGCGTTGCAATTGCTTCTGACATTTTCATCATGAAATCTTTGCCCATGCCTATGTCCTGAATGGTATTGCCTAGATTTTCTTCTAGGGTTTTTACAGTTTTGGATATTACATTTAAGTTCAACAGCCCCTTTTTAATCCCTAAACATTTTGGTCTTTGACTGTCAGCTTCCACTTATGTTTTCATGTTTGTGTAAGAATGTCAATTAAAATCAAGAATATTATGGTCTGAATTTCTATTTTGGAAAAGTATGAAATGTGAAGATTCTTAATATTTGTAACTAACACGTGTAAAATCTCTCAAATTGACTTTTGGAATAGTTTTATGTGTTAACAGATTTGAATAGTGGCATCTGGGCGATAAACTTCAAATTGTCAATGTGGTAAAACCTTTAGTTGATTTCCAGTTAGAGTTTCAGCTCTTGAAAAATTGCGTTTTTGCTTATGTTTACAATATAATTTTCTAAGGTCACCGTAACAAAGTACCACAAACAGGGTATTTACACAATAGAAATTTGTTTTCTTACAGCCGGGAGGCTAGAAGTCTAAGATCAAGACATTAGCAGGATTGGTTCTTTTTGAGGGCAGTAAGGAAGAATCGTTCTATGCCTTTCTCCTAGTTCCTGGTAGTTTCCTAGCTGTTATGGATCTCTACAAAATTCATTTTTTGAAGTTCTAACCCTCAGAACCTCAGAAGAAGACTTCATTTGGAAAGAAGATCTTTACAGAATTAATCAAGTTAAAATGAGGTCATTACGGTGAACTCTAATCCAGTATGAATTGTGTCCTTATAAGAAAAATAAATCTGGATACAGACTCATACAGAGGAATGATGATGTAAAGACACAAGAAGAAAACAAGCCATCCACAAAACAAATAGAGAGACCTGAAACAGATCTTTCTCCTACAGCCCTCAGAAGGAACAAGCCCCACTGACACCTTGATCTCAGACATCTAGCTTCCAGAGCTGTGAGAAAGTAAATTTCTGTTATTTAAGTACCCAGGCTGTGGCATAGTCAGCCCTCCATATCTGGGGGCTTAACCAACCACAGATCAAAAATATTCAGACAAAAAGTGATGGTTGTGTCTGTACTGAACATGTATAGACTTTTTTTGGTCATTATTCCCTAAACGATATAGTGTAACTACTATTTACATGGCATTTACATTGTACTAGGTATGATAAATAATCTAGAGATGATTTAAAGTATACAGGAGGATATATGTAAATTATATGCAAACACTGAACCATTTCTATAACAGACTTGTGCATCCACGAATTTTGGTATCTGAGGAAGGTCCTAGAACAAATCCCCTCAGAATACCGAGGGACAGCTATACTTTGTTACAGCAGTCCTAGCAAACTAAGAATCTGGCAATCTTTGGCATTCCTCGGCTTGCAGATGCATCACCCCGAACTCTACCTTTGGGGTCACATGGTGTTCTCCCTGTGTGCATGTCTGTTTCCAAATTTCCCCTTTGGATAAGGACACTAGTCATATTGGATTAGGGCCCACCACAGTCTAGTGTGACTTCTTCTTAACTAATCACATCTGTCACAACTCTGTTTTCAAAAACAGAGGTACTGAAGCTGAGGACTTCAAAAATGAGGGGGAGATGCCATTAAACCCATGAAAATTACTCACTGTGGTAAACTGAAAAACTCAGCCACAGTATTTCACAGCTCATCTCATCATGAGGTAGAGTCAGTTCCCTCATCCCTTGAGTCTGGGCAGGACTAGTGACTTACTCTGACTGAAATGGAGCAGTGGGGATACTGAGTGAGGTCTGGAGCCAGCCTCAGAAGTCTTGCAGACTCTCCCTTCCACCTCTTGGAATGCTGCCCTGAAAGTGCCATGAACAAGGCCAATTCAGACTTCTGGAGGATGAAAGGCCTTGTGGAGGAGAACCAGGGTGCCCCAGCCAGCTGCAACTGCCATGCCTGCGAGCGAGACTACCGTGGACCTTCTAAACTAGCGGCCAGATTTGGCCCACTGCCTAATTTTGTATGGCCTGCAAAAATAAGAAAGTTTTTTATAATTTTAATGGTTAGAAAAATTAAAAGAAGAAGAATGTTTGTGATATGTGAAAATCACATAAAATTCAAATTTTAGAGTCCACAAATAAAGCTTTATGGGAACACAATCACACTCTATTGTTTACATATTGCCTGTGGTTGCTTTTGTGCTGTAACGGCAGATTGAATATTTGTGACAGAGACCAAATGGCCATCAAAACATAAAATATGTATTATCTAGCCCTTTACACAAGAAGTTTTTCTACCCCTATCCTAAGCACAACCAGTTCTCTGCTGATTACAACTGCATGAGTGAGGTCCAAGGGCAACAAGCAGAGGAACTTTCCAGCCACTCCACAGATCACAAGAAGAGTAAGTCCTTATTTTACATGACCAAGTTTAAGGATGGTGTGTTATGCAGCAATAGATAACCACTTTTAGGTAATAGTTACCTGATTTCTAGTCATGTGAATTTTTTTTTTCAGACAGGATTTTTCTTTGTTGCCCAGGCTGGAGAGAAGTGGCACAATCTCAGCTTGCTGCAGCCTCCGCATCCTGGGCTCAAGTGATCCTCCCACCTCAGCCTCCTGAGTAGCTGGGACTACAGGTGCACCCCACCTTGCTTGGCTAATTTTTAAATTTCTTGTAGAGACAAGGTCTCATTATATTACCCAGACTGGTCTCAAACTCCTGGGCTCAAGTGATCCTCTCACCTTGGCCTCCCAAAGTGCTGGGATTGCAGAGGTGGGCCACTGCACCCAGCCTAAAAAGTAATTTTTAATATGCAGACAAAACAAAACATGTCTGTTTTCGGGAAAGAAAAAAAAATTAAGACATTGAGAATTTAAGAGTCAAACTTCTCAAACCTTTTTTCATATCCATAGCATTTTTTTCAGGTATTTCTTTTTGACTAACACTTTAAAGAGAAAATGACTAGTAGAACTAAAGCTCTCCACTAAATTTTGTTAAATGCCCTCAGTTTATATTGGATTTTATACTAAATTCTGATTTTCAGAATTTCATGCTATTTGACTAGTAGCTTAAGATTTTGACCAGGTCTACTGAAAAGAGCTTTCAAAAGCTCACTCTTTCCTTTGCCTACTGGTAAAAGAAGTGAGCTGCTCTGAAATGAGCCTGGGAAGAAATAGATTGTCAGTTTGTTTTCTGAGTATGTCTATGGTTAACTGACTTCCTGTGCAGGAGACACAGCCATAGTCTAACCACAGAGACATGCAGTTTCCAGCTCTAACAATGAGAGCTAGGACCCATGAGGTCTGGGAAAACCTGGGCCTGAATGTTCCCACTTCATTTGGAGCTCCTGCCTCAACAACAGCAGCCAAGTTCCCAGGGGGTGCCAGGGAAATGACTGAATGAAGAGTTAAAAGACCCAAGTCTCATCTCCTGCCACCTTAGGTATCTTCTCTACAAGTGAGGAGTATAGTAATACCTAACATGTCCTTCATTCAGATGTTGAATGTTAACAATGTGTCCAGTATTGTTCTAGGGACAGAACAGTAAGCAAAACTAAGCCTTTTCTCTTGCAGAACTCCTCACGGAAGAGAAAAAATTCTATAGTGAGAGAAGCTAAACAATACACATATAAACAAGCAAATACTGCATGGCGGTAAGCGCCATGAAGGAAAACAAAACAAGGTAAGAAGTGGCTCTGTGTTACACAAGGTGATGAGGTAACAGCTCAACACAGGCCTGAAGGAAGAGGGATCCATGTACATATCTGCAGAAAATGCCTTCCAGCCAGAGGGAACTGCTTATGAAAAGTCCCTGAGGCAAAAGCATGCTTAGCATATTTGAGGAATAGTGGAGAGTCAATGTGGCTGCAGTGAAGAGAGAGAAGAAAAGTAGTGAGGGCCAGATCCTGTTGGAATTTTTATTTATTGGTTTATTTTTAGAAACAGGGTCTCGTTCTCTTCCCCAGACCGGAGTGCAATGGCACAACCTTTCCTCACTGCAGCCTTGATCTCCTGGGCTCAAGCGATTCCCCCACCTCAGCCTCCCGAGTAGCTGGGATTTCAGATGTGCACCACCATGCCCAGGTAACTTTTGTATTTTTTGTAGAAACAGTCTTACTATGTTGCCCAGGCTGGCTTCAAGCTCCTGGGTTCAAGGGATAGTCTCTTCTTGTCTCCCAAAGTGCAGGGATTATGGGCATGATCCAGCCTGACCCTCATGTAGGACTTTTTTTTTTTTTTTGAGACGGAGTTTCACTGTTGTCACCCAGGCTAGAGTACAATGACTTGGTCTTGGCTCACTGCAACCTCCGCCTCCTGGGTTCAAGCAATTCTCCTGCCTCGGCCTCCCGAGTAGCTGGGAATTCAGGCATTAGCCACCACGCCTGGCTAATTTTTGTATTTTTAGTTGACAGGGGGTTTCACCATGTTGGTCAGGCTGGTCTCGAACTCCTGACCTCAAGTGATCTGCCTGCCTTGGCCTCCCAAAGTGCTGGGATTATAAGCTTAAGCCACCATGCCTGGCCATGTAGGACTTCTTTGATCATTGATGATACTTTGGATTATTCTGAATGAGATGAGAGATCCTGGAGAGCTTGAATAGAGGAGTGACAATTTTTTATTTAAGTGACACATTTATTTAGGTTTAAAAAGGATCTTTTGGCTGCTATGTTGAGAACAGATGGCAAAGCAGCTAGGGTGGAATCACAGAGACCACTAGAAGGCTAAAACAATAACACAGGTCAGGATTATTGCGGCTTGGTAAAGCGGAAGTGTAAAAGGTGAACACAGAATGGGTATGTTTTGGAGGTAACACCAACCAAGATTTTCTGATGGAAAAGTGGTGGGATATGAGAAAATGAGAAGAGTCAAGAATGAACCAACATTTTTCACTGAGCAACTGGGGAGATGAAGCTGCCATGCACTGAATTGGGGAAGGTTTTGGGAGAGACATGTTTTGGAAGAGAAGGAATCAGGGTTTGTTTTTGGACATGTTGAGCCTGCGATGTCTATTAGATCTCCAGGAAGGCATGTTGAGGAAGTAGTATAATTATAGGAGCTTGAAATTTAGGGGAACAGTGCATGCTTGAGAGACGCTTGAGAATTATCAATATGGAGATGTTATATAGAGATAAAATTTGCTGCTTTATTGGGCTGGTTACCACTTTGGGCAACTGGTCCCCGGTCTTGCTGGGTAAACTCTGAGGAGCTAGGTAGAAAGTGTGTCAGAACTGTCTGAGTGAGACATGGTACAAAGGACTAGCCATGAGCTTTTGTTCCCCTTGGTCAAGGATTGTTCATTGGGGTATTAATTCTCTCAAACCTCCAGATTTCTTTTCTTTTCTTTTTCCTTTTCTTTTCATTATACTTTAAGTTCTGGGATACATGTGCAGAACATGCAGGTTTGTTACATAGGCATACACATGCCGTGGTGGTTTGCTGCACCCATCAACCTGTCATCTACATTAGGTATTTGTCCTAATGCTATCCCTCCCCTAGCCCCCAACCCCCTGACTGGCCCCAGTGTGTGATGTTCTCCTCCCTGTGTCCATGTGTTCTCATTGTTCAACTCCCACTTATGAGTGAGAACATGTGGTGTTTGGTTTTCTGTTCCTGTGTTAGTATGCTGAGAATGATGGTTTCCAGCTTCATCCATGTCCCTCAAAGGACATGAATTCATCCATTTTTACAGATGCATAGTATTCCATGGTGTATATGTGCCACATTTTCTTTATCCAGTCTATCACTGATGGGCATTTGAGTTGGTTCCACGTCTTTGCTATTGTGAATAATGCTGCAATAAACATACATGTGCACGTGTCTTTATAGTAGAATGATTTATAATCCTTTGGGTATATACCCAGTAATAGGATTGCTGGGTCAAATGGTATTTCTGGTTCTAGATCCTTGAGGAATAGCCACACTGTTTTCCACAATAGTTGAACTAATTTACACTCCTACCAACAGTGTAAAAGCATTCCTAACTCTCCACATCATCTCCAGCATCTGTTGTTTCCTGACTTTTTAATGATTGCCATTCTAACTGGTGTGAGATGGTATCTTATTGTGGCTTTGATTTGCATTTCTCTAATGACCAGTGATGATAAGCTTTTATTCATATGTTTGTTGGCTGCATAAATGTCTTCTTTTGAGAAGTGCCTGTTCATATCCTTCGCCCACTTTTTGATGAGGTTGTTTGTTTTCTTCTTGTAGATTTGTTTAAGTTCCTTGTAGATTCTGGATATTAGCCTTTTGTCAGATGGGGATACATTGCAAAAATTTTCTTCCATTCTGTAGGTTGCCTGTTCAGTCTAATGATAGTTTCTTCTGCTGTGCAGAAGCTCTTTAGTTTAATTAGATCCCATTTATCAATTTTGGCTTTTGTTGCCATTGCTCTTGGCATTTTAGTCATGAAGTCTTTTTCCATGCCTATGTCCTGAATGGTATTGCCTAGGTTTTCTTCTAGGGTTTTTTATGGTTTTAGGTGTTATGTTTAAGTCTTTAATCCATCTCAAGTTAATTTTTGTATAAGGTGTAAGAAAGGAGTCCAGTTTCAGTTTTCTGCCTATGGCTAGCCAGTTTTCCCAACACCATTTATTAAATAGGGAATGCTTTCCCCATTGCTAGTTTTTGTCAGGTTTGTCAAAGATCAGATGGTAGTAGATGTGTGGCATTATTTCTGAGGCCTGTGTTCTATTCCATTGGTCTATATATCTGTTTTAGTACCAGTACCATGCTGTTTTGGTTACTGTAGCCTTGTAGTAGAGTTTAAAGTCAGGTAGCATGATGTCTACAGCTTTGTTCTTTTTGCTTAGGATTGTCTTGGCTATACAGGCTCTTTTTTGGTTCCATATGAAATTTAAAGTAGTTTATTCCAATTCTGTGAAGAAAGTCAATGATAGCTTAATGGGGATAGCATTGAATCTATAAATTACTTTGGGAAGTATGGCCATTTTTACAATGTTGATTCTTCCTATCCATGAACATGGAATATTTTTCCATTTATTTGTGTCCTCTCTTATTTCCTTGAGCAGTGGTTTGTAGTTCTCCTTGAAGACGTTCTTCACATCCCCTATAAGTTGTACTCTTAGGTATTTTATTCTCTTGTAGCAATTGTGAATGGGAGTTTACTCATAATTTGACTCTCTGTCTATTATTGGTGTATAGGAATGCATGTGATTTTTGCACATTGATTTTATATCCTAAGACTTTGCTGAAGTTGCTTATCAGTTTAAGAAGATTTTGGGCTGAGATGACAGGGTTTTCTAAATATACAATCATGTCATCTGCAAACAGAGACAATTTGACTTCCTCTCTTCCTATTGGAATACACTTCATTTCTTTCTCTTGCCTAATTGCCCTGGCCAGAACTTCCAACATTGTGTTGAATAGGAGTGGTGAGAGAGGGTATCCCTGTCTTGTGCTGGTTTTCAAAGGGAATGCTTCCAGCTTTTGCCCATTAAGTATGATATTGCCTGTGGGTTTGTCATAAATAGCTCTTACTATTTTGAGGTACGTTCCATCAAAACTTAGTTTATTGAGAGTTGTTAGCATGAAGGGGTGATGAATTTTATCGAAGGCCTTTTCTGCATCTATTGAAATAATCATGTGGTTTTTGTCATTGGTTCTGTTTATGTGATGGATTATGTTTATTGATATGCATATGTTGAACCAGCCTTGCATCCTAGGAATGAAGCCAACTTGATTGTGGTGGATAAGCTTTTTGATTTGCTGCTGGATTCAGTTTGCCAGTATTTTATGGAGGATTTTTGCATCAATGTTCATCAGGGATATTGGCCTGAAATGTTCTTTTTTGTGTGTGTCTCTGCCAGGTTTTGGTATCATGATGCTGGCCTCATAAAATGAATTAGGGAGGAGCCCTTCTTTTTCTATCATTTGGAATAGTTTCAGAAGGAATGATACCGGCTCCTCTTTGTACTGCTGGTAGAAGTCGGGTGTGAGTCCCTCTGGTCCTGGGCTTTTTTTGGTTGGTAGGCTATTAATTACTGCCTCAATTTCAGAACTTGTTATTGGTCTATTCAGGGATTCCACTTCTTCCTGGTTTAGTCTTAGGAGGGTGTATGTATCTAGAAATTTATCCATTTCTTCTAGATTTTCTAGCTTATTTGCATAGAGGCATTTATAATATTCTCTGATGGTAATTTGTATTTCTGTTGGATCAGTAGTAATACCCTCTTTATCATTTTTTATTGTGTCTATTTGATTCTTCTCTTTTTTCTTATTAGTCTGGCTAGTGGTCTATTTTGTTAATCTTTTCAAAAAACCAGCTCCTGGATTCATTGAATTTTTGAAGTGTTTTTTGTGTCTCTGTTTCCTTCAGTTCTGCTCTGATCTTAGTTATTTCTTGTTTCCTGCTAGCTTTTGAATTTATTTGCTCTTGCTTATCTAGTTCTTTTAATTGTGATGTTAGAGTGTCAATTTTAGATCTTTCCCACTTTCTCCTGTGGGCATTTAGTGCTACAAATTTCCCTCTAAACACTGCTTTAGCTGTGTCCCAGAGATTCTGGTACGTTGTGTCTTTGTTCTCATTGGTTTCAAAAAACTAATTTATTTCTGCCTTAATTTCGTTATTTACCTAGTAGTCATTCAGGAGCAGGTTGTTCAGTTTCCATGTAGTTGTGCAGTTTTGACTGGGTTTCTTAATCCTGAGTTCTAATTGGATTACACTGTGGTCTGAGAGACTGTTTGTTATTATTTCCATTCTTTTGCATTTGCTGAGGCGTGTTTTACTTCCAATTATGTGGTCAATTTTAGAATAAGTGTGATGTGGTGCTGAGAAGAATGTATATTCTGTTGATTTTGGGTGGAGAGCTCTGTAGATGTCTATTAGGTCTGCTTGGTCCAGAGCTGAGTTCAAGTCTTGAATATCTTTGTTAATTTTCTGTCTTGTTGATCTGTCAAATATTGACAGTGGGGTGTTGAAGTCTCCCAATATTATTGTGTGGGAGTCTAAGTCCCTTTGTAGGTCCCTAAGAACTTGCCTTATGAATCCAGATGCTCCTGTATTGGGTGCATATATATTTAGGATAGTTAGCTCTTCTTGTTGCATTGTAATGCCCTTTGTTGTATTTTTTGATCTTTGTTGGTTTAAAGCCTGTTTTATCAGAGACTAGGATTGCAACCCCTTGTTTTTTTTTTTTTTTTTTTTTTTTTGGCTTTGCATTTGCTTGGTAAATATTCCTTCTTCTCTGTATTTTGAGTGTATGTGTGTCTTTGCACGTGAGATGGGTCTCCTGAATACAGCACACCGAAGGGTCTTGACTCTATCCAATTTGCCAGTCTGTGTCGTTTAATTGGGGGCATTTAGCCCGTTTACATTTAAGGTTAATGTTATGTGTGAATTTGATCCTTTCATTATGATGCTAGCTGGTTATTTTGCCCATTAATTGATGCGGTTTATTCACAGTGTTGATGGTCTTTACAATTTGGTATGTTTTTGCAGTGGCTAGTAATAGGTTTTCCTTTCCATATTTAATGCTTCCTTCAGGAGCTCTTGTAAGGCAGGCCTGGTGGTGAAAAAATCCCTCAGCGTTTGCTTGTCTGTAAAGAATTTTATTTCTCCTTCGTTTATGAAGTGTAGTTTGGCTGGATATGAAATTCTGGGTTGAAAATTCTTTTCAAGAATGTTGAATATTGGCCCTCACTCTCTTCTGGCTTGTAGAGTTTCTGCAGAGAGATCTGCTGTTAGTCTGATGGGCTACCCTTTGTGGGTAACCCGACCTTTCTCTCTGGCTGCCCTTAACATTTTTTCCTTCATTTCAACCTTAGTGAATCTGAAGATTATATGTCTTGGGGTTGCTCTTCTTGCAGAGTGTCTTTGTGGTGTTCTCTGTATTTCCTGAATTTGAATGTTGGCCTGTCTTGCTAGGTTGGGAAAGTTCTCCTGGATAATATCCTGAAGAGTGTTTTCCCACTTGGTTCCATTCTCCTCGTCACTTTCAGGTACACCAATCAAATGTAGATTTGGTCTTTTCACATAGTCCCATATTTCTTGGAGGCTTTCTTTGTTCCCTTTCACTCTTTTTTCTCTAGCTTGTCTTCATGCTTTATTTCATTATGTTGATCTTCAATCTCTGATATCCTTTCTTCCACTTGATCAATTCAGCTATTGATACTTGTGTATGCTTCAGGAAGTTCTTGTGCTGTGTTTTTCAGCTCCATCAGGTCATTTATGTTCTTCTCTAAACTGGTTAGTCTAGTTAACAATTCCTCTAACCTTTTATCAAGGTTCTCAGCTTCCTTGCATTGGGTTAGAACATGCTCCTTTAGCTCGGAAGAGTTTGTTATTACCCACTTTCTGAAGCTTACTTCTGTCAATTCATCAAACTCATTCTCCATCCAGTTTTGTTCCCTTGCTGGCAAGGAGTTGTGATCCTTTGAAGGAGAAGAGGTGTTCTGGTTTTTGGAATTTTCAGCCTTTTTGCACTGATTTTCCCTCATTTTTGTGGATTTATCTACCTTTGGTCTTTGATGTTGGTGACGTTCAAATGGGGTTTTTGTGTGGACATCCTTTTTATTGATGTTGATGCTATTCTTTTCCGTTTGTTAGTTTTCCTTCTAACAGTCAGGCCCCTCTGCTGCACGTCTGCTGAAGTTTGCTGGAGGTCCACTCCAGACCCTGTTTGTCTGGGTATCACCAACGGAGGCTGCAGAAGAGCAAAGATTGCTGCCTCCTCCTTTCTCTGGAAGCTTCATCCCAGAAGGGCACTCAGCAGATGCCAGCCAGAGCTCTCCTGCATGAGATGTCTGTCAACCCCTGCTGAGAGGTGTCTCCCAGTCAGGAGGCCCAGGGGTCAGGGATCCACTTGAGGAGGCAGTCTGTCCCTTAGCAGAGTTCAAGTGCTATGCTGGGAGATCTGCTGCTCTCTTCAGAGCCAGCAGGCAGGAACGTTTAATTCTGCCAAAGCTGAGCTTACAGCTGCCCCTTCCCCCAGGTGCTCTGCCCCAGGGAGATGGGAGTTTGATCTATAAGCCACTGACTAGGGCTGCTGCCTTTCTTTCAGAGATGCCCTTCTCAGAGAGGAGGAATCTAGAGAGGCAGTCTGGCCTCAGTGGCTTTGCTGAGCTGTGGTGGGCTCTGCCCAGTTCAAACTTCCAGACAGCTTTGTTTACACTGTGAGGGGAAACCTGCCTACTCAAGCCTCACTAATGGTGGGCACTCCTTCCCCAACCAAGCTCAAGCATCCCAGGTCGACTTCAGATGCTGTGCTGGCAGAGAGAATTTCAAACCAGTGGATCTTAGCTTACTGGTCTCCGTTGGGGTGGGATCTGCTGAGCTAGACCACTTGGCTCCCTGGCTTCAGACCCCTTTCCAGGGGAGTGAACGGTTCCTTCTTGCTGGGGTTCCAGGTGCTGCTGGGGTGTGAAAAAAACTCCTGCAGCTAGCTCAGTGTCTGCCCAAATGGCTGCCCAGTTTTTGTGCTTGAAACCCAGGGCCCTGGTGGTATAGGTACCCAAGGGAATCTCCTGGTATATGGGTTGCAAAGACTGTGGGAGAAGTGTAGTATCCGGGCCAGAATGCACCATTCCTCACAGCTTAGTCCCTCATGGCTTCCCTTGGCTAGAGGAGGGAGTTCCCCAACCCCTTATGCTTCCTGGGCAAGGCAACGCTCTACCCTGCTTCAGCTTGCCCTCTGTGGGCTGCACCCACTGTCTAACCAGTCCCAATGAGATGAGCTGGATACCTTAGTTGGAAATGCAGAAATCACCTGCCTTCTGCATTGATCTTGCTGGGACCTGCAGACTAGAGCTATTCCTGTTTGGCCATCTTGCCAACCACTGCCTTTTTTTTTTTTTTTTTTTTTTTTGGATAGGGTCTCACTCTGTCACCCAGGTGGGAGGTGCAGTGGCACAGTCTCAGCTCACTGCAACGTCCACTTCCTGGGCTCAAGCTATCCTCCCACCTCAACCTCCTGAGTGATAGGAACACATGTGCGCACCACCACGCCTGGCTTTTTTTTTTTTTTTTTTTTTTGCATATTTAGTAGAGATGAGGTTTTGTCATATTGCCCAGGCTGGTCTTGAACTGCTGAGCTGAAATGAACTACTCACCTTGGCCTTCCAAAGTTCTGGGATTACAGGGTAGGCCACTGTGCCCGGCTAAAGTTCCATATTTTTTTGTGTGCACTAGAATGCCTGATCATGTTCCCTTAGGCATCCCATATGATGGTTGCTATGGTAGGCTTAATCATGGCCCCCAAAGGTATCCAGGTCCTAACTTTGGGAACCTATGAATATTACTTTATATATATATATATGTATATATATATATGTACATATATATACACATATATATACATGTATATGTATATATATAATGGACTTTTCAGAAGTGATTAAGTTAAACACTTTGAAATGAAGAGATTGTCCTTGATTGTCTGGGTGATCCCTAAGTGCAATCCCACATGTCCTTATAAAAGGGGTATTTGACTACACATTGAAAAAGAAGGCCATGTGATGAAACCAGATTCAGAGAAACAAGGTGCTACACCACTGGCTTTGAGGATGGAAGAAGGGGTCATGAGCCAAGGAATGTATGTCAAGAACCAGAAAAGGCGAGGAAGGAGATTCTCCCCTTGAGCCTCCAGAGGGAACATGACTGTGCCAACACCTCGATTAGCCCTGTAAGACTTAGTTTGAATTTCTGGCACCCAGAACTGTAAGGGAAAAGTTTTATGTTGTTTTAAGCTACCATGTTTTGTGGTAATTTGCTATAGCAGCCATCAGAAACGAGTACAGTGACAGAGAACGGTGTTTCCAGGTTATACCTGCATGTTGTAGCAGCAATGACCTGAGTAAAAAGTGGACTAAGAGGACATGAAGCAAGGAACAAGTCTGGACCAACATCCATTGGTCCCTTCACATTGCTTGGATCCATCCTTGCCCTGTTTTAAATCTAGTGCATCAGAGAGCCTTCAAGGTGCTGTGTGTGTGGTCTCAAAATCTATTAAATACTCAATTCAGGAGGATTGATGGAACAAGCTGGAGCCTCTGTGGCAGCCACTGCTCCTAGGCCATATTTGGTATTTATCGTCTTCTTCCTCTACTATCCTTTCCATATTTTTCTCACCTTTGGCTTCACTTTAGTAGGTATAGGATGCTTGTCTGGTGGGGTGACCTGACTTTCACTCTGAGGGATTGGAGCCCATGGTTAGTTTTTCCTTGTTGGATCATGATTCCTACAATTGCCCATTTATGGTTATCACTGAGCATGGAAACACCAAGAAATACCTCTGATTCCAGATGCTCTGACTATACAACATTAATCTTAGCTCCTCATAATAACCCGGGAAAAGAGTTATATTAATAATTCCTGAATCCACCTTTTGGCCCATTGGCTTTAAAAATCAAACATGACTAGATGCTAATAGTAGCTCCAGATTCAATAGAACTTTTACTGATTGCCCTTGTGGAAACATCCTTCTCCTACTGCTCATAAAAAAGAACCGATCACAACCTAAGACTGCAGGAATAGGAAGCACAAATTCACAAGTGAGTCCTTGAGAATTATGGTGAGAGGGGTCAATGCTACTCCCACCCTCTTGGTTCCCAGAATCATGTATTCTAGCTATTGGGTATACAACATCGTATGTCAGCTGTTGGTTCATTGTGTATACTGCATTCCAGAGGAATGCAACCCACTTCTGCAGGATATGTTTTTCTTGATATGATGCCATAGCTGAGCCTTTAATTGACCATTCCACCATTCTACCATTCTGGCTTCTTCCAGGTGATTTAGTATATAGTAGGACAAATGAATTCCATAGTTATATGCCAGAAATCACCTCCTCTTCACTGTAAAACAGGTCTGTTGGTCTGATACAATATAATATGTAAATTTCATGTCAATAAAGCAGGCATTCTATAAGACCTGGAGCAGGGGGTGCTGGAAGAGGCACCACAGGCAGCGAAGGCAAACCCATACCCAGAGAGAGAAATATCAAATCTGGTGAGGATGAATCATTGGATATGAAGGGATCCAGCATATCCTAGCCAATCGTAATCCTGAACGCCACAATCCCAAATGTTGAAATTCCAAAAGGTCTGGAAAAACTAATTTTTAAAATTATTTAAAATACACTTATTTATATTTTTAAAAGGGGATTTATTTAAGAAACACATAAAAACACATCTGAACATTTCATGGGCCACTTTAAGCAATAAAATGGACAATAATAACACACATATTTTTGCAAGCATAAATACTCAGGTATGCTAATGACAGTCACACAGATATAACAGGTATGAGTAGGTAAACTGTATGGTAAAGAAATAGGTCAAAAAGGGAAATGTATAAACAAATGTCACTATGGTTGGTAATTGTGTGCACTCAGCTTTATAATTGTGGTCATCTGAAGTACTGTGATGAACAACCTAAGTCTTTTGACAAGATCAATCAAAAATCGCCATGGGTCACCACTGCATATGGGGTTACCCAAAGAGCTGAGGTTTCGAGAAATTTCATCTTTCACAAATGCAGATGTACGAAAAGAAGGTCCCTTAATTTATTGAGAAAGTTTCAATGTTTTTATGTATACACATAATGCTCACACACAAAGTTGTGATAATGAACTTTTATGAGGTCAAGTTTGTAATAATGCGTAAGACAAATTAGAACTCTCAAAAAATCTCTACACAATGTCTACCTCCCATATCAGAAATGACGCGAAGATGAAACACATAGCATAAAAAATTGTAAAAAATAATGTTCACAATTTAAAGTAGTGAAAAAAAGCTAAAAAAGAAAAGAAACAACATAAAAAGAAAATTTAACATATGAAAAAGTATATTACAGGAATAGATTATGGGCATTTGCATGGCGATCATTCATAAGACCTAGCTAACTTTCACGATCATCAACTATATGTTGAAATCTTGCATCATGATGAATAGCTGCTATTTTTCTTTTTGGATATGGCTCTTCTTGGAGAATACATTCATATTCATTTTCTACGTGGCATGGCTCTGAACTTTTTCTATGAGTCACCGACATGAACGTTCCCTATTAAATTGTCCAATATTCTGTGTCATGCTTCTGTGTTGTTTTGGGTACTTGGAAGTCCATACTGCATGCATTCATATACAGGTCACAAATTTGGTGCAAACAATACTGGTGATTGAACAGCAACACCCGAAATAATGCTTTACCAGGTTTCTCTGTATTTTCCAATCCAGTCAAGTTGACACCTAAAATGAAGCCCACAAATCTGCCCCTTGTTAACTTGGCACCCATAGACATCTTCTTAAGCCGTACTTAATTTCCAAATAAAGACAACAACAAGGTAATAGTTCTAACATGATGCAACTATTCTGTGATTGTGATCTTCAGAATTTTAGGCATCAGGGATTTTAGACTTTAGGGATTTTGATTTTTCGTGATTTCAACATTTGGGATTACAGCGTTCCAGACTGTGTCTTGCAAGATTATGATCCAAACCTCCCCTTCTAGTAATATAGTAATCACGTGATCAATAATAAATGCTACCTTGTGGCTGGCTGGTTTCATTACAATAATAGTGCCATAGCAAGTGCCTAGTGTCAGTCTCTGTAGCTGTCAGGAAGGGCATTCATGAATGCCAGTGGCTGGAAGAACCATAACAAGAGGAATGCCATAATCTTGGGCTCATTGATAGCACCATCCCTACAACAATGGCCACTCATGGGCCCATTGCCCAAGTACTGAGGTGGCTGAGAGGAGATGCTGGCTTAGATCCATAGGACAACTCATCCTGCCTACCTGTTCAGTGCCTCCTCTTCAAAGATACAGGTGTGTTGCTCCCATTTCCATGACTCTTTCGCAAACTTTCTTTTATCTGGTCTTTCAATCTTTCTCTTCCCAGGATCCCTACTAGCCAGCCAAGCCATTTTTCACTTCTCTAGGTTCTGTGTATGTCTGTACCTCAAGCTGTTTTTTGCTTTATTTAAACTGAATGACCAATTACACTGCTGAAAGTCTTGCTGACTGGGAGGATTTTCCTTTTGCACTGTCCTTTGGGACTACCTCTGAGTATTTCTGAAATGTGATAGCTGTACTTACTCAGATATCCATCTCTATGCCAGGCTGGAGATTTTTCTTTCCTCTGTCAGTTGATTGCAGGGGAATCTCCATGAGGTCATAGGTGAGAACTGAGGTCGAGGAATCTGTGCAATAGAGCTAGGTAACATGAAGGTCTGTGTAATCTATTCATGTAAACTTATTTGTACCTTTTGGGTCTGCTTGGATCCAAGTCTAAATGTACCATTTCTATTGTACAATGGATTGCCTGATCTCATGAAGTGGTGAATCTGATAATACCCATCTCATGATCTGTAATTTTATGTCCCATGCTCAGGTACTTCACCTCTGCTAAGGCCCAGAACTACACCAGATGCTGCTTTGCAAATGGTAACTATCTCTCTGCCATAGATGGCATGGCCTTACTCCAGAACCCTTGGGTCTGTGATGTGACTCTTCTGTTGAACCTTGGCAGAGACTCCACACAGAATTTGTATCTGCCATAGCTATCTTTAGCACTACTGATCTGATGAGTCATATGTCCTGAATGACAGAACACTTTTCACTGCATCACAGCCTGAATCTGCTGCAGATTCTCTTGCTCTGGTCCCACTGAAAGCTGGAAGCATTCTGAGTCACTCAATAAATGTGTTGAGAATTAGTCCCAAGTATGGTATATGCTGCCTCCAGAATCCAAGGAAGCCTATTTAGTGCTGTGCCTGTTCTTAGTGGTAGGAGAAGCAAAGTACAACTTGTCCTTTACCTTGGATGGGATTTCTCAGCATGACTCAGACTGTTGGACCCAAAAACTAGACCAATGTGGAGAGTATCTGAATCTCCTTGGGATGTAGCTCCCTCCCTCTGGTATACATGTATTTTTACTACAGTGTCCAAACTACTTGCCACTTCCCACTTATTAAGTTCAATCAATATGAGGAACTGAATGATGCTCTCCGGAATGTCAATATGATCAAGGCCCTTTGGACTTCATTGTAACAGAGAACAGGAGATATTCCTGGGAACTAACCCTAGATAAAACAGTGGATATGTGCCACTCTCCAGCCTGAAAAAAAAGCAAGCTATTTTTGATCCTCTTTATTGGTGTTTGTTGAAGAAAAAGGTTTTACCAGATTAATTGCAAGACCTAGTAGACGCTCCATGATTATTTTATAGATGAAGAAACTGAAGCTATGGAGGGTTATAAAACTCCAAGCGTTGACCAGGCTAGGGCACCACACTACAGGATCAGAGACATCTGGGCCATCATGAAGTAGCCCAAAGTTACCTGGAGAGAGAGAAAAAAATGATGAAGGAAAACTGCTGACAGATTTTGCTTGCTGCACAGAGAATCACAGATCCTGGCGCTGAGGGTACTTTGGAAGTCACCTAGCACAACCTCTTACCCTGACAATGAAGTCCCTCTGAAACAGTGTTGGATTTAAGGTTATGCGTTTCATATAGTGAGGAGGAAAAAACACAGGTGTGCAGGTTTGGAGACATACTGTATCCAACAGCTATTGCAGTTAATAAAACACCCCAAAACTTACTAGCTTAAACAACACTTTTTATATTTTCTTTGAACCTATAGGGTTGGCTGACGGGTTATACTATGTTGAGCTGGAATCAGAAGGGCCTGCTTGCTCATATATCTGTAGTCAGCTGCAGGTTGGCTAGCTGGATGGCTTGCTGATCTTAGCTGGGCTCTCTCACTCATCTGTGAACAACTGGACTGGCCTGGTCGTTCTCTGTCTGTCTCATCCTCTAGGCTACCCAAGCATATTCTTATGGTAAAGTCAGAGAAACAAGATGAGTATAAGGGCAAGAAGTATAATTGGCTTGTATTCCATATGTTAGCAAATGGAGTAACAATGGCTCATTAGCCAAATATGTCATATGAGTCCAAAGTCTGGCAGAGCAGAATTCCCTGGCCACAATGGGAGCAATGAAGACTCAGGGCCTTGATGCAGGCAATCTACCACATATAACTCAATTCCAATCCCAGCCATGGCACTTATCAGATAACTCACTCTTCTGAGCCTTAGTTTCCCTAACTAAAAAAAATAAACAATAATAACATCTATTTCAAAGCATATTATAATGATCAAATAATATTTATATAATGTATCCAGTATAGTGCTTGGAACACGAGGGACCTGAAAAAAATGGATGGTTCTTCTGATTATGAAGAGCGGTGTCTTGAGTTGATAGGCCTTTTGCTATCTACAGCTCAGGATGCTCTGCGGAGGCTGCCAAGGTAGCCCAAAGCTCCAGTCTCTCCCCAAACACTTGGTCGAGGGGGGCTAACCTTCTGAGGACCCACGCTGGCCACAGCTAAAGGGTCTTAGGACTTTGGAGACTGAAGCTTACCACATCCCTGGGATGCAATATTCTCCAATGTGCTGCCCCCATCCTGACCCAGCCACCAGATGGAGAAGATGGGGAAAGCTCTGTGCCTCCTTCTGAAAAAGGCAGTATGAGTATTGGTAAGAGTCAGGCAGGCCAGCGTTTAAAATTTGGCTTGGCCACTTACTGGCTGTGTAACTTTGGGTGACTTAGGTAATGTCTTTAATCCCAGTTGTGTTCTATTCCACAGGCCTTATGTGAGCACTAATAAGGTGACATCTGTTTGGGATACAGGATTACAAGGATGATGTATATGTGGGGAAATGGAGGGTCGGAGACAGAGATAATCATCAGGAAGACATGGGCATGATTCTATTTTTCCCTATGGATGAGAACATGGTCTGCCTGACAGCAAGTTTAGTTCAAGAACCAGGAGAATCCAATATTTATAAACATATCCTTAAATATAAGCACTTTTTTATTATTATACTTTAAGTTCTAGGGTACAGGTGCACAACGTGCACATTTGTTACATAGGTATATACATGTGCCATGTTGGTTTGCTGCACCCATCAACTCGTCATTTACATTAGGTATTTCTCCTAATGCTATCCCTCCCCCAGCCCCCCCACCCCTGACAGGCCCCAGTATATGATGTTCCCCACCCTGTGTCCAAGTGTTCTCATTGTTCAGTTCCCACCTATGAGTGAGAACATGCGGTGTTTCGTTTTCTGTCCTTGTGATAGTTTGCTGAGAAAGATGGTTTCCAGCTTCATCCATGTCCCTGCAAAGGACATGAATTCATCCTTTTTTATGGCTGTACAGTACTCTATGGTGTATATGTGCCACATTTTCTTAATCCAGTTTATCATTGATGGACATTTGGGTTGGTTCCAAGTTTTTGCTATTGTGAATAGAAGCACATAGACTTTAACTGCATGTGTTTGCAGAATAGTAATGCAACCTCAGGTATAAAAAAGTGATGGCAGAGCAAGCCAAGAGCTTCTCAGATCTGTACAGACTTTGCTTTGTATGCATGCTGTCACCAGAAGTTCACCACTTGTTAGAGACTCTGGAGGCCAGGATCAAGTCTACAGATATAAAAACTGCACCTCGTCCCACCCTGTTGTGCTATCTGCTTCTCAAAGTTTCTGGATTCTTGGCTAGATAAATCAGGCACATAAGATAAGCACATGGTGGGTTTGAATCTATTTTTTCTTTGCTCATCCATCCACGACCCATCATAACTGCTGCAGCATACAAAACACTTGGCATAGTACAAAACACTTAGCATAGTACAAAACCCAGGAAGAGCACTCAGTCAGTGTTGGCACCTTCAAACCCTCCATTCCAGGGAGATAAGAGCATCATGGTTAGATTCTCTACTTTCTCATCACTTTTAGTTATTCAAACAGCATTATCAGGGTCTTAAAACTTAGATCTGGCCAGGCGCAGTGGCGCACACCTGTAATCCTAGCACTTAGGGAGGCCAAGGCGGGCGGATCACAGGGTCAAGAGATCGAGACCATCCTGGCCAACATGGTGAAACCCCGTCTCTACTAAAAATACAAATTAGCTGGGCGTGGTGGTCCATGCCTGTAGTCCCAGCTATTTGGGAGGCTGAGGCAGGAGAATCGCTCAAACCCAGGAGGCAGAGGTTGCAGTGAGCCAAGATCGCACCATTGCACTCCAGCCTGGCAACAGAGCAAGACTCTGTCTCAAAACAAACAAACAAACAAACAACAACAACAAAAAACTTAGACCTATTCATTTTGAAACAGCCACACCTTGTTCAATTCAAAGTTCTCTTCCTCCCAACCCTGCTGCCCAGCTCAGGCTGCTCTGGGGGCTCTGGTTGCCTAGGATGGAACAGTGGGATGGAGGGGGAAATGCAGCTGAAGAATGGTCTGCCCTTCACTTCTCTGCACTTAGTTTTCTGGTACTGGGATGTGGGACAGGGAAATGATAAGATCCCCAAGACAACCTCTCCAGATGTGGTCCCTCTGGCAAGCTCCTCTCCTGAATCCATGCTCCTTGTCCAGGGGTTGGACAAATTGGAAACACAAGGAACCTCACTGGCCAGTTATTCAGCCCCAATCAGCCCCTTCCACACCCAAAAAGCATTAGTAGCCCCTTTCAAAAACCCATTTCCTCCACCAGCTAGGGGCCTTGTGACTTGTTTTTCTCTGCACCCTTGACTGTGGTGACCCAGAAGCCCTGGAGCTCCTTCCTCTGTCCAACCTTATCTCTCCTCTGGAGACTTTGGCACATGAGGAATTGATTTTTTCTGCCTTTAGAGAAATGAGAACCTGAGGGAGATGTTCTTTCCCCTCTTTGTCTCCCTATCCTACCTCTGATCTCTCCCCACGGCTCAGCTACCACTGGGGTGGATCAGCATATCAAGAGGCTGAGGAGACATTCAGCTAGGGATGGAAATGACCATCTGCCCACCATAGTTTACAAGGCAGTTGTCTTGGGCACCACTTCAGTGCCTCTAGGGAGAAACTAGTTGGTGGCCTTCTCCTTGAGAGAGGGGCAGCCTTGCTTTAAATCTGAAGGATCTCCCCAAAAGCAACCTCTTTCCAGCTTCCAGTCTGCTTATATCTCTCCTCCCCAAGCAGCCCCAGGGTGGCCTCTACTGCACCCTGTGGTCAGTGGTGACAAGTGAGAGGGGCATCCTGTAGCCAGAAGTAGGACTTTCTTTGAATTCCAAAGGACTTGGATAACTTACACCTCCATAGTTCATTATCTCTGTGTCATAAATGAAAGTCAAGAGCAGGAAAAACCTCAGTCAGTACTTCACAACATCCTATCACACAGAAATGAGTTGTTGGCAAGGAAAAGACCCCCATTTGTCCCTAAAGACTTGCATCAAAGATGGGATCCCCTGCCCAAAGCAATTAGGGAAATTCCTACTAACAGAAGAGATGTAGAAACATCTGTTTCCCACTGATGTCAAGGCCAGGGGTGGAGGCGCTGGCCTAAAATAACCTTTCCTGGGCCAAACAGCCTAATGGGACATTTAACCTCTCTGAGACTCAATTTCCTGATCTGTAAAATGACAATTGAATTAGTCCATATGGCATTCCCAGTTCAGAGACTTTAAGAGTTAAGATAATGGAATGTGGTGATCCTGTATAAATAAAAGAAACAAGCAATTTTTTTAAAAGCTATTTGGAAACCCCCTTCACAATTTGTGACTAGAGATAGAATTCAGATTTATAACTGAAGATAATCTTTTCCTATCTCCCCAAATACTTGCAATTTACTTTTTGGCTTACTGTTATATTCTATTGTGGATAAGCCAAATGTATTTTGTTCTGATTACATGAAAGCAAAACCAAGTAACTACTCCAATTAGGTAAGTAAACTCATAAACCTAGAGCGGTACAGCAAAGATGTAAATGAAAACTCACAAAATGTAATAAAGGACTCTAGTGACAAATGGATAAAGAGCAATGATGTCTGTGTTCAGGACCATTAAAATGATCTTAAGACGAAAAGTGGAACCCAAGGGCAGACAGGACAGCAGGCCCCATGGGCACTGGCATCAGCAGCTGGGCCACCAGGACATCCCTCTTGCCAGCGACCCAGGCACATGGCCTCTTATCTCTACATATCTGCTTCCCTCTTATGAAGAGGGGGTGTGGGCAGAGTGGACAAACTGATGAAAAAGTCTGCTGCAAAGTGCAGCTCTCTCAGTGAGGCTTTTCCCTAACAACACTGAGTCTTGGGTTTTAGTTACTTGTGGTTCTGGTTTTAATAGACTTAGCTGCTGTGGGATGCCTAAGAAGCTTAAATTTTGGGTGCCTTAGGATCACCAGGAAGAAAAACAAACAAACCAATAAAGATTTGGATAACAAGAGAGAAGTTGATTGAAAACTGTCAACTCCCTGAAAGTTTTAAACCAGGCATGAAGCCTCCTGTGTCCCTCATTCATCATGTTTCTGAAGACAGTTGACCTGTTGACTTAAAGACATCATTTAAGAGAGTCAGCCAGAACTAATGACAGTGTGAAGACCTGCTAACCATGGTGAGTATTGAGAAAGAGCTAGCTCAATAAGAAAAAGTCAACCTTGGCCTATTACTCAGACATCTTTGGCTTAAAAAAAATAATTTCCAGATCTCACAATAATTTGGACCAGGAGTTAGAAGATCAGACCCTAGTCCAGGTTTGATGCTAATTTTTCAGAAACCTTTTTCCTGGAGCTATTTGGTTAATGCCCCAGAATCCCTTCCCTACTGCCTTCCTTGGCTAAATGTTTTGATGTTTTGGAGAGTGCTAGAATCCTTGTTTCATCACTTACCATCTATATGCCTTGTGTATGTGACTGAATCTCTCTAAGCTTTTCTCACTGTAAAGACTTAAATTGTTAGCTTTCTTTTTATGTCTATGCGATTTGTTATTTTTGTTATATTTTTTAACTCTTTAAGAGCAGTATTTCTCACCTATAATACTTTGTCCTGTATCTTCTACCACCATTAGCATAAAGCCAATCTGGGAGACTGTGCTCAATAAATGTTATTTTTTGATTTTGGCATAAATATTAATAATCATTTATTGCAAAGTCTCACTGGGCAAGATATTGAATCTGGTTACCACCTGAGGGGAGACAGGAAGGACAAACAAGAAATGAGCTTTTCCTTAAGGAAGGTTCAATTCATTATGGGACCAGACAGGTAGACATGCAGCAAACTACTTAGCCATCTTTCCTCTTCTCTCCCACACCATGTGACTCTAGGGAGCCATTTGGGAAGTAGAAACTGTTGGAACAGAGCTATTTTCTGGACAGACAATCCTGGCTTCCTGGATCCTGTTTCTACCGAGACACAGGAAGGGAGCTGCTGATGCTCATTCGATGCCCGTGCCCCATTTTCCTAAAACAAACCCATATTGGACATCAAAGAAGCTATGTAGTTCTTTTCTAAAACTTTCAGTTAGTTGCCTTAAAGGTCCCAACTAAAGGCTGGGTGTAGTGGCTCACACCTGAAATCCCAGCACTTCCAGAGGCTGAGGCGGGAGGATTGCTTGAGACCAGGAGTTTGAAATCAGCCTGAGGAGAATAAGAGACTCGGTCTCTATAAAAATAAAAACAAAACCATTAGCCTGCTGTGGTAGTGTGTGCCTGTAGTCCCAGGCTACTCAGGAGGCTGTGTGGGGAGGATCACTTGAGCTCAAAAGTTCAAAGCTGCAGTGAGCTATGATTACACCACTGCACTCCAGCCTGGTGATTGAGTGAGACCCTGTCCCTAAAAAAAGAAAACCAAAAAAGATCCCAAGTAGAACAAGCAGTGATAAGCAAGGATGTGATGAAGAAGAGAGTTATCCATGCCTTGTCCTTCTGGTCCCCCCATCCTCTAATCACCTTGCAGTCCTTACAGCCTGCGGGGACCTGGGGCCTCATGGTGGATGCCTCCCTCTCCCCAGCTCTCTCTTTCTTCTGGCCAATCCATGCTGATCTTGCAGAGTAGAAGGTGAGGTTGGGAGCATGAGTTCTGGTTTCCATGGATGAGGGGAGAGGATGCGGCTGAATGAGAACGGAGTGAAGGTAGAGGGACAGAAAAGACAGACTTCCATTTCAGGTTACCGTTAGCTTCCTCCTTAATATTTTAAAATCTGACACTATTCACCAGTAAGAGGACTTGTTTTCTTCTGGTAATACCCCAGTAGCCTATGTGAGCAGATCCTATTCCCATCTGAACAGAACTTTGGTCCTCATTCTTGTGAAATAATAACTCTGGACTTATGGAGCTCAGGGACTGTTTGTCCCTTCCATGCTCAGGGTTATCGTGAAGCTCTCTGGTGTTAACTGACAATGAGGAATCCTGTTATCCCTAATTTCTCCCCTTCCCAGGTGGAGGAAAGGAGGCAGAGAAGAGTAAAGATCCAGCCAACCTCGTAACAATGAAATACAAGTGCTAATGTTAATTCTAGCAGTATCCTTCTATAGGAGTCCAAGAAATGTTTGTCCCCTGAGACACTGTGAAGATATTAGCAGATAGTTGAATCTGAATGTTAATTACACTGCCTTCTTCATGATTTCTAGAGAAACTGCTCGAGTGACACTTTCCTATATTCTGAGAGTACAGCACAAATCCAGTGTAATTGTTTTATTCATTTCTACCACTCCCTATCTTAGACTGCTAGCCAATTGGTGGCAAAGCCTGCCCTATCACCACTAGCAACTAAGGGCATTCAACCTTCCAACTTGCCTCTGGCATACAACATTTGTAAAAAGAAAAGAGTAATCTTTCGTCTCCATTGTAAGTGTTTAATTGGTTCAACAGCATCCTCCCTACCCCTCAAGCTCTCGGAGTTAAATATAAATTCAGTCCGTGATTGATGTGACAAAATATATACAAAGACAAATAAAAGACAGATTGCCTTTCAGGTCTGAAGCAGCAAGGCCCAGGAATTCTAGCAACATTGGCTTGTCTGAAACAGCACAGAGTGAATAGTATTATCATAACCAAGAGGGGTCAGAATAGCTGGACAACAGTAGCTGTATAAAAGGAAAGTGCAGGAAGCAAGCACCTGCAATTTGTCTCCAGGGCTGACCCACAGATGTGATTTATCTGTTCCTAGTTGCACTGACAGATGATTCAGCCCTTAAGAGCCCAAAGCCATAAAATACTTGAACCATACACACAAATTCCTTTGTTCTGATTTTATTCTCCGTAAGCAACTGACAAATTACGATTTGATTTCCCATTTATTTTTCAATGGTTCACTTTGTTCTAAAAAGTTTATAAGGGGCTTATAAAAGTGTATATGCTTCAGTTTAAAAGTTAAAATTGAATGTAAATGGACACGGTGGGTTGTGGTTTTGCCTGCCTCATATCCATTTTACCCTTATTATTTTCTCTGGGGAAATGATCTACCTCTCAGGTGGAACTGGTACCATTTCATCACAAGCTCTGAGTGAAGGCATGTAATCCACACCTGCCCTATCGGTAAATTCCATCCATCTGGTCGCAGTGGCTTGGCCAAGTGACTCACAGAAACTCAATCCTGGGGACTTTGTCAAAATGATGGGGAAAGAGAAGCTCTTCTTCCACTGGAACTTTTTTTTTTTTTTTTGAGACAGATCCTCCCTCTGTCCCCCAAGCTGGAGTACAGTGGCTCGATCTCAGCTCACTGTAGCCTCCGCCTCCTGGATTCAAGCAATTCTCATGTGTCAGCCTCCTGAGTAGCTGGGACTACAGAAATGCACCATCACCACACGTGGTTAATTTTTGTATTTTTAGTAGAGATGGGGTTTCATCATGTTGCCCAGACTGGTCTCAAACTCCTGACCTCACGTAATCTGCCCTCCTTGGCCTCCCAAAGTGCTGGGATTACAGGTGCGAGCCACTACACCCGGCCTCCGCTGGCACTTCTAACTGTAGGACAATAGCCTGGTGCTGCCAGAGCCCCCGGGCAGGGAGGCAGGAATCTGAGAATGGAGTCAACACAGAAGAGAGAAGAGCTCTGAGATGGAGAGAGAGACAGCTTATAGCTGAAATGTGAGATTTTTTCATTTTGTTTGTTTTTTAGTTCCCAGATCCAGCCATGGCTGAAGCTAGATTGATTCCTGGGATTTCTTAGTAGATATCATAGATTCTCTCTCTTTTTTTTTTTTCAATTATGTTGAGTTTCTGACCTGGCTGAAGGTCCTGATTAATTCAGTATATGAGAAAAGTAGGGTGAAAAAAAAATAGTGAAGAAAAAAATGAAGCTAGTAGTCAAGTGAGCACACATTCACAAAAATGTTTGCCATGAATTCCAGGATACTTGCTGGTACAGGCTGATCCGTCTACTCAAACTTCACAGCCATCAGTACAGGGCAAAAGCTGCTTAGTCATGTTGGCCAGAGTGTCCACAAGATTAAAACTCACCCAGATGCTCAGAAGAAATAAAACTATATTCCCGATTATGATACTTGAAAAAAAATTCTACCTTGGGCTGCTTGTAAGGAAGATGCTGTGTAAAATGGTGATTCACACCCTCAACCATATTCCTACAATAAATGTGACAATGAATTAATGGATTTCATGGGATTGTTTCTTATAACATCCTGATGACAAAACACCAAAGCACAGTTTAATGAGAGCAGTTTTAAAGTCGGGAAATGATGCAGGCCACTTGTGTAGTCACTGCTAGAATGGTTAGTCAGAACAAAGGTGACACCTGCAGGATAAATGAGTGCAGGCTTGATATGGTTTGGATCTGTGTCCCTGCCCAAATCCCATGTTGAATTGTAATCTCCAATGTTGGAGGAAGGGCCTGGTGGGAGGCGACTGGATCGTGGAGGCAGATTTCCCGCTTTGTGCTGCTCTCATGATAATGAGTGAGTGCTCATAAAATCTGGTTGTTTAAAAGCTTGTAGCGGGCCAGGCGCGTTGGCTCACGCCTGTAATCCCAGCACTTTGGGGGCCGAGGCGGGCGGATCACGAGGGCAGGAGATCCAGACCACGGTGAAACCCCGTCTCTACTAGAAATACAAAAAATTAGCCAGGCGTGGAGGCTGGCGCCTGTAGTCCCAGCTACTCGGGAGGCTGAGGCAGGAGAATGGCGTGAACCCGGAAGGCGGAGCTTGCAGTGAACAGAGATGGCGCCATTGCACTCCAGCCTGGGTGACAGAAAGACTCCGTCTCAAAAAAAAAAAAAAAAAAAAAAAAAAAAAAAAAAAAAAAGGCGTGTAGCACCTCCCTGCTCTCTATCTTGCTCTTGCTGCGGCCATCTAAGATGTGCCTGCTTCTCTTTCACCTTCCACCGTGATTGAAAATTTCCTGAGTCCTCCTGACAAGCCGCTCTGCATCCTGTACAGCTTGCAGAACTGTAAGCCAATTACACCTCTTTTCTTTATAAATCACCCAGTCTCAGATATCTTTTTATAGCAATGCAAGAATAGACTCATACAAGGCTGTACCCCTAGGTGACCGAATGCTTTAGGGCCATAAAGCCACTTAAAAATTCATTTGCTTTGAGCAGCTGATCTAAGTCTTATATTCTATGGCAATTAGTTGACAGGAATCTTTGTCTATTGAAGCCATTTTTTACTCTTACTCTGATTCCAGAAAACCACATCTCAAGCAAAGAAAAGGTTGTTTGTTGGCCGGGCGCGGTGGCTCACGCTTGTAATCCCAGCACTTTGGGAGGCTGAGGAGGGCGGATCACGAGGTCAGGAGATTGAGACCATCCTGGCTAACATGGTGAAACCCCGTCTCTACTGAAAATCCAAAAAAAAAAAAAAAAAAAAAAAAAAAAAAATTAGCCGGGCGTGGTGGCGGGCGCCTGTAGTCCCAGCTACTCAGGAGGCTGAGGCAGGAGAATGGCGTGAACCTGGGAGGGGGAGCTTGCAGTGAGCAGAGATCGCGCCACTGCACTCCGGCCTGGGCGACAGTGAGACTCCGTCTCAAAAAAAAAAAAAAAAAAACAAAGGTTGTTTGTCTTTCTCTTTCTTATGAGGGGAGTGGGCTTCCCATCTAGTTTTCCTAGAAGAAATCCCTCTCTGAGTTAAAAGAGCCTTCCTGCCTACAATCTGGCTGAGATAGAACATTTTTCATTTGTTTGTTTGTTTGCTTTAATCTTATGACTGTCACCACTGAGTGACTAGCATACAAGCAGGCCCTGTGGAGTTGAAGGACAGTTCAGGCAGCCCCTGCTTGCTTACATAAAGTGTTGGAAAACACACCGGAGTTGGACATGTGATAATCACACGGAAGTATATGTAATAAAAGTTTTCTGTTCCTACTGAGATGGAAAAGTCTATAAAGTCCCTAATAACACTTGACCCTCTGGATGCAATTTTGGAAGCTGGGTTTCTAGCATTTTGTATGTCCAACCAATTCTTCTTATTTATATGAACATTATTCATTTAAAAAAAAGTATGAAAAGTTCATTTTAATAATCGCAAATTTTAATTTGTTCCTTTTCTCTCTTGACTGGTATTTCCATTCCATTTCTTCTGTATAATTTCATCCTAATATATTTTTAAATTTGAAAGTTCTTTTGTTGATAGTTATCTTGAACAAATATACTTCTGTCAATTGAAATTCATTATTTTTATTCTTGTGACTGTAAAGTTCTTAGTGTTAAAATTTTCATCGGGATTCAGTTAACATACAATAGATATTAAAACCTGATTGATCAAAACAACAGAACTGTATTATAAATTTTAGTGAGTACTTATTAAACATAAGAAATAAAATTTTATTGAATAGTCCTTTCTTACTGAAACTTAACAGGACTGTTTTTACAGTTGGTTTGTATATTTATGGATAAATATCACTTATTGCTAGAATAAGAGGATTCAACATCAATTCTATTTCTCAGTTTTGTTTTTATAAATATAAGCATTAAGAAACTTGGTTTACATAAATAATTAGAAGGAAATTAGATGGAAAACATTTTGCTTTCTCAATGCCACTTAATCATTTGAGTGCCTTCTAAGTTATATTCAGAAAATCACATAGTGATCCATGTTAAAGTAATTTTTAATGATCTTTGAAAAAAATATTTGGCCCTCTTTTAATTTTCCTGAAGCAAATCATTAAACACCATAATGCTTGGGAAACACCATAATGCTTGGGAAAAGATTTTTTTAAAATCCTGTCATTAAAGTCATTTACTTTTGAAATATTTTATTTTTAATTGCCCCATTTTTCCAGCCCTAGACTTTTTTATACCCACAGTAAGTTCAGGCTGAGTGAGTGGCATGTTCATAAGAGAAGCACGACTGTGACAGGGGAATGGGAAATGGAGAACCAGCGTAATGTCTCCATTGCAGGTAAATTTCATACGGAAATTAGGTATCTGGAAAAAGATTCCCTTAAAACTGATTCTTTATACCCTTATATCCTTAAAAGGCCTCATGTACCTCAGGAGGCCTGTGTATCTCAGTTTGAGGGCCAATATTCTCGTAGAGACAAAAATGTATAAAAATATATACAATGTGATACTTCTTGATACTAAAAAAAAAATGCTATAAAAGGAAGCATATGGTAAAAACCTGGAGGGAGAGTGCTATGTGAGATAAGGCAATGAGAGAGGCCCCTGTGAGAGGGGCTGCCTAACCTGAGCCTGAAGGATGAGCATAGTTGTTTTGCAGAGCTGGTCAGGCATGTTGTAAGTGGGAGGAACAGCATGTGCAAAGGTCCTGTTGGAAATAAGCTTGGCATGTTTGAGTGGCAGAAAGAGGATCTGTGGGGCTGGAGCATGATGACCAAGGGGAAGAGTGGAAGAAAGTGAGGTCCAGAAATGGGCAAGGCCATATTTATGAGGCCCTGAGGGAGCTGCACATTATTTTCAGCATGATTCAAAGCCATCTGAGGTTTTAAGCAGGAGAATGACAAGAGCTGAGTTTTGCTTTAGAAATATCTTTCTGGGTGCTGTGAGGTAGGGGCAGTGGATGATAGGGAAGTAAAAATAAGCTAGCAAGTTGCAAGATAGCTATAGACTACTGCTGTCATCCACGAGGGAAGTGACTGCAGCTTAGAACAGGGGACAACACTGAGGCTGATAAGAAGAACTCAATTTAGGAAAGCATTTGGAGAAAAAGCCAACGAGAATTGCTGATGGGTTGCATATGCAGTGTGAAGAAAGAAAAATAATCTACCTGTAGAATAAATTCTAGAGGTGGAATTGCTTAATCATGTCTATGACATATTTTAAAAAAAAAACATAAACTGAAGTGCTGGGCAGATATTTTGGACGACACACTAAGTGATCAAGAACTCCAGTCTGAAAATCTACCTGGATAAGCAGTGATATGGACCCTACTCATGGGCCATTTTTCCATATCACCATACATGCCCCAGGCACTGAAAACTGCCAAATAAACCTTCTTAAAATGAGGTCCATTTTCAAGGAACAACTCTTATTGACACAGTTCTGATCAGTCCAAAGTGTGCAACTATCTAGTCTTAAGTATGTTTTATTTAAATAATGCCAGTAGGGAGTTGTGAAGCTAAAATTAATGTTTTGAAACTATCCATAATTTTTTTAAATGAATTTTTTATTAACCTTGCAAGAGACGTGATCTAAATTTTTATCCTTTTCTTGCTATAGAACATATTATAAAATTGTTGTAACACAAAAAGGCAATCAAAGAGCAAGCAGCCAAAGGGTAGGAAAGAAGTATTATAGGTATTATAGAGAGTTGTCAGGCAGGTAATTAATAAAATTTAATTTTATCTTGCTTGACTTTGTGATTATTGTGGTATTTTTCAGTAATTAAAAATTTGTAATTCATTGTAGTTTCCTTTTCTCAGACTAAACAAATACTTTCATACTAAATATGTATTTAAATTTTGTATTTTTTATGTGAAAGAGGGCTCCCCAAATTGTTTAAGCTTCAGGACCATAAAACCTGGACCTGCTCCTGGCAAGTGTCATCACTTAATAACATAGGAAAGACTTGACATGGAGCAAATGATTGTTGTTGTTTGGGGAGATGTAATGTAGGGGGCAATTAATAGGGCTTTTTTGGCTTGGTTAAGCTAGAAATGTCCATTTACCATCTTAATGGATGTAGGCAGTTGGATAAATGGGTCTGGAGCTCAAGAGTTCTGGGTTGGACATGTAAGTTTTGGGTATAATTAGTGCATAACTTTAAGAGACTGTGAAGATTCCTAAGGTAAGAGTTTATAGAGAAGGAAAAGAAGAGAAGAGGATTCCTGACAAAGCTCTGAGGTCTTCAACATTTAGAAATTTAGTATAAAAACAGAATCAGCAAAGAGGGCCAAGCAGCAGCAGGCAATGCCATAGGAGGGAAACTAGGCAGGTGGTAGCCCAGAAACCTTGATAAAGGATTCCATGGAAGAAGGGGAGTCAGTCAGGCCAAGCCCAGCTGGGAGGTTGTCTTAGTTCATTTAATGTTGCTATAACAGAATACCTGAATCTGGGTAATTTATAAAGAAAGAAGTTTATTTAGCTCATGGTTCTGGTGGCTGGAAAGTCCAAGATTGGGCAGCTGTATCTGGTGAGGGGCTTATGCTTCTATAACTCATGGCAGAATGCAGAGCAGAAGAAAGCACATGCAAACAAAGAGGCCATGCAGGAGGAGTAATCTCACTTTATAACAACCTGCTATTGCAGGAACTAATCCATTCCTAAGAGAGTGAGAACCTACCCACGACATTAATCTATTCATGAGGGATTTGCTCCCATGAGACAAACACCTCCCACTAGGCCCCATCTCCCAATACAACTGAACTGGCAGTTAAACTTCAACATAAGTTTTAGTGAGGACAAACCACATCCAAACCATAGCAGAGGTCAAGAAAGTCAAAGGTGGGGTTGGTCAAAAGCCTCAGCCATTGGTGACTCTGACATGTGCCATTTTCTTAGAGTGGTGGATGAACAACTCTGGAGAGAATTTAGGATAGTCTTGGAGGTAAGGAAGCAATGGACCGGGTGCAGTGGCTCCCACCTGTAATCCCAGCACTTTGGGAAGCCGAGGTGGGCAGATGACCTGAGGTCAGGAGTTCGAGACCACCCTGACCAACATGGTGAAACTCCGTCTCTTCTAAAAATACAAAATTAGCCAGGCATGGTGGTGCATGCCTGTAATCCCAGCTACTCAGGAGGCTGAGGCAGGGGAATCGCTTGAACCTGGGAGGCAGAGATTGCAGTGAGCCGAGGTCACGCCATTGCACTCCAGCCTGGGTAACAGTGTAAGACTCTGTCTCAAAAAAAAAAAAAGAAGAAGAAGAAGAAAAGGAAAAGAAAAAGAGAAAGGAAGCAATGACAGTGGATATATTCATCCTGCTTGAAAGTATGGCTGCAAAGAAGAACAGAAAAGGGTGGTAGGAGCTGGAGGAGGTGTGGGTCCAAGGGGTGAATTTGGTTTTGGTTTTTTAATGAATAATATTAAGCATATTTATTTGCAAATGGAAATGAACCACTAGCAAGGAAAAACTGATATTGCAGGAAAGAATGGGGATAATTGCAGAATGATCTAGAGTTTGAATGGAAGCCTTTGCCTGATCCATTTTCTCTATACAACATGGAGAGAATTTGGAATCACAAAATGACTATTCTGACTATCGGGGATGGGGCACAGGAGAAGGAGTAATAAAGATTTGAGGTGAGAAAAGAAATGTGAGGTATTCTTGAAGGGAAACATGACTTTGCTGTTTCTATACTTTATTACAAAATTATAAACTCTTTAGGGGAGGCCCTGTGTGTTATACATTTATGGAAACCCCATAGAGTCAGCATAGCATCTTGCATACTCTAGGACTTCAATGCGCTCCTGTTGAGTAGGTGGATGGGTTGGATGGATGAGAAGTGCCTTGTAGGAATCCAAAGGAATAAATTAAAAGACTTCATCAAATGGGGGAAATTTCGAGTGATGAGGAGGATTCCAGATAGGAGGGTGGCATGAGTAAAGGTGCAAGTGTAGCTTCTCCTGGGAGGACTGTGCCTGGATCTGAGGAGAGATATGTGTGTTTGAGATGATGGGAGATGCATTCATATGTGTTGGTGGGATAAGCCCAAATAGGTTATGCCTTGCAAGTGATGTTAAAGACTTTGGATTAGCATGTGATTAGCATGTAATGCGGTATCCAGGTTGAGATTTTTTGGAACTTAGTTAATACAGCCTGGACAAACAGAACATTTAAAGCCACAAGTAGTTTTCAGTCATTCAAAATATAGAAATTTAAACTAGAAAGATAAAGACTTCTGTTTTTAGGGATATCATCTCAAGAAGTCTACAGTACGAAAATGTAAAATAAATACTACTTTCTAAAATGCAGCTACTATTACCCCAAGAGGCTGGAGATTAGCCTAGAAAGTACCATTATTAGACCAATGTGTTATCATTCAATTGCCTGGTAGGGAGTGGGGCACAGAGGAACATGTAAAACCCCAATAGACGGAGGGTGGTGTTTCTCTTGAAAGGAGTGAACATCACCACTGTCAATTGCCCTGGGAAGAAGTAGATCCTATGACAGGAAGTAAGGATTGAGAAGGTAGACTACAGACTAGAGAGGAGGAGAAACTCATCTCTTTCTGTGGGCCTCTGGTGATGAGCCTGATCAGGCTTTGAGTACTTTCAGTGGTGGGCATGAGCGTGTACTTTGTAAGCAGGTCAACATTTAGGCAGAAGGCAGTGGGTTGGCCTGCAGATT
Organism: Homo sapiens; assembly: GCF_000001405.40. Taxonomy (NCBI): domain Eukaryota; kingdom Metazoa; phylum Chordata; class Mammalia; order Primates; family Hominidae; genus Homo; species Homo sapiens. Next base: position 90,977,442 of record NC_000010.11, read on the forward strand.
CAGAGAAATCACATCTAAGTTCTCTAAGTTCTCTTCTTGTGCTTCCCCAACCCTTGAGTCCATTTCAATTCACTTTCAGCCTGGCCTAAGCAAGGTGGTAGGGAGAGAAGAACATGCCTGGGACATGTTTGGGTCCTGGTGGTGAAGGGCAGAGCAGAGCCCTTTCCTGAGGCCTGAATGGTAAAAGCATCATACATGTCACCATGCGCCACAGGGCAGTGATCCCTTGGGACCACAGGCAGTAGTGGCAAGGGCATGAAGTATCATTATTAAACATAAGAGTCTGTCATAGGGGATTTTCTGAAATAACTGAGGGAAACTCTACAAGAGCAGGTGGTAGCCAAAGTCATAGTTTAGCAATTTAATGAAAAAATTCTTAGTGTTTAAGCAGGTGATGATAAGTCAGTCCTCTATCTCCACTCCCTGAATTTGGAACCTTTAGAGATTTAGATACAGGAGACTAAAGATGAAAACGTCAACTTTATTACTACTAGCACTGGCTTGGAAATTGTCATATACACACAGTAAACAACCAGACAGCAGACACACTCGCTCTGTTGGGGCAATATTCCTGGGGGAGACCACAAAGACAAGAATAGCAGCAGGTGTGTGGATCCCCAGTGCCCACTGCCTTCTAAAGAAGAACAAAGTGATCGGTGGAATCAGACATCAACTTTCAGGAAAGGGACTCTGCCCTTTGGGCTGAGAAATTTTAAAGCTGCATTAATAAAGAAATGCCAAGCCCTCCTCTGGAGTAAGTAGAGGTCACAGTACAGTATAAGGATAATATAAGGTTCTGGCATGGCAGCTCAGGGATTGTGGCTGGAGGAACATGAGCTCCTCCCATTGCATAACCAGAAAGCTAGGTCTATGCCTGGCCATTGCTGCTGTGTACTGTGGCAACTTCACAGTGTGAAGGAAAAATATCTTGGGCTCCCTAAATCACTAAGCTAAAGGGAAAAGTCAAGCTGGAAACTGCTTAGGGCAAACCTGCCTCCCATTCTATTCAAAGTTATCCCTCTGCTCACTGAGATAAATGCATATCTGATTGCCTCCTTTGGAGAGGCTAATCAGAAACTCAAAAGAATGCAACCATTTGTCTCATATCTACCTATGACCTGGAAACTCGCTCCCTGTTTTGAGTTGTCCCACCTTTCCAGACCAAACCAATGTTCATCTTACATATGCTGATTGATGTCTCATGTCTCTCTAAAATGCATAAAACCAAACTGTGCTCTGACAACTTTGGGCACATGTCAGGACCTCCTGAGGCTGTCACAGGCACGTGTGCTCAACCTTGCTTGGTAAAATAAACTTTCTAAATTAACTGAGACCTGTCTCAAATTTTCTGGGTTCACATTAGCATGACCTGTTCCCCCAGCATTCATGATTGGGAAGCCACTGCCTTTCTCCTGGCCTGCTCAGGAGGCTAGGTCCAACCCTTGGGATTCACTGGGATTGGCTGCCTTCCACCCACAGCTATAATTCATTTCCAAGGAGCTTTGCATCCAGCTCCTTTTCTAGAAGGCTGATGAGTGAGAATCAGTCTTGGACACATTAGGGCTTACCTTTCTGAGCCACCCCAAATGAGCTTCCCACACCTTCTTCCCAAATTGTCCTCACCTTCTCAGATCTGCAGGCCTTCCAGTGCAGAGGGAAGATCTGCCTAAGTAAGTTTACTGGTTAGAGGAGCAGAAAATGTATGTGTCCTGAAGCAAGATGCTGTGAAAGAGAAAACCCAGAAAAGGCTAAACCTCAGTCCTTCTTCCAAATCATCAGCTTAGTCATTCACCTACCCTTGGAGAGGGGAGCAAAGGATAGAGAAGCTGTCAGAAATATTCTAGTTTTTCCTCCTGGGGAGGGAAGCACAAGTTTCTTGTCCTCTATGGAAATGTGCAGCAGCTTTGGATCAAAAATAAACTGGACATGGATGGATGGTGGTGATGGCTTCACAACAGTGTGAATGTAGTAAACACCACCGAACTGTACACTAAAAACTGGTTAAAATAGTACATTTTATGATATTTACTACAATTACCCAATCACTGTAAAAAAGGAACTGGATCTAATCATGCTTTTGATTTTATTTTTGCTTTGTTTTGAATAGTTAATATATTCATATGATTTTAAATGTAAAAAACACAAATGGCCCCTTCATAATCTTTTCCTAGCTAATGCAGTTTCTTCTTCAGAGGCAAACAATAAAAACAGCATTTTCATATTCTTCCAGAGATATTTTACGCATTCTCTAGCAAATACATGTTTTAAAAATTTTTGACACAAATGGTATTGTATGTTACACACTGTTCTGCAATTTGCATTTTAACTTAATGAAATTTCTTGGGGAATGCTCCATATCAGTGTATCAGAGTTCCAGCATTCATAGAGCTATACGTTTTCCTAGAGCACAGATTTCCGTAGTTGGCTTAACCAGTCCCCCTTATGTGCAAATATAGATGTTTTTACTCTTTTGTTGTTCCAAACAGTGAATATCCTCTTATGTGTGTCATTTCTCATATTTATCTACTCATAAGATAAATTCATAGACATGGAATTGTCCAATCTTGGTTTTAATAGTTTTCATTATAGGCCAACTTGACTTTAATGCTGTTGAGTAGACATTTGGAATGCAGTACTAACTGACCAAGACCTCTAATCTAACAAGCTATCCAGAAAACTGATGATGTCTTTCTTACTCACAGATCATTGTTCCAGTTTCATATGTGCACTAAGGTGGGAAAACTGTCAAACAGACCCCAAGAAAATAATGTCCATTTTCAAAAAGCAACTCTTTCTGGCAGAGGTCTGATTAGCCCATAACACATAACTATCTGATTATAAATGAGCTTTCTTAAAATAATTTTTAATATTTTTTCCCACTGTAATTTTTCCATGTTTCTATGTATGCTATACATTTTTGTTTTGTAACAATTAAAGGGCCCTGACAGGTTAGCCAGAGAAAGTAATATTTATTATCTGTATATTAAGATGAGAAAACAAGGAACATAGGCCAAGGGAAGTTTCCACTTGTCCAAAGTCACCCAGCAAGTTAGTGGGAGAGCCTGAACTAAAATGCAGGTCACAACCTAATCCCATGCTCTGTTCACTGATCCATATTTGTCCTTTTTGCCAGTTCTCAAAAGTAAGTGAGCTGTTCCTAAACCTATTGGGTCTAGAAGTGGTCTCAGTTTATGGGCAGCTGACGATGTCTCACTATGAAGAACTTGTCCTGATGGTGTGCAGCTGCTGAAGATGTATAGCAGGGATCTTCCATGGGAGGTCCAAGAAGGCTGATATCTTCCAGGCTTGCCTATAGGTATATGTGGCTCACATGCCAAGATGGGAACAAGTAAGTCTGAGCTTGGAGAACGTTTGATACTGCTAAGCAGAGAAGAACCAGGGGTGAGTGAATTTTGTGCAATGGGGAAGAATTCTTCACATTGTGTGTACCAAAATGCTATGAACTATTAATATAGTCATGCTTTGCATAACGATGTTTCAGCCAACAATAGATCACATATACTATGGTGGTCTCATAAGATTATACTGGAGCTGAAAAATTCCTCTTGTCTAGTGAAGTAGCCGTCATAACGTAGTACACAATGCATTATTCATGTGTTTGTGGTGATGCTGGTGTAAACAAACCTACTGCACTGCCAGTCATATGAAAGTGTAGCACATACAATTATGTACAGTACATAATACTGGATGATGATAATAAACGACTGTGTAACTGATTTATGTATTTACTATGCTATCCTTTTTATTGCAATTTTAGACTGTGCTCCTTCTACTTATAAAGGAATAAAATTAACTGTAAAGCATCCTTGGGCAGGTCCTTCAGGAGGTATTCCGGAAGAGGGCATTGTTATCATAGGAGATGACAGCTCCATCCTGTTACTGCCCCAAAGACCTTCCAGTGGGACAAGATGTGGAGGTAGAAGACAGTGATATTAATGATCCTGACTCTGCGTAGGCCTAGGCTAATGTGTGTGTGTCTTAGTTTTTAAAAAAGTTTAAAAAGTAAAAGACAATTTAAAAATTTTTATTAGAATAAAGCTTACAAAATAAAGATATAAAGAAAGAAAATATTTTTGTTCAGCCATAGAGTGTTTGTGTTTTAAGCTTAGTGTTATTACAAAAGGTTCAAAACTTTCAAAAAATTTAAAAGTTTATAAAGTAAAAAGTTATAGTTGGCTGAGTGCGGTGGCTCACACCTGTAATCCCAGCACTTTGGGAGGCTGAGGCAGGTGGATCGTGAGGTCAGGAGTTCGAGACCAGTCTGGCCAACACGGTGAAACCCCATCTCTACTAAAAATACAAAAATTAGCCAGGTGTGGTGGTGGGTGTCTGTAATCCCCACTACTCAGGAGGCTGAGGCAGGAGAATTGCTTGAACCCGGGAGGCAGAGGTTGCAGTGAGCTGAGATGGTGCCACTGCACTCCAGCCTGGGCGACAGACCAAGACTCTGTCTCAAAAAAAAAAAAAAGTTATAGTTTAATTTTTAAGGTTAATTTATTATTGAAGAAAAATTTTTAATGAGTTTAGTGTAGCCTAGGTGTACACTAGGTGTTTATAGAGTCTACGATAGTGTACAGTCATGTCCTAGGCCTTCACATTCACTCATCACTCACTAACTCACACAGAGCAACTTCTGGTCCTGCAAACTCCATTCGTGTTGAGTGTCCTATGTAGGTGTATTACTTTATATCTTTTGTACTATATTTTTACTGTATTTTTTCTTTGTTTAGAAATGTTTGGATACACAAACACTAGTGTGTTACAATTGCCTACAGTATTCATTCAGTACAGTAACATGCTGTTGCAACCTAGAAGCAATAAGCTACACCATATAGCCTAGGTGTGCAGTAGGCTACACCATCTAGCTTTGTGTAAGTACATTCTTTGAAGCTTGCACGATGACAAAATTGCCTAATGACACATTTCTCAGAACATAACTCCATCATTAAGCTACATAACTTAAACCCCTGCTATGCAATGAAACTCAGGTAGCATATTAAAAAATAGATAACTCAAGCATTGCATACAGAGAAGCCATTCTTGGAACACCAGACAATAAGCATTGCATTAGATCAGAGCAGTTCTGGGCACATCTATGGTCAACAAGAAATATTCTCAAAGTCTGAACTTTGAGCTATAGTAGACAGACAAACTAAGAATTCCTCAAAGTTAGTATTTCCAACCGTGATGTAAGAGTCTATTCTGAGTGTTGTGACAAACTATCTCCAGATCTCGCTAGAGTAACACAATAAAGGTTTGTTTCTCACCCATCACAGTCGGGTATGGCTGTATGAGGGAGGCGTGAGGAAGGATCTGCTCCTCGCCCATCACAGTCGGGTATGGCTGTATGAGGGAGGCGTGAGGAAGGCTCTGCTCCATGCATTCATGGAAGTGGCCTTGATCACCAGCCTAGCACTTCACTGGCAGGGCTCAGTCAATGACATCTAGTGGCTGGGAAGCTCGGAAATGAGCTTTCCTTTGTGCTCAGAAGTAGGACTTGGGCGAACACATAGCAGTATCTCTGCTCCATCCACATAAACGGGCTCAGAACTTAAATGGAAAGAGACGCTGAAGAGGGCATCAAATATATGAGAACTGGAACAGGGAAAGGAACAAAGATCTGAACAGGATCAGATAGAGATATTTGCCTACAGACAAGTCCTTGGTTAAAAGACCGTGGAAATTGATTCTAGAACTATATATTATTTATGGCTTGTGGGACGCAGAAATGTGTTCTGGTTACCTGTGCAATAAACTGTACATACTTCTCATTTCAGAGTTGGAGTCAATCACTCTCTGTTGGCCTTTTTTGCTGTCTTTACAAAGTCATGGGTTAACGAACCCTACTGGGTACTTCTAACATGAGGTGTCTGGGCTGGGAGAGTCTTACTGGCAATTGATGTCAAGATTCTTCGTCCAGAGGCACAGAGCAGAAAGGTTCTTGGTCCACAGACACCTTAAAACAAGGCCACCCTGGCCAGGTTTATTCCCGTCTGGCGGCCTACACATTTCTTATATCCTGGAAAAACTGGTGAGCAAGCAAGTGTCGACCTCAGAGTCTCTGACAGGGCTATTTTGAAACCACACACCATGAAAACTCTCAGGGAAGTTAAAAAACAAACAATCATAACCAAGGCAGTTTAGCTGTTTTGAAAAGAGATGGAGCTTCATTACTTCAAACCCAAATTTCTGCAAGCCTGACAACCACCTTACATCAAAATAAACGTCTACCTGCTAGCTGAAATGTTTAAAAACACAGGTGAGCTCTATTCTCTGAAATACAAGCCTTCTCTAACCTGAGAAATGTAAATACCTATGAAGGTGGGTCCATGAAGGGGAGGTTGATGAGGATGGGCCTATGTAAGAGTGTGTGTCAAGGTTGTTACTTGTATTTGTGTTACCCTGTGGATGTGTGTGTGTGTGTGTTTGTGTGTGTGAGAGAGAGATTCAGAGCAGGAAGAGGAAGGCAACTCACATGGATCCATGTTTTTCGTAACACTGTGTGAAACTCCAGTTAATTGACTGTAAAAAAATAGGAACCCACAAGTAACTGACATTAGTACCGCTGAAAGGCTCCCAGAAGACCTAACTCTTGCTGGCTCCATAATCACAAGCACCTGCAAAGCTCTGCCTTGGTGAGGAGAGGGCAGAGCACACCTGCTAACCGACATCTGCCTGGAGGAAGGAAAGACAGAGCTTCAACCCTGAACACAGAGTGCTGGTCTCTCTTATGTGCTTGACTGTCATGCTCAGTTGCATTGTGCATGAGTCTGCCTGTCAGCCTGCACTGAATTTTGCAGCACTGTTCCAGGGTTTACTATCTGCACTCTGTTCCCAAAGACCTGTTGCCCCTACCTGTGTGCTCCCGGAGGAATCTGGTTTCTATAACAACAGACCCCATCACCAGCGTGGTGCACAAGGCCACCTGCCAATCCATTCTGATTAAGCCCAGCCCTCAGCCTGTCCCCTCCAGACCTGTCACACCAATTCCCATTCAGGCACCAGCACTGATCATCAGTATTTCCCAAGAGTGGAAAGGGGAAAATAGAGACTCAGTAAATATATGTAAATAAAAGCAGAGTTTTCGTAAGCCATTCTAATCTTGATATAGTTTGCATTTCCTTCACTGTTGCTTTATAAAAGCCCTCTTAAGCTTGCAGCAAGAAGAATAGGAAGTCAGCTGTCAATTAGCTTACTATGATGTTTTCTCAGTCATATTTTGAAAGAGAAGTTGAATTCAACATTTTCCAAAAATCTGCAAACAGCAGCATGCTGCATTTATGGAGATGACACCTTTTGTGGGTTTTTCTCTTTCATGGGTAGGATTTTTCGGAGAGACCACACTGGGAGAAGAGAATAGGTGAGGAGTTGCTCTGTGAGCTTGCTGCAATCTGGAAGGAATAAAGTTGCAGAAATAGGAAATTGGAAGCAGAAATAGGATATAGGAAAGTCTTAAGGACTACGATTTTTGTATTGCAACTAGATTCACCTTTGCAGCCATCCTTTTAACAAGACAAGCCACTCAACTAATACATGCTCTGAAGGAGCGAACAGAACTGACTAAACTAATACAGAAGCAGGGGCTCAGTGGCTGCAGGTTGCATGAAAAATTACCCATTGCAGTTGCAGGGCCCCATTGTGAGCACCGGTCCTCTAGGAGAATGCTGGGCTACTTCTTTCTTTACCAATTGTTGCTAAGAGCAGGTGACCTCACATGCTGTTTTAGCAACTCTTACTACTGAGAATTATTCTCTTGGGAAGTTCAGAAGCTGGCAAAATAAATCTTTGTATTCACTCTGCTTATATTCTGACAACACTGACTAAAATCCTCTACTTTGAAAAGGAAATATTCTTCCCAGGCAAATGCAACTGATGAAATAGATTCTCTGTGTGTGGATTTGAAGGTGTTAAAGTAATGATACTAATTGCTTTCATTTTGATAAGCTTTACAGGCTCCAGAGTTCTCTCACGAGTTCCATTTCATTTGATATTTGCAGTTACCATGTGAGGTAAGCAGAGCTGACCTTGACTGGCATCTCTATCAGCAGCTCAGTGGGATTAAATGGCTTGCCAATGTCACAAGGTGAGAAGTTGACACGAATTGCAATGCAAATATTCTGGCAAATAAGTTAGCAGGCTTTCTATTCTACCATTCTGCTCAACTTAAAAAATAATCCTGTGGATTTTTAAAACTGTAATGGCCACTCATGCACAAGCCCCTGGAATATTCACAGGCTGATGAAAGCAATCTATTTTGGTGATTCAGGGAATATTGAGCTGCTGGTTTTGAGCAAAAGCAGCTGATGCAAATAAGCATGATATATTCATATATTCATCCATTTGAAAGAAATCTGATGGCAGGAATTTTCTCCCAACAAAGCAGATTCTAGGATGTGCAAGCATCTGTACACACGCATGTCATTCTCTGCAACCTCCATGCTTATAGGAGACTCCTTGAGCATTAAGACTTGACAGAATCTTAGAGGTAATTTTATTCAACTTCATGCTACAGGGGAGGAAAGCAGGTTCAGAGAGCAGCGTTTGCCCAGGTCACACAGTTTATAGTTGTCAGACGTAGGACAAGACCCCAGACCTTCAGATATCACACTCAGTTCAGAGTGATTCTTCTGAGTCCCTGGGAGGTTCCAAGTTACTACAGTACCACTAAATTACATTCAATGCAGTATTTAAGCAGATGAGGCCTTTTAGCAGGATTTAGAGCAACAAAGGCTGAAATCAAAGGCCTTTGATTAGCTTAAAGTTGTTCTGACAGTGGATCTCTCCAGAGTATGGGCTCACTGGAAATCAGTGTCCTACAGCCTCAGCATTGGAGTGTGAAGCTGGAGTTGGCTGATGCTTGGTGTGGTGTGATGGTTGGGATAGGATTTGGCTCTGTGATCCTGTGCTTTCTACATGGCTTAGTTTATCAGCCAGAGCACAGTGTGAGTCCCAGAAAACCTGGCCAAAACAATCCTAACCCATGTAGCAAGGGGCTACGGTATTTATTCAGGGGCTTTCTCAGAAGGCTTTCCAAATAGTCCATTGGAAGGTCTATTTTCAAACCTCAGTCCAAGACCAAACCACTTAGAGTTATGTCAGCAGCTTTGCCCTAGGTGTCCCTGAGCTGTTGTCAGCAGGTTTCTAAAAGAATCACACTAGCTTGGGACTCGCACTGTGTCTCTGAAGGAAAGTCCTGAGAGGAGGGTCAATAAGAAACTTTCCCTTACATCTCTGCATCAGGAAATTTATCAAAGTAGGGTTGAGGGATGCTTCTATGGTGTAGCAGATACTGTGTGGTGTGCTGTCCTGACCCATCTCAGGACAAAAGCACATACCCTCCCAGATGCTGGGAATGTGGCCTGCTGATGGCCCATAGCTGAGTTTCACCCCAGGGATTGTCCTTGATCAAAGGTTGCTGCCTCAAGATTGCAATGCCTTCCCTGGGAATAGCCTGCATCTGACCACAAGTCAATGTAGGGGTACAAAAGTTTGGCCCCTTTGCTCAATTTGGGCCATCTTTGAAGGACTACCCCAGCTCCACAGCTCCCTGGGGGTTGGGCTGAGGCCTCTGTGCTACTGCCTCAGAGTGCAACTCTCCATCAGTTCAAGCCTTCACCACCCACCCTTTTACAGATGTTGTTTCGCCACAGCACTCCCCAGTAAACACCTGCGTGCAAATCTTTGTCCCAGAATCTTTTTCCCAGGGACCTTGACATACCACAGACACACAGACATGCACACACTCAGACATATTCTCTTTTGCCTTCTTTAGTGCCAGCATCTTGTCACCTGATGGAGAATACTCTATCAACAACTACATATCAAATGTCTGCAATGATCTTTTCTATCCAAACAGCTAAAGAAATCTGTATTCCTTTCCTATGGCTGCTGTAACAAATGACAACAAACTTGGCGGCTTCAAACAACACACATTTATGCTGTCATAGTTCTGGAGGCCAGAAGTCCAACATCATCATTTTTACTAGGCCAACATCAAGGTGTCAGCAGGGCTGGGCTCCTCTGGAAGCTCTAGGGGAAAATGCAGTTTCTTGCCTTTTCCAGCTTTTAGAGCTGAATTCTTTGCATTTCTTGGCTTGTGGTCCCTTCCTCCATCTTCAAAGCCAGCAGCGTAATGTCTTGCTTCAGTGGTTATGCTACCTTCTCCTTCTGTGTCAAATCTCTCTCGGCCTCTGCTTTGTAAGGACATTTATGATTGCATTTAAGACCCACCTGGATAATGCAGGCTAACCTCCCCATCTCAAGACCCTTATCTAATCACACCTGCAAAGCCTCCTGCCATATAAGGAAACAATCACAGGTTCTAGGGATTAGGACCTGGAGATCCTTGTGGGCCATTATTTAGCCTACCATGGAATAATAGAGCAAGTTCTGAGACATATACATTGTGATTTCAATCTGTAGTTTATCTTCACCCCAAAGTGAGGTAGCCTCAGAATCTTCTTTTTGCCATCCATTTGCTATTGTCCCAGGCAAACTGGTCTCAGCTGGGATGTCTACTTCTTGATTTAGGCCTTTATTAAGAAACACCAGTAATTGTTACATTTTTACCTGCTGCTGCTAGAACCCCTCTCTCTGTCTCCCTCCCTAACCCTGCCGGGTGGCTGCCTTTCTACCCCCTCTACTCACCAGATTGTATCTGCACTCACTGAGTGACCCTGTTGTCTATGTGGGAATAACACTGTGGCCACACTATGGCATTGGGCGGGGGGCAGGGTGCAGGTGGAAGAGGAGAATAGAATAGTGTTTTAAGCCTAATCAGCAGATTCCTGTGTCACTTCCTTAAAGGATTCTCTGTCAGTAGCAATTTGGGATGATACCGCGTGACCCTTCAGAATGGAATTGGAATGGCTGATCTTCACATACTCATTGACCAGAAATAAGACCAAGAAATCTGCAATCTCATTTTTTCCCACCCCCAATTATCTATTTTTTAAAAAGTTGTATTGATTGGTTGAAAAGTCTTTTTTTTTTTGAGAGATAGAGAGAGAGAAAGAGAGAGAGAGAGAGAGGGTCTCACTCTGTCACCCAGGCTGGAGTACAGTGACGCAGTCATGGCTCACTGCAGCCTCGACCTCCTGAGCTCAAGTGATCCTCCCAGCTCAGCCTCCCAAGAAGCTGAGATCACAGGCCAATGCCACCATGCCCAGCTAATTTTCTGTAGAGATACGGTCTCACTTTTTTGCCTAGGCTGGTCTCGAACTCCTGGGCTCAAGTGATTCTCCCACCTGGGCCTCCCAAAGTGCTGGGATTACAGATGTGAGCCATCATGCCCAGCCTCCTACCCCCCATTCTTTTAGCTTGTTGTTTCTACCTCCTCTCTGGACCATATGGCTTGATCTACATATTTGTCTCCCCCACTAGAATGTGAGCTCCTTTCTTCATCTTTCTGCTCCAATGTAGCAACTACCAAGGGGCCACCTGACAGAACATGGCCGCTGCAGAGGAACCCTGCTACCTGCAGTTGGTGACATGGCCTAGGTCCCAGAGGCCTCGTGGTGCCACACACACAAGAACAGGCACCAACAACCAGTGACATTTTGACAGTCAAATGGAACCTGTGACTGCCATCTGTAGATGTGCCAGCCAAGAATGTGACCCTGGGGAAAGCCCTTCACACAGGTCTTTCCTTGGTGTATTTATATTTAGTTCCAGCGAAAAACTGCAGTTGTTTTTCTCAGTGACAGGCATCAAACGATAACCGAAAAGAATGAGAAATAATTGTTCCCTTTCTCCCTGTTAGGAGATTGTACTCTTTGAATTTGGGACCACAGCTCTCTGAACAGCTAGCTCTCCCATGCCTGGCTCATGAGACATCATAAATGTTGATTGTATTAAAGACAATTTAGAGGGAAAGGACTTGAATTCTGGTTCTAAGCTATTAAAAATATTTCTACATTTTAATTTTTAAATTAAGAAAGATTTTGTACATATGGAAAGGTGCAGAATATAAAACAGACAACCATATGCTTACCATCCAGATTAAACAACTGTTAACGTTTTCTCGTATTTACTTCAGATCACTTGAAACAAAAGAAAGACAAAAAGATACGGCTAAAGCCTTGGCCCCCTTCACTCACATCCCTCCCCTCCTCCCCTCTGCAGAGCAACTTCTGCCTGAAGCTGGTGTGTGTCATTTCCATGCATGATCTTGTGCTTTCAGTACATATTTGTATATCCAAAACAATATTTACTATTGTTTTGTGTGCATTCTTAATTTACATAAATGGCATCATATTGTAAATTCTCTTGCAACTTGGCTTTTCTTACTCAACAGTACATTTTAGGGACTTATTTATGTTGTGTGGATACAGTGTAGACCTAGTTCATTCATTTTAACTTAATTGTGAAATACCATAGTTTACTTATCCATTTCCCTATTGGGTAAAATTAGTTATTGCTTTATTGTCGTTGTTGTTTATTGCAATGAACATGCCTGTGCATGCATCTTTGTGCACGTGTTTGTTAGTGTAAATGCCCTGAAGTGAAATTGCTAATTAGTAGGAAATATACTTCTGCACCTTCCTTAGCAGAGACAAATTGTTCTCCCAAGTGGTTGTACCTATTTGAACTCATGCTAGATTAGAAATCCCTGTGTTCCTACATCCTTACCATCATTTGTGAGGCTTTCAATTTTTCTTATCCAATAAGTACAAATGACATTTTATTTTTTTAATTCACATCTCTCTAATTATTCATGAGCTTAAGCATTTTTACATGTTTACTAACCAGTTGTGTATGTGCATGTGTGTGCATGTGAGAGAGAGAGAGAAATAGGTTTTAATCCTTTGTTCTTTTCTTATAAATTTATAGTTGTATTTATTCTGAAGTTCTTATCTGAGTTGAAAAGTGTTCTCACAAATGGTATCTTGCCTTTTAATTTTGTTTATGTCATGTTCTATTATAAATAGCTTTTTAATTTTCATGTAGTTAAATTTATATGTCTTTTCAAGGTTTGTGGGCATTTGTCCCTTAGTTAATAAATCTGTTTCTAACTCTACATTCAAGATATTCTCCCACATTGTTTTCTAAAAATTCTAAATTTTTTTTCCCTTCACATTTAAATTTTTGTCCATCTGGAATTTACTTTTGCTTATGTGATGAGTAGGGATCTAATTTTATCTTTTTCCAAGCAGAAAGTTAATTGTCAAGGATGATCCAGACTTTCCCGCTGTTTGAAATGTCATTTCTGGTGTTTTTTTTTTTTTTTTTTTTAGATGGAGTTTTGCTCTTGTCACCCAGGCTGGAGTGCAGTGGTGTAATCTCGGCTCACGGCAACCTCTGCCTCCCAGGTTCAAACGATTCTCCTGCCTCAGCCTCCTGAGTATCTGGGATTATAGGCGCACGCCACCACGCTCAGCTGATGTTTTGTATTTTTAGTAGAGATGGGGTTTTGTCATGTTGGGCAGGCTGGTCTCAAACTCCTGACCTCAGGTGATCCGCCCACCTCGGCCTCCCAAAGTGCTGGGATTACAGGTGAGAGCCACCGCGCCTGGCTGAAATATCATTTCTGTTAAATACAAATTCCCATATATAAGTGGATCAGTTCCTAGACTCTACCATTCTGTTGGTTCATTTGTCTATCCCCACACCCATACCAGAATTTTAACATTATTATAGCTAAAGAGCAAGTCTTAATAGCTGGTGTGGTGTTTGCCCTTATTTTTTTTGTTTTAGCTCACATTTGTTTTTGTTTTCATTAGTCTTTCCTCTTCCAGTATTTTAGGATCTGATTGTGGATTCCTGTGAAAAATGCTATTGGAATTGATAAAGGAAGTGTACCTAAATAGGTTAATTTGGAAAAATTTTGCCACTTGTACTATAGTTATCTATGGTAAATGTGATATATCTCTCTATTTAGGCCTCCTTTTTATATTTATATCATTTAATATGGATTTATAATTTTTTCTGTAAATATTTATACATTTTTATTACCCATATTATGAGGTATTTATAGTGCTTGCTACAACTGTAAATAGCAGCTTCTGAAAAATGATATTTTCTCACAATTTATTGTAGATGTTCGGGGACCATCTTAAAAATCAGTTTTTAATTAGGTAACTTGTTGAATTTCCTTATTCCTTTCAATAGTTGGCTGTTACTTATTTTGAATTTTTTAAACTAGATAATCATAGCATCTAAAATCATAGGTGGGAATTGAACAATGAGATCACATGGACACAGGAAGGGGAACATCACACTCTGGGGACTGTTGTGGGGTGGGGGGAGGGGGAGGGGTAGCATTGGGAGATATACCTAATGCTAGATGACGAGTTAGTGGGTGCAGCGCACCAGCATGGCACATGTATACGTATGTAACTAACCTGCACAATGTGCACATGTACCCTAAAACTTTATAATAATAAAAAAAAATTAAAAAAAATTAATAATACTGTGGCTCACGCCTGTAATCCCAACACTTTGGGAGGCTGCAGCGGGCAGATCACCTGAGGTCAGGAGTTCGAGACCAGCCTGGCCAACCTGGTGAAACCCAGTCTCCACTAAAAATACAAAAATCAGCCAGGCATGGTGGCAGGCACCTGTAGTCCCAACTACTTGGGAGACTGTGGCAGGAGAATTGCTTGAACCCAGGAGGCAGAGGTTGCAGTGAGCCAAGATCACCCCACTGCACTCTAGCCTGGGCAAAAGAGCGAAACTCCGTCTCAAAAAAAACCACCCACACGAAACAAAAAACAAATAAACAAGTCCCAAAAAACAAAACAAAACAAAACAAAACAAAATTAATGATACTTTTATTTCTTCCTTTTGAATCTTGCTTTATTGTATTTCTTTACTTGTTATCACTTTACTGAATAGGACTTACAAAGCAATGCTAAATAAGGGCTTTTGATAGTAGGCATCCTTCCCTTATTCCTGAACTTAACTGGAATTATTTTAGAGATTCACAAAGCATAACTTTCACTGTAGATTTGTAGTAGATCACTTTATTGGGTTATTATTTTTATTTCTAACATGCTAAAATATTTTGGTTATTAATGGGTATTGAATTTTATCAAATGCATTTTCTGCATCTTTTGAAGTGATCATATTTTGTTCTTCTTTATTGTGTCTGTGTAGTAAACTACCGTAATGACTTTTCTATTGTTAAACTTTTACTTCTTAAGTAATCCAGCTTTGTCATAATGTAATATTTTTAAACACTACTAGTTTCAGTTTGCTAATATTTGATTTCAAAATGTCACGTTTATAAGTGACATCAGCCTGCACTTTTCCTCTTCTGTATTGTCTTTTTCAGTTTTTGTTTTCAATGTTATATTAATATCATATAATGGGTTGAAAAACTTTCAATCTTTTCTTTTTTCTGTATCAGATTATACAAAATAGAAATCAAATTTTTCTTGAAACTTGGGGAAAACTTACCTGCAAAACTATCTGAGGTAACAGCTATTTTTTTTGTGACTAAATTTTTAATTATTGATGAAATATTTAAGGCCATAGGTTTATTCAGCTTTTTTATTTTTTAGTTACATTTTCTAGAAATGTTTTTATCTAAAAGTTAAATATTAGTGGCATAAAGTCATATATAGCAGTCTCATGTTTTTGTAAATGTGTGTTACATCTATTGTTACATATTTTTCTTTCCCAGTATGGTTCATTTGTACCATTTTTCTTTTTCTTCTAATCTTAGACCTTCGTTGGCCATCTCAGTTGCTTAATTGTTTTCTATTTCACTAATTTTTGCCCATATCTGTGTCTTCTTTCCTTTGTATTTTCTTACATTAACAGTTTTTTTTTTGCTGACTTCTTGGATTGATTACATGTGTTCATTAGTTATCAACCTTTCTTCTTTTCAGGTGTGTGTATGTGTGTATGTATATCTACAATTTTCTCTCTAAACTATTGCTTTAGCTACATCTCCAAAATTTCTATGTTCTGTTTTCCCTTTGTCATTCAGGTCTATTTTAAAAATCTCCATTATGATTTCTACTTTGACTCATTAATTATATAGAAATGTTTCAAAATTTCCAAACATATGGTTCCTTTTTTGGTTTCATTTTTGTAATTTATTTTCAGTTTAATAGCGTGTGAAAAGGGAATGCGGTCTGTAGGATTGATTCATTTTTTATTTTTAGATACTTTTTTGTGGCCAAGTATGTGGTCATCCAAAAATAAGTTCAATGTGTATTCTCTAATTGTTAAGTACAGAAATGTTATGCTCGAGTTATTAAAAATGTTATTTCAAATTTTGGTATGTTTACTAATTATTTTGTTTGCTTGTGCTATTTAGTATTGAGCATTGTATTAAAATATCTTATTGCGGCTGTGGATTGCTTGACTTTTTTGTGATTCTGGTCATTTGTGGTTTATATATTTTGAGACTACATTCTTAAAAGTCTACAATCTTGGAAGTTTTAGATCTTCATGTGGAACGGTGCCTTGCCTACCTGTATGATTATACCTCCGTTGTCTTTAACTCTTCTTCCTCTTGGAACTAAGTCAGGTCCAGGGGGACCTTGATGCCATTGCTTATGCCCCATTCCCGCTGCTCTTGGATTGAGGGTTTTTGTTTTGTTTTGTTTTGTTTGTTTTGTTTTGTTTTGTTTTGTTTTTGAGACAGAGTCTCACTCTGTGGCCCAGGCTGGAGTGCAGTGGCACAATCATGGCTTACTGCAGCCTCACACTCCTTGGCTCAAGCGATCCTTCTGCCTCAGCCTCCCAAAGTGCTGGGATTACAGGCATGAACCACCACACTTGACTGGATGAAGTTCCACAGCCCACTTTTGAGAAGCTGGTTTTGCTAACTTTGCTCCAGGATACCCTTTATGCTGCCACCCATGCACTGCCTTGCTCCATGTCCACTGCTGTAAGGGAGCGTTTCCACTTATTTTGTGATTCAACTTTTAGCCATCTCCAAGCTTTGTTAAAATTAGAGATTGAATTTTATTTTTCATTCTTCTTGGTGCTTTTGGATGCTTTCCATGAAACACCAATTTTTGCTGGCATCTTCACACTGGAATTTTGACATGAAGCCTAGAGTTAATCAATATCTTTGCCCTCCTGCTGGACATTACCATAGTACCTATTCATTCTGGTCACTCCTTCTTGAATCACATGCTCTCTTTGCCTAGCATGTTAGTGATACCTCATTTTTATAACCCCAAACTAGTCACCATTATATTGTTTTGGGATCAATGCCTGTTTAGATTTGCCTTTGTATTTAATATTTACCAGTCTCTGCTCCTCTTTGCTTCTCACTTCCTGTGCCTTCTCCCAGAGAAACGGAGCTTTTGGAATTCTTTCAGCAGGGAACTGTGAGTAGTAATTTATTTAAATCTGTGCTTGCTTGCCTGATGATGTCCTTATTTTGCTCTCAGTCTTGAATTTTAGTTTAGCTGAGAATAGAATTCTAGGGTGTCAGTTATTTTTCCTCAGCACTTTGAAGTTGTCTCATTACTTGTTTCTATTGTTGCTATGAAGAAATCAGCTGGCAGTTTAATTTACAGTTTTACAAACTTTGTTTGATTTTACATTCATATAAGTAAAACCAACTTTGTGCTCATCCTCTAGAATAAGTATTTTACACCTAAATTTATCTATGTATTAATGTACTAATATGTACATAATACAACATATGTAAAATAAAAAAAATGACTACGTATATGAAAAAGTTTTAAAATCAAAATAAAAAGCATTTGCTTTTGCTAAATTGTTATTAGTTATAATTAATAATATTTTAAAGAGTTAAATGTAGATATTAATGCTTCATTGATTTTAAAATATCTTGATTTAACATTTAATTTGACACTGCTTTAACATAAAGCAATAGGAAGATCTGGGTTTATGTTTGGCTTATTTTGATGCTGGTTTCAGTGGCAATAATTGCCAATAACAAAAAGTTTAATTACCTCACAAAGGCGTGTGAATACAAATAAGAAAAGCAATAGCTGCACTTACTAAGTCATGATGCTTATTTTTTAAAATCCCATTTACCAACTGTACCAACGTTTTTCTTTAAAGTCAGCTATTATATTTCTGTTTCCCTTTATGTCAATCAATTCTTGTGACAAACAATTTGGAATTTGTTGCATTTTTACATATTTAAAAAATGTGTTCAACCCACTAAAACTCTGAAACATTTAGAAGCATTATAGACAGATTAGAAAATTCTGTTTCTAAATTTTTTTGTGTTTTTTTTTTGCAAATATGAAAAAATGCTCAACATCACTAATGATCAGGGAAATATAAATCAAAACCACATTGTGATATCACCTTTCTCCTGCAAGAATAGCTATTAAAAAAAAAAAGATGTTGGCGTGGATGTAGGGAAAAGGGAACACTTCTACACTGCTGGTGGGAATGTAAACTAGTACAACCAATATGGAAAACAGTGTGGAGATTCCTTAAAGAATTAAAAGTAGATCTACCACTTGAATCAGCAATCTCGCTACTGGGTATCTACCCAGAGGAAAAGAAGTCATTATTTGTAAAAGATATTTGCACACACGTCTACAGCAGCACAATTCGCAACTGCAAAAATATGGAACCAGCCCAAATGCCCATCAAGCAACGAATGGTTAAAGAAGTTATGGTGAATACTACTCAGCCATAAAAAGGAACAAATTAATGGCATTCTCAGCGACCTGGATGGAACTGGAGACTATTTTTCTAAATGAAGTAACCCAGGAATGGAAAACCAAACATTGTACGCTCTCACTCGTAAGTGGGAGCTAAGCTATGAGGATGCAAAAGCATATGAATGATACAATGGATTTTGGGGACTTGGGGAAAAGGGTGGGAGGGGGTTGAGGGATAAAATAATACAAATTGGGTGTAGTGTATACTGCTTAGGTGATGGATGCACCACAATCTCACAAATCACCACTAAATGACTTACTCATGTAACCAAACACCACCTGTTCTTTAAAAACCTATGGAAATAAAACATTTTAAGAAATATATGCAAACATGAGGCCTGTGACATCCTTACATTGTTTTGGTGACCAAAAAAAACCACATAATTATGGAAAATGTTTGACATCCCTAACAGCAGGAACTACTTTTGTTAAGTTTCTGTGTCACTTTAGGCAAAATGCTTCCATTCTGTGTACCAGTTTTCCTCATGTGAAAAACAAGAGGGCTGGCAGATGAGTTCTGAATGTCCTACCAGCCCTAAGGTGCTCAGATGCATTCCTAACCTGCCCTAGCAGAGCCCAGCAGAAAACACAGGCTCTTGGGTAGATCCTGTTACATGAAACATTGCACATGCCCATGGTGGAATACTGTGCAGCCATGAAGAAATAAGGACACTCGGTATGTGCTGGTCTGGATGGAGTTCCAACGTATCATTTAAAGAAAACAGCAAAGCAAAGAAGAGTATGTAAAATGGGATCCCTTTTGTATACTTTTTTTTAAAAAAAAGAACAGATGGATAAATGGATATGGAGTTGCTGGTATAAACACTTTTGGGTACAGAGATTTAGTGGTTAACAGTTAAGAATGGTTGACAGTTATGAGAAGAGAAGTTAAGGCATGGAAGCTCGCTCTTAGTCACTCTCTTTTTTCTTTGCACTTTTAAAAAATATTTGAGGCCAGGAGTGATGGCTCTCACCTGTAATCCTAGCACTTTGGGAGGCTGAGGCAGGTGGATCACTTGAGATCAGGAGTTCAAGACCAGCCTGGACAACATGGCAATACCCCATCTCCACTAAAAATACAAAAATTAGCCAGGCATGGTAGCAGGTGCCTGTAATCCCAGCTACTCGGGAGGCCGAGGCAGGAGAATCATTTGAACCCAGGAGGTGGAGGTTGCAGTGGGCCGAGATCATGCCACTGCACTCCAGCCTGGGTGACAGAGTGAGACCTTGTCTCAAAAAAAAAATTTTTTTTGAATGGTGTAACTCAGCATGTATAATACTATATACATATATATGTATATGTATGTTGTATATGTATGCATGTGTATATATATTTCAGATATCATATATACTATATATATGTATATATCAGCAGGAGTTTTCACAACAGGGACACTGAACATCATTTTTTTCTGCTTTATTTTCTTACTTCTACTTTTCTATTTAAAAAACTTGTAAAGAAAAAAGAAGTAAAAGACTAAAGTCCTCATAATATACCTGTATTCATTGGCTAGGACTGCTGTAACAAAGTACTACAAACCGGGGGTCTTAAACAACAAAACCGTATAGTCTCACAGTTCTGGAAGCTAAAAGTCTGAACTCGAAGTGTCAGCAGGGCTGGTTTCTTCTGAGTGCTGTGAAGGGGAATTTGTTCCAGGCCTCCTTCCTTGGCATGGGGATGACCATCTTCTCCCCGTGTCCCTTCCCATCATCTTCCCTCTGTGTGCATCTGTCTCTGTATCCAAATTTCTCCTGTTTAGAAGGACACCAATCACATTGAATTAGGGCCTGTCCTGATGACCTCATTTTAACTTGATTACATCCGTACAGACTCCATCTCCAGATAAGGCTGCATTCTGGGGCACTGGGAGTTAGAACACTAACATATCTTTTATGGAAGGAAACAATTTAACCCACAAGTATACCTAATATGACAAAATTCATAGAAATAGAGAAAATAAATACCTTATTTTTCTGGAGAAGGTAGCATTGGACTTCATTCTTGAAGGATAAATTGGCCTTTATCCTTGACTAGAGAGAAGTAGTTAATTTCAATAGCCCTTTCCCTTCTTTCCCTGGAGCAACATGAGGAAATGTGTGGTTGGAAATGAAGATTACATATGACCAGTACACTCAAGAAAACTGTCTGCTTGAAAATCAATGTTTCATTAAGTTCAGTGAACATAACATGAGACAGAACTGATGGGGCCAGATTAAGGGAGTAGATCTAAGTGGAATACAAGAAAGAACGTCAAAATACCCAGAGCTGTCCTGGCATGGAAATCGGCCATCCCATAAGTAAGTGATGCCTGGGGAAACGGAGCCTGTTTCACTGGAAAGGCAATTGGATTAGATCAATTCTTGTCTTCTCGTCAAGTCCGGCCTGGCCCAAGGTTACAGGGAGAAGCCTTGGGTAGGGGACAGGTGTAAGAGCGTTATGAACCAGTAACTCTCCCACTTGGGGAGAAACAAAACCCCAAGTACAGGAAGAGTAGTTCTTTTCTAAAATCTGAACTAATGACAATGGAGGGGACAAAGGATTAGGGGGAGAAGATGCTTACTTTAATGAGGAGGCTTTGATTTTTCAGAACAAAGCTTTGTAGCCATGTTTTTGGGGAGCCACAAAATCCAGGTCCAATACATGGGGTCAAGAGTATGAGAATTTTGGCCCAAGATGGATAAACCTGGGCCTCAACAGCTGCCACCCACTCTGGAAATTGGTATGTTCAGAGAATGTAAGCACTTGAGACTATTTCTAGTTCCAGCTGCTCCATGGTATTAATAAAGGTCTAATTGCTAAAACCACGTGGAGTGGACATGGTGTTCATTTTCCTGACACATGCAAAATGTGGTTTGGAGGCTGAGCTGTCAGGCCCAAATCGCCCCCAGATATTGCCTGTTGCAAGCACATTTTATCACCACGCAAGGCTTGCTAAGCTTGGTGGATGGCCTCATTTGGGCTATTTGTATCCTAACACTGGGGCCAATGTGACAGGTTAGCGTTCCTATCAGAGCAACATGGCACAAAACTTCCTTCTAGCCCCATTCCCCAGGTAATGTGGTGTGGAGAAAGTCCATCAGACTGTTACGCCGAAAGACAAAGGAGCGGTTTGTCCAGCATATAGAACAGGTTTATAAAGCGTCTCCCCGTTCTCACCAGATAATTGAACATAGAGGATGCCAGAGACTGTGTAGACAGTTAGGCTTCCTTTGCAAATGGGGGTGGACAGGGATATAGCTACCTGTCTGTGCCGGGAGAGAAACGAGCTGTCCCCTACTCAATGCTGGTAGGGGACAGTTCCATCTTCTTGTCCCACCCTCCCCACAAAGAGTGGTTGCTGTCTCTCCTCCAAGTCTAAATGTATTTTACTACCTTATTGCCTTATGGTACAACAATACACATTCACAAAAGCTAGTCATAAGTTGCCCCATGCTAAAAATACTAAATTCTATAAATTTATATTTTAATACATATCTCCATTTTTTAAAAATATGGAATGCCTCACGAATTTGCATGTCATTTTTTTAATGGGGAATCTCCCTCTCTAAATTTACTCATTTCTATTTTCTGGCACACAAGGGGAGTTCCCAGCTAGGGCTTAGTTCCCTATTGGGTTTTCCATGCAGGGTTTAGATTTAAAGCATTAAATGACCCTTATGAGGGATTCCATAGAAATACGCATTGCTGACTTATGGGCCTGCATCCATGGACACATCAATCCCTGAGTTTTAAGAAGCCCTGGATATTGATTGACAAGCTGTATAACATGGTAATTATGAGCCAGAACTTTGTAGTAAGACTACCCGGGTTAAAATACTAATTCCCCCATTTATGCCTCATGTGACCTTGGGGAAGTCTCTTAAGCTATCTATGCCTTGACTTTCTTAAATGTAAATCAGGAAATAGTGCTTCTGCATAGAGTAGTTGTGAAAATTAAGTTATCATGTATAAAACGCTTTGCCGTAAATGCCAGTCATATTATTATTGCCTCCACAAAAAGCATGTGGTTAGACCAAGTAAAAGTGAGGCCCTAGTAGCATCCTCTTGAACATGAGGATTGAGCTCAACATCCTCTGCTACTGGAGACCCAGTAAACAAATGCTGAAGTTGCACAGGTGATTCTCAACAGAGTTACACTGTTTCCAGTGTAACTGGTGTGTAGTGGTCATGAAATGGTTAAACAGAAAAATCAAATATGGTTTCTATTACTGGAGGAGTGGATGTTCCACGATGCTGATTAGGAAGTCCAACCTGAAAGAGGCTCTCTGAAGGGTCCTGGCCCATCGTAGCCAGAGACAGCTCAAAGAGAGACAGATATCCATGATTTATAGTGAGCTCAGCAAAGACGGATGAAGAGAGACCATCCTTTGACCAAGTGGCCAGCAGGAATTTTGCGGAACATTTTGTTTTGTTTTGGAGCTCAGCAGTGCCTGAGTCTGTGCAGTAGTCAGTAGGGACAGCTACAGCAGCTAGGGATAAAGAAGGTCCTTTAAGCCTGAGCGTAGTGGAACTGCTAGCAAGACAACTGGTGTGGTTCACAGGCCAAGTCCAGCAATTGATGTCAGAATGATGAAAGAGGATTCATACGTGGCCACATTCAGATGTAATCTGTTCAGAGCTATCTGCTCGGAAGACACTGTCATGCGCACTGTGGAGTGCTGAGAAGAGCCTCCCTGATCCTCCATCAGGGGTGTGAGCAGGACTTACTCCCCAGCTGCTGGTGCTTAGCCCTCAGGTGTGAATCCCTTCTGAAATTGCTTTAGTTGAGCTGCCTCACTCAGGGTCACATCGTTTCCAATGACTGACCGACCAACTTAGGGATACCAAGGTCTAGCCCTTTTGTCCCAACTCAGAATAGCCCTGAAGTTATCTCATCTTCAGAACTCCCCACAATAGCAGCTAAGACCCCTGAGATGACCCTGAGGCTTGACCTCTCCCTCTGCCCAATCCTGCTTCCTTTCCCTCCCTTCCATAGCTATATCTCCGACAGCACTCTCTAGTAGATGAGTTGTGTGCTAATCTCCAGGTCAGAATCTCCTTCCCTGGGGCACTGTGACTCTCAACTCATTGGCCATGGGCTGCTCTGCATTTCTTACTGGGTAGGTTGGGGCCATGTGACAGGGCTCTGGCCAATGGGAAGGGAACTTGCCTGTGGGATCATCCTGGGCTCTCCTCTTGTCATGGTGCCCTTGAGGGCAATATGTGTAAAGTGGTCCCATCAGCAGGGAGGAGAAAATAAGCCTTCACTCTGTTAAATCTCTGAGCTTTGGGTTTTGTTTTTGGTTTTATTTTCTTAACAAAGCCTAACTTATTCTGTCTTTTCTAATGCATCAGTCATGTTCATTTAAATACTTTTCTAATTCCAGAGTGAGAAGCAATGAAAAGTTAGTATCTGAACATACTCTGAAATATTAGTTATTTTTCATATATATCTTCTTAGGTTTAACTGTTGGGGAAAAATAACAGTTCATCCCACATCACAGATTTGGTTATTTTCAATAATAATATCTCTAATGAATTCTTTTCTTGGGTTTGTAAGTTTTAGTTATTATGAGGATAACATTTCTAATGAATTTTTTCTTGTGTATTTATAAAGTCTCAGGTTAAATGAATCATTTGTGTATTTTAACACGTGAATCTGAACAGAGTAGATCCAATTGAGAATTTCAGTCAGCATTCTGATGCCCTGAATAGAAAAGAGCCAATAAATATAAATGTAAATATGTACACACACACACACACACACACACACACTGATGGACTCTTAACTAACGCTAGTAAGTGTCTATTATATATACCGTGTTCCTGAAGTTCTGCTACAAGGTAAGGACTTCCTAGGTTTAGGGAGCTAATTGATCCATGAAAGAGGCAGACCATTTCCAAGCCTGCCATTGGGATGCAGTGTCGTGAGACACGCCAGGGTGCACAGGCAGCTGAAGGGAGGTGGTACTAAGCTTTGCCTGGGGAGGGCCAGAGAAGCCTCCACAGAAATGACTCTTAAGCTGCAAATTAGAGGGAACAGTCGGGGTTCACCAGGTTCATGAAGGAGGGAAAGGCATTCCAGGCAGAGATGTGCATAATAGCATAATGCATTCAGGACATGACAGGGCTGGCAAGGTGATGTTTGCCAGGTGCTATTGTTTGAATGTCCCCTTCAAAACTCATGTTGAAATTTAATTGCCATTGTGATGGTATCACAATGGGACCTTTAAAAGGTGATGAGGTCATGAAGGCTCTGCCCTCATGAATAGACTAATGCCATTATCAAGAGAGTCGCTTAGTTAATGAGAGAGTGTGTTCGTGATAAAAGGATGAGTTTGGCCCAATTTCCTGTGTCATCTTGTGTGTACACTTCCTAGCCATGGGGTGCTTTCCACCATGTTATGATGGAACAAGAAAACCCTCACCAGATGTGGCTATTCAATCTTGGATTCCCAGCCTCCAGAAGTCTGGGCCAAACAAATCTCTTTTCTTTATAAATTACCCCAGTCTGTAGCATTCTGTTGTAGCAGTAGAAGAGGGAGTCACACAGGAGGGTGGTGGTAGGAGACGAGCTTGGAGAGAAGGCACAAGCTGAGTTCTGGGTGGTAGGTCTGTATGCAGTGTCATGGGACTTGGACATTTCCACTTTATTTCGTTTACTTATTGCCATTTTTATTCTGGCCTTTTAAATTGTTGCTCTTCTCTTATCCAATGCAGACACAGTTTATTTCTGAGACATATAGTTTGCGAAATCAGAAACTTTAGGCATCATCAAAATAAATTTCCCACATTGCATACCAGTAAAAATAAGATTGCAGTGACTCTGAGCTGCCAGCTGCCACATGGCAGGCACTTAGTCCTTGGCCCCTAAGGCAATTCTAAAGATCCCTATAAGATGCTTTCTTATGTGTATTATTAAGACGACCAACTCATCCCAGCTTGTCCAGGACTTTCCTGGTTTTACCACTGAATGTTCTGGGGTCCAAGAACCTCTCAGTCCAAAGCAAACCAGGTTGCTCATCCTAAGTGTGTTTGGAAACATGTCTGACCTGCTCACGTGTTTTTGCTCAGGGCCCCTCCTCAAGCTGCCAAGCCACTGCCTCAGCCAAACACCCCAGGGAGCTCTGATAACCTCCAGCAACTCTCCCTGGCCAATCTCTGTTAGGCAACAGATGCCACCCTTCTAGCTTTGGGGAAGGAGACATAGCCCTCCTACACTGAGTTCCAGACATGCTTACCTACCCCCTACATCAACTTTCCAGAGCTCCACTGTATTAGTCTGTTCTCACATTGCTAATAAAGACATACCCAAGACTGGGTAATGTATAAAGAAAAAGAGATTTAATGGACTCACAGTTTCACATGGCTGGGGAGGCCTCACAATCATGGCAGAAGGTGATGGAGGAGCAAAGGCACATCTTATATGATGGCAGTCAAAAGTGTGTGTGCAGGGGAATTGCCCTTTATAAAACCATCAGATCTCATAAGACTTATTCACTACCATGAGAACAGCACAGGAAAATCCGCCCCCATGATTCAATTACTTCCCACCAGGTTCCTCCTACAACATGTGGGGATTATAGGAGCTACAATTCAAGATGAGATTTTGGTGGGGAGACAGCCAAACCATATCATTCCACCCCTGGCTCCTCCAAAATCTCATGTGCTCACATTTCAAAACCAACCATGCCTTCCCAATAGTCTTCCAAAGTCTTAACTCATGTCACCATTAACTCAAAAGTCCACAGTCCAAAGTCTCATCTAAGAAAAGGCAAATCCCTTCTGCCTACGAGCCTGTAAAATCAAAAGCAAGTTAGTTACTTCCTAGATACAATGGGGTACAGGCATTGGGTAAATACCCCCATTCCAAATGGGAGAAATTGACAAAAACAAAGGGGCTATAGGCCCCATGCAAGTCCAAAATCCAGTGGGGCAGCCAAATCTTAAATCTCGGAAATTATCTCCTTTGACTTCATGTCTCACATCCAGGTCACGCTGATGAAAGAGGTGGGCTCCCATGATCTTGGGCAGCTCTGTTCCTGTGGCTTTGCAGGGTACAGCCCCGCTCCTGGCTGCTTTTATGAGCTAGCATTGAGTGTCTATAGCTTTTCCAGGCTCACAGTGTAAGCTGTCAGTGGATCCGCCATTCTAGGGTCTGGAGGACAGTGGTCCTCTTCTCATAGCTCCACTAGGCAGTGCCCCAGTGGGGACTCTGGGTGGGGGCTCCAACCCCACATTTCCCTTCTGCACTGCCCTAGCAGAGGTTCTCCATCAGGGCTCTGCCCCTGTAGCACACCTCTGCCTGGACATCCAGGTGTTTCTATACATCCTCTGAAATCTAGGCAGAGGTTCCCAAACCTCAACTCTTGTCATTTGCACACCCACAGGACAAGCTCCACATGAAAGCTGCCAAGGCTTGGGGCTTGCACCCTTTGAAGCCATGGCCCGAGCTGTACCTTGGCCTCTTTCAGCCATGGCTGGAGCAGCTAGGACACAGAGCACCAAGACCCTTGACTGCACACAGCAGAAGGGCCCTGGGCCCAGCCCACAAAACCATTTTTTCTGATTAGGCCTCCAGGCCTGTGATGGGAGGGGCTGCCATGAAGTTCTCTGACATGCCCTGGATACATTTTCCCCTGTCTTAGCGAATAGCATTTGGCTCCTTGTTACTTCTGCAAATTTCTGTAGCTAGCTTGAATTTCTCCCTAGAAAATGGTTTTTTCTTTTCTACTGCATCATCAGGCTGCAAAATTTTCGAACTTTTATGCCCTGCCACCTCTTGAATGCTTTGTTGCTTAGAAATTTCTTCCACCAGATACCCCACGTTATCTCTCTGAAGTTCAAAGTTCCACAGATCTCTAGGGCAGGGGCAAAATGCCACCAGTCTCTTTGCATAGCAAGAACGACCTTTACTCCAGTTCCCAACAAGCTCCTCATCTCCATCTGAGACCACCTCAGCCCAGACTTTATTGTCCCTATCACTGTCAGCATTTTGGTCAAAGCCATTCAACAAGTCCCTAGGAAGTTCCAAACTTTCCCACATCTTCCTATCTTCTGAGCCCTCCAAGTCTCTAGGAAATTCCAAACATTCCCACATTTTTCTACCTTCTTCTGAGCCCCAACTGTTCCAACCTCTGCCCATTACCCAGTTCCAAAGTTGCTTCCACATTTTTGGGTATCTTTACAGCAGCTCCCCACTTTCTGCAGCACCAATTTATTGTATTAGTCTGTTCTCACACTGCTAATAAAATACCCAAGACTGGGTAATTTATAAAGAAAAGGAGGTTTAATGGACTCACAGTCCCACATGGCTGGGGAGGCCTCACAATCATGGCAGAAGTTGAATGAGGAGCAAAGTCACGTCTGACATGGCAGCAGGCAAGAGAGCATGTGCAGGGGAACTCCCCTTTGTAAAACCATCAGATCTTATGAGACTTATTCACTATCATGAGAACAGCACGAGAAAACTCACCCCCATGATTCAATTACCTCCCACCTAGTTCCTCTCACAACATGTGGGGATTATGGGAGCTATAATTCAAGATAGAGATTTGCATGGGGACACAGCCGAACCATATCACCACCAGACAATTAACAAAACTTCTTCAAAGGCTTATGGATAATGGAAGGAAAGCTCAGCCTCAAAGGTAATTTCAACTTTTGGCAAAGCAGCTACCTGAAACACACCTACCAGAGCCATTCTCAGTAGCAGGTCCAGCTCCACATGAGAGTCCAGCACATGTCTGCCACCAGAAAGTTTGGGCCCAGCTGTCAAATGGCTTTGAGAGAGAAAAGACTTCTCTGTCCCTCTAGTTTCAGGCTGGCTTCCCAGAGAGGTAGAAACTACTACTGCTGCCTGGCATTCATTCCCCCGCTTTCTTAGTAAAAAGCACCCTGATTTACTTAGGAGGGTAAAGTGCCCAGATAACAGGCTTCATTTCTCAATTCCTCAGCCAGCTGTGGAAGTGTTTGGGGGAATGTCAGAAAAGCTATTTAAAGGGAGAATCAGTGAGGAGGTCTCACTCCAATACACATACACTCACACATGCTATTAATTTTTCCTCTTTCATCTTTCTTCCTTCTAGGCTTCAATGTGGATATGATGGCTGGAGCTCCAGCAGCCATCCTGTGACCCTGAGAACAAGCCATTCATTGAGGCTAATGAAGCAGGAAGAAGGAATCCTGAGTCCTTGGGAAACAAGGATCTACCTGAATAGCTCCGAATGCCTACTTCTAGATGTCCTTTTAGAAAGAGAAGCACACCCTTGTGTATTTCAGCCACTGCTATTTAAGGTTTAACCTAATCATGATATAATTGGTTTTTCTTGGAATGATTCAGTGGTAATTTTTTCTTCCATAAGAAGCAATCCCAACCCCTACCACTAGGGGGTGGCCTTGCCCTGTAGGCCTCAACATGACAATTACATCACTGCATATCAGAGTCCAACATCAGTGCATTCTGTGTAATTCAGTCTCAAATAACAACGTGCATGTGACAGCAGTGGTCCAGTCTGAGCTAAGCTGTGCCAAACTCCATCCAGTTCCTTTAGCATGAGATTTGGATCTCATGCTTTTCTTCTCTTTTCTATATCCAATTCTTCAGCTTGGACCCAAAAAAGCAAGCCCCAGGACCAAAAAAGTATGCAGAGAAGCAGCTCTGACTCTAGCAAACACACAGTTTGTATTTCCAAACAGAACAATGAGCTTCTAGTCTGAACAACATCCCATTTGATGGTAACTTGATACTTTCCTCTTTTTGTTTTTCCAGCAAGAAGCAATGGGTAGGTACTTGCTTTACATTTGTGAAAAGATACCTGGCTGGTGGGTCTGATAAAGAGAGACTCTACCCTGGCAGGATTATTGATATCTCTACCTCCTACAAGATGGAAAATCACTTGCAGCATTTAAGTGACTGTTTTTCCAGTTTATGCTGATCAAAGTTTCAAAAATCTCTAGGCAGAGTTTTAGTCACTAATAATCTGAAGTGAAGGGAATAATTTATCTAATTATTGCTCAGGCTAAAAGCAAGCTGCTGTCTCAAAATGAAAGTACAGTGCTAGTTCTATAAATACCCACTCACAACTAACCAACAAAGGAGTTTGTGGTGTGAGAAGTGGAACTTTTGATAGTTTCAGATTGCATTGCTTTGGTGTCATCTGTGCTCTCCTTGTCTACCTCCATTTACATCGTGATGCTGTATAGTTAAGACTTGGGCAGAGGGAGGAAAGGGGTTCATGGGGAGCTAGTAATCCTGCATTTTTCCTCAATTTTCTTACTAGACTGCCATATTAGATAAGAACAAAAAATGTGCCTATTGAATAGTCTAACCAAAGAACTTAAGAAAGAATCACTTTTTTTCCTCCATTTCGGTAAAGACCGTGCCGAAAGTTTTCATATGTAATAAAACCAGTGATCACCAGTTAATCTCAACCTAAGAGAAAGAACCAAAATGAACCACTCACAAGAATAGAAACAGGCATCCCTTGGGAGTAGGGTTTAACAAATGAAAATACAGGACACTCTGTAATTTGATTTTTCTGCAATATTTGGGACGCGCTTATATGAAAAAATTATTTGATATTTATTCAAAATTCAAATTTAATGGTATGTCCAGGATTTTATCTGGCAACCCTACTTGGGGGTAAAGAATCTGTTCCTTCCTTGTGGGGGATGGGAAGAACAGTACAAAATGAGCAGATTCTGAAATATATCAAGGAAACTGTCACTGGAAAAGTCACTGATTAAAAACAAAACACCCACAAACCACTAGGCCCTGTGCACAGGTTCCTCCAAGAAGCTAAGTCTTCTTGTTTTTTATCTTTTGTATCTTCACAGAGTCTAGATGCCCTCCTGCTCTGGGTATATTGAGAGCTCAGTGAGGAGTGCTGACCAACTGGATAGTCAATGACCACTGAGGAGGAGGTGGCTATGCAAGCCCCAGATCTCTGGGATCATGTGTTCTGTACTTTCAGATGTGCATCTGCAAAGGCCTGGAGTGCCAAGTGTCCTCTCCTTAGAGAGGCAAGGCAACAGCAAGGCAATCAGTTGTTACCCCAATGTCCAGCCTCCCCTATTGTCTTTCAGAGGGCATTTTGTCCAAACTATGGGGTAAGAAAAGGGTTTGGTTTTACACTTTTAGCCAGAGTTTACCCTCCGGGAATACTCCTTCTACCACATCTGCCAGGGATCTATTTTCCAAAGGTACTGGTTGGTCACTCAGAATCCACTGGGTGCAGACACGCAAAGATGTGCAACTTCTCCTCTGTATCAAATAAGGATACAGGTGGGCAGTGCTCCATTTTTCTGCCTTTTCACTCTCCACACTAGGCTTTGTAGACATGGACACATGAAAGCACAGAACAGTAAGTCAATGTCAGAGGGAATTATAGGTAAGGACCCCCACCTTCATTCCAATTCTCTTCTGACATTGACCATGCCATTCCGTAAGGCTAGAGGTCTCACTTACTTTTAACTTTCTTGAGTTTTCACAGTATGGGTACCTGAAAACTTAGACTCCTCTCCTCAGTGAGTTCCTCTCCCTGGTTCTCTCCCACTCCTGACTTGGTTTACTTTGAGCCCCCTCCCCAATCACCTTAAGTATTGTCTAAATTTTTGTCCACCTCCCCACCCTTTTTTTTTCTTTTCTTTTTCTTTCTTTCTTTTTCTTTTCTTTTTTTTTTTTTTTTCAAGACAGGCTCTCACTCTGTTGCCCAGGCTGGAGTGGAGTGACACAATTATAGCTCACTGCAGCCTTGCTCTCCCAGGCTAAAGCAATGCTCCTGCCTCAGCCTCCCACATAGCTGGGACTACAGGTACTTGCCACCATGCTGAGCTAATTTTTTAATTTTTTCGTAGAGCCAAGGTCTCGCTATGCTGCCCAGGCTGAATTCGAACTCCTCATTCTCCTACCTTGGCCTCCCAAAGTGCTGGGATTACAGGCGAAAGCCACAGCACCTGGACTCCCCATTCTTACCTACATGGAGAAGTCTTATTCTTTGGATTCATCCTTCTTCCCCATGCAAGGCCTCAAGTTTGCTTTCAGTCTGAAATAGCGCTGCTGGGTGATCAGAAATGCCCATTGCCACCCAAATCTTTTTGTTTTGTTTTGTTTTTTAATACCATCACCATGGATAGATGTGGCTCCTTTGGGCCACAATTCCATTTAATTTCAAGCTGCAGGCATAGCAGCCCTTTTAGTCACGGACCTGCTAAATTAGGCACATGGACTGTCTCAGGGAGAGTGTGGTCTGAATTCACATTGAGAGACACCTGTTTTCTCCCTGGCAAGACAACTAAGCCCTCTGGTTCCACCTGGGGCAACCCATTAACAAATGCTCCCTAGAAAGACCAGGAAGAACTCATTTAACTCAAACTGGTTTAATTTAGGTTCAGAGTGTCTGCTTCTGTGGGAAAGGGAAAGGGAGTGAGGACTGATTGGCAGTTCTTCCCACACACAGCTCAACAGCAAATGTTCATGGAGTCCTTAATTCTCTTAAGAGTAGCCTCAGAGATGTTGACTCTCTCTAAATTATGATGTTGCTTTTACAGCTGGGTTATTATAAGATTAGTGTAAGTTTGGTCACTTACACTTCATCTTACTATTCCTTCCTCACCTTATTTTTTATGAGAGCTCATAGGATCCCATTCTCCCACCTTCTGTTTCTCTTTTTTCCTTCTATGGCTCCTCATCTCTAACCCCTGTGTTCCCCACATACCACCAGCTCCTCCCATGGATCTGGTTTTCTTGGACTTCCTGATCTTGGCACAGACTTTCCCTTCAGGCTAGAACAGCCTTCTCTCACCTTCCTGCATCTGACCTACTCACCCTTCCAGACTGAGTAAATGTTACTTCCCTATTTAGACCATGCAGACCCGGGTGGCAGGGCTTCTCACACTTCAGTATGCATGAGAATCACCTGGAGAGCTTTTTCAACTATAAATTCCCTCTTCCCATCTCTGTCCCCTTCACCAAATTGTGATTTAGTAGGTCTGGGATGGGGCCCAAGAATTTGCATTTAAACAGCCTCCAAGGTATTCTCAATAGTGCTGGTCTGCAGGCCACACTTTGGGTACCACTGCCCCAGACTGAATTAAATCTCCCAGCTCTATGATCCCGGAGCTCCCTGTATTACTCCATCAAAACATATTATTGTTAATATTCCTATAATGTCTTTCCTCCCTGATAGGCTGAAAACACAGTGAAAGCAGGCCGTGTCCATTTTATTTGCTGCTGAATCCTCATCAATTAACACAAGGCCTGTCACACAGGATGTGCTTAATAAATCCAGGATTTATAAAAAAGGAAGTAGAAGAAAGGGGAATCTTTCCATGCTGAGAATCTTCAACATGTGAGCACGTTGCTTGGAAGTCAGTTCCCAAAAAGGAATCCAGAATGTATTGATGGTGGCCTTTGGAAGAAGGGTCTAGACAACCCCAGTGGTAATTTGCAATGTCATTATTTGCATTATATCTGTTATCTTTCTGGGGTGGGGTTGGGGGAATCTATGAGGCAATATTTTCAGTTATATCTAATAAAATAGCTTTGCAAATATCTACTCAACCAGGATGATGAATATATCCGAGTAATTAGCCAGGAGAATTCACCCCCTTTCCATTCCAGGCACTCCTTGCAGGGAATTCATGGCTGTGGAATAATACATGGGCAGAGCGGAGGCTCTGGAGTTAGACCCAGAAGGCCAGCTATACCATTTCCCAGCTCTGGGGCTCTGGCCAAGGTAACTTAACTGTCCAAAGCCTCAGTTTCCACTCATTTGTGAATGAGGATAAAATGGTACCCATGGACAGGCAGTAGGGTGTAATAGTTTAGAGCACAGACTGCCTATGTTTGAATCCTGGCTCCTCCACTTACCAGCTGCGCGACCTTGGGAAAGTTATTTAACCGCCATATGCCTCAATTTCTTCTTCTGTAGTCATTTCTTCAAAAATGATTGTATTAAATTGAACTACTTTAAACTGCTATTTTGTAGGTCAAAAACAGTCGAATGTCAGTGATTTCAAATGATTCAAACTAACACCTACCTTACAGGCTTATAAAGAGAAGCAAGTGCATGAGTCAAGTTTAAGTCAACAGGCTTAAAATGATGACTGTTACATATTAAGCACCGTAAAAGAGTCAGCTCTTATTGCATAGCTGAGTTTGTTGGGGAATAAAATGAATATGATAATGTGATAAACACTTGGCAGAGGAGGATTGTAAACATTCAATAAAATGCTACTTGTTCTTTTTTGTACTTATGTAACCCCTTCTTAAGAATATCTGACTTTAAAATTACTAATGTTTTCAAATGGTTGTTTTTGCACTGCCCTCAAGTCCTCCAGCCCCTGAGCACATATAAACTTATTACCATGAATTTCAGAAGGAGAGTGGGTGAAGCTATGAAGAGAAGGGACAGCTCAGGACAATGGACCTCGGAGAGATAGAAGCCCAGGACAAGGGTACTCTACAGTTAGCCTCTTGCCTCCCCAAATATTAGGTTGAAACATATGAAACTCATTTATATAGGCCAAAATGGAAAAATATTCACAATTTCATATGACTAAACGTACTAGATTCCCCTAGCCAGCCTGGATTTCTTTCATATTCTTGACAGTCTATCAGTTAATACCATGTCTTTTTTTTCCTTTACATTTTAACATTTTTGGCATTGGGATGTATCCTACAATCATGTGTGTCTTTAATATGGTTGAATTTCTTTCCCTTTCTCCTTCTGAGCAACTAGGTTCTGGTAATCTCACTTTTTGTCTAGTGTCCTCAGGGTGGTAGCTGCTTTACCTCAGCCCTGGGGGAAATAACTTCTTCCAACAAGTATTAATAACCAGTTGCTTCAACTTCCTGTTTTGCTCTTCCAGCCTTCCAACATCTGTGAAAAAATTCCCTGTATTAAATCCCCTCTGTTTGAAATACCTAGCAGGATTTCTATTTCTTGACTATGCTGACTATTGCATATATTAATTTTAAAAGAATCTCTTCAAATGGCAAATGAGAGAGTTAAGCATTCACATAGTTGCGTAAATTGTATATATCAGATTTCTTTCACTTTATCATGATGTTTTACT
This sequence comes from Homo sapiens, assembly GCF_000001405.40. Taxonomy (NCBI): domain Eukaryota; kingdom Metazoa; phylum Chordata; class Mammalia; order Primates; family Hominidae; genus Homo; species Homo sapiens. Next base: position 91,012,137 of record NC_000010.11, read on the forward strand.
CATCAGACATTTATTGAACATCTAGTTTATGCCATAGCCTATGCACCCATCATTGGTAAAAAGGTGAAAAAGACAATTTTTGTCCCAGAGGAGCTTAGAGTGGGGGTAGAGCTGGGACTACAGCAGAGACAGAGATCACAGCATGATAAGTGCCATGGGAGGACATGAAGAGCACTTAGCCTAGTCCAGTCCAAGGCAAAAGAACTCAGAGAGGCCTCCTTCAATCTGTCTGTCCTGCATGTACAGCCATGGAGGAGAAGGAAAAGGCAGGAAAGACCTTCTAGGCAGAGCAAGGAGCAAATGCTAAGGCTCAGACTTAGAGAGTAGGGTTTGCTTCAGGGCATTGAAATGTTTCAGTATAGTTGGAGAAAAGTTGGAGGATGACAACAACTGAAGCTGGAATGGTAGGTAAAGGAACAGATCATGAAGGATGATGTACACCATGATGAGGAACTATGTAAGACTATGTCTTTACATCGGGGTCAGTGGAAAACAATTGAAATTAGTGGCTTGATCAGGTTTACAGTTAGGAAGATACTGCTCACTGAAAAAAGAGGACAACGTACTTTCTAGAAGCTACCAAATGACTAACTGCCTAGTCATAGGGGTTAAGGCAGCAGTTCCCAACCTTTCTGTCACCAGAGACCAGTTTCATGAAAGACAATTTTCACGGGTGGGGGATGGTTTCGGGATGATTCAAGCACATTACATTTATTGTGCACTTTGTTTCTATTATTATTACATTATAATATATAATGAAATAATTATACAACTCACCATAACGTAGAATCAGTGGGAGCCCTGAGCTTGTTTTCCTGCAACTCAGCGGTCCCATCTGGGGGTGATGGAAGACAGTGACAGGTCATCAGGCATTAGATTCTCACAAGGTAGTGTGCAACCTAAATCCCTCTCATACACAGTTGACAATAGGGTTTGTGCTCCTATAAGAATCTAATGCTACCTCTGATCTGACAGGAGGTGAAGCTCAGGTGGTGCGAGCAATGAGGAGTGGCTGTAAATACAGATGAAGCTCACCTGCCACTCACCTCCTGCTGTGTGGCCCAGTTCCTAACAGGTCACGGACCAGTACTGGTCTGTGGCCTGGGGGTTGGGGACCCCTGAGTTAAGGTGTTAATGGCTTCTTCTTTCAGTCACTAAGCATTTAGTGAACACTCACTATATATCAGACACTGTGACTGATCCTTGTAAGATAAATAAGCTTCATGCCCTCCAAGAGCTTACAGTCTAATGAGGGAGAAAAACATCTTAAATAATTATGAGAAGTATTACAGAAATACAGATGAGGGAGGAACCAAGTAGGAGAAGATGGAAGATTCCACAGAGGACATGACATTGCCTTGGATTTTGAAGGAAAAATAAGGACATGCTAGATAAAAGAGCAGAAATACAGCATTTCAATTAAAGGGAGCACCATTTGCAGCAGCATGTGGACATCATGTTCTTGGTGGTCTCAGAGAATAGAGAAGAGTCTGATGTAGTTGGGCCACCAGGTTTACAAATGGGTCGAAAATAAGGTCCTAGGGCCCGATTCTAAAAGACTTTGTGAGTCTTGTTGGTATGAGGCATCTCCTCTAGGTAACAGGGAATCATCAAAGGTTGTTAAGAGAAATGGGGGTTGATAAGATAAGATTCATGTTCAAGCTTTAAAAAATTATGTCACAAATAGAACTGAAGAATAGAGACTGGCAACATGGAGATTCATTATGAGGCTGAGGTCATAGTTCGGGTGGAAGCTGACCAGAACTTGAACTAAGAGAGAGGCAATTGGGACGAAGAGGAGCAAACCAATCCTGGGTCGATATACTCCATCCTAGAAAACATTTTCATGTTAAAGCATTCATTAGTGCCCAAAAGGAGCTTCAAAACTAAGTTTCATTCATCTTTCTCAAAACTTTGTTAGAGTCTGTTTAACTGTGTTAAAATTCATGCCCTAGTGGAGCAGACTTTTCTCATCCCAAATTATTTTGGAAAGTATAGGCTGAATTGCTAAGGAAAATGCTGAAAGGGAAGTGTGAGGACATGGGACAAAGTGCAAGTAAACACTCTGGGATGCAGGAAACGAGCTTTTCAAAGAAGAAAGGGCAGGAGCCTGGGGTAGAGAAGTGGAAAAGACCTGAGTCTGAAAGAGATGTGACACCTGGGAGGATTTTTCTTTCTTCTTGTAATTGAAGGGGAGAGACAGAGGAAAATTCTGGAAGCAAAGGCTTAGAGGTTCCCAAAGGCAAAGATCTCCAGGAGCCAGCAGCAGGTGACAAATAAATAAAGCAGACTTGCTTTAAGAACATGGAGGTGATCTCAGCAATTTGGGAGGCCAAGGCGGGAGGATCATTTGAGCCCAGGAGTTTGAGACTAGCCTGGGCAATATGGTGAAACTCTGTCTCTACCAAAAAATACAAAAACTAGCCAGGTGTGATGGCACATGTCTGTGGTCCCAGCTATTTGGGAGGCTGAAGTGGGAGGATCAACAGAGCCTGGGAGGTCAAGGTGGCAGTGAGCTGTGTTCATGCCACTGCACTCCAGCCTGGGTGACAGAGTGAGAGCCTGTCTCAAAAAACAAACAAACAAACAAACCCATAAAACAGACTGGGCACCATGGCTCAGGCCTGTTCCCAGCATTTTGGGAAGCCGAGCAGGCAGATCACCTGAGGTCAGGAGTTTGAGACCAGCCTGGACAACATGGTGAAAACCCATCTCTACTAAAAATACAAAAATTAGTCAGGCATGGTGGCAGGCGCCTGTAATCCCAGCTACTCAGGAGGCTGAGGCAGAAGAATCGCTTGAACCCAGGAGGTGGAGGTTCCAGTGAGCCAAGATCACACTATTGTATTCTGGCCTGGGTGACAGAGTGAGACTCTGTGTCAAAAAAACAAAAACAAAAACAAAAACCACAAAACAAAACATGGAGGCCAGGTGGCAGAGGCTCATGCTTGTAATCCTAATGCTTTGGGAGGCTGAGGTGGGAGGATCGCTTGAGCTCAGGAGTTTGAGATCAGCTGGATAATACAGTGAGACCTCGTCTCTATTTTTATTTCTAAAAAACTTAAAAAAATGTATGGAAGTGCATGGTTTATGAACGGGGCAGATTCCCACAAGCTCCAGCCAACTGTTGTCATGTGGAAATGCAATGTTCCTGATCTTGTGATTTTTCAAGAGAAGTCAGAAATCTAGATATTCCTGTAAAATCATCCACTGTTCTTTAATGTGGGCAACAAATTCGTTTTTTTTCTAAACAGCAGGCTGGCCAAATAAAACATATGTGGCTGCATTTGGCCCTTGGGTGGCCAATTTGTAACCTCTGGTCTAGAAGGAATGGTAGGTTATTTGAATAAATCCTACCAGCCATGGTGGGTATGCAGCCTACTTGTGCTAGAATGTAAACAAGTCATGGGAGGATACCATTTCCCAGAAAAGCAATTCCCATTAAATCCACTGGCTAAGTTTGGAAAGATAATACAGAACGTACTGATATGTAAGTTTAGTTTTGCTTTGTTGGGAAAATTTTTATGAAGCCGAGCTAGAAGGAAGCAAACTGATCTTCCCTGAAGTCATTTCTATTGTATATCTTTAAGAAGTCAGGGTTGAGGAGAGAGTCACTTTGGAAAAGATCATAGCCTAATGTCTTTTTCAGGAACTAGCACTGGAAATTAAAGTCAATTATTTCAACCTGTATCACAGACTGTATATAAAGAGTTCCCATGAATCAACAATGAGACAACATCCAAAGGAACATGAACAAAGAATATGCATAATTCTCAGAAGAGGAAATATTATAGGTTTCTACCTATAAAAATGCTTGACTTCACTTAGCATGTGAGAAATCCAATTTATAAACAATGTTTTTCACCTATAATATAGGAAAAGTTAACAAGAACTTCATATATATAATACACTGTGTAGGCAAAGGTGTTGGGAACTTGGCACTGTCATACATTGGTGGTGAAATTTTAAGTTGGCACGACTGCTAAGGAGTGCAAATTGGCAGGATCCATTAAAATAAAAAATACATATATGCCTTGACCTAGACATTTCTAAATCTAAGAATTCATTACCTACCCTTATTCACACTTGTGAAAGGACATATATATACACACATGTGTATATAAGAATATTCATTATAGCATCATTTATAATAGCAGATGATTTGAAATAATCTAAATGTCCATTAATATGGAAATAAAATAAATGATAATAGACCCAAACAATGGCATCCACTGAAGCAATAAAAAAAGAAGCAGCTCCATACCTACTGAAAAGAACGCCTCTCCTATATATATATATTAAGAGCAAGGTTAAGAAGTGTAAATTGTATAACGCCATTTGGTATTGCATAAACATATACTTAGATATGCACAGTGTATCTCTAGAAGGCTTAAAAGCATCTTTTAGAAAGGGATGCCTCTGGGGAGGGCTGAGTGGTGGGAGACAGACTTGGGAAGGAAAGGTTTTGCTCTATACTCTTCCATATATATATATACACAATAATACATAGATAATACATTATGTATTGTATAATGTGGTAATATGCATAATATAATGTATATAATTTATTTTTATATCTATATTTACATTAATCCATGAATTTTTTTTCTTTTGAGATGAAGTCTTGCTCTGTCACCCAGGCTGTAGTGGAGTGGCGTGATCTTGGCTCACTGCAACCTCTGCCTCCCGGGTTCAAGTGATTCTCCTGCTTCAGCCTCCTGAGTAGCTGCAATTACAGGCACTTGCCACCACGCCCAGCTAATTTTTGTATTTTTAGCAGAGACGGGGTTTCACCAAGTTGGCCATGCTGATCTCAAACCTCTGACCTCAGGTGATCCACCTGCCGCAGCTTCCCAACCCATTAAAATTTTTAAGAAAAAAAGTTATACTAACATTTTAAAAAATCACTAACTTATTGTCAAGCCTCTCTAAAATCTCCTTTCATTTTTGAATTCCAAGGTCAAAGTTTAGGTTCAAATTTTTACTCTTACTTTTGAATTCTGAGGTCAACCTTTTGAGTTACTAGTAAGTCTACCAAAATTTTAGCTGTTGAACTAATTGCAGTTATTTTTCTTTTGCTATCTCAGATTCGGATTCAAACCGCCATTACTTTTTCTATCCAACATGCTGGTAAAAGCACATCCAAACCCACAAATGTGAAAAACAATGAGACCTAGAAATATAATTCATCTGTAGAAAAGTTCTGAGTCAGTTCCTTTTCAGGGAGTCCAGACGGTTCCTGAGCTTCTCTCTGAATGATTTCTCTGAGTCAAATAAAATGACAAGGCAGGCATTTAAATGACAAGAAGCCAACCCTGGGTCTGGTGTGCTGGGAGTGGAAAATTCTGTGAAGTTTTTATGTTCCCACTGTGTACAAGCACAGATTATCTTTCTCAAGCAGACACAGAAGCATATAGAAGACCCAGAAATTCCATTAGTTTCACAGTCTAGTGCCAATAAATTTAATAAGAAATGGAAGCAAGGTTATTTATTTGTTTTACAGCATTCTAAAGACTGCACAGAAAGAAACTCTTAGAAGAGTTTAGCTCAGTAATTGACTAAAACATTCGTGATTATTCACCAAATCCCCAAATATTCCCTGAGCACCTTCTAAGTACTAAGTCACTGGGCTAGCCACCATGGTAGGATTAAAATGATGGGTAAGGAGTTTCTAATTTAATTCCATGCTTTCCAAAGACTCCTCTGAGGAGCACTAAAATCTGAGGAATATTAATATTATTATAAGACAAAAAGATTTTCTTGGTAATTAAGAATCAGAAAATAATCAAGCTGTTTTAATTGGCACAGCACTTTTCAGATCTTTTACTATGCTCACACACAATGTGAACCTTCTAGAGAGGGGTATGGTATGCAGTCTTTCCTAAAGCATACCCCAAATAATTCTAAAATTATTCAAACACAATTAACTTTTTTGTTTTGGGCAGCTGCAGGAACTAATATCTATGTAACATACATTAGGAAAATAATAACCTTAAATGCCGAGACAAACATAAATACATATGTGAAAACAAAACTGTCCTAAAGCAAACTGGGGTTAACTGCCCAAATACTTGACCTGGATGTAAGAAACAGCTTGAGTTTAAAAGATAGCAGTGGTCTAGAGTTATAGAAGCTGGGTGGAGCAGGAGGAGCTGGGTCTAAGCCTGAAAAAAAGGAAAGTGTCCGTCAAGGAGGAGAAGCAGCTGAAAAGTGATGGAGCTATTTGGAGGATGAAGGAGACCAGCCAGCCAGAGCAGAGGGTTCATCATATAGGAAGGACAAGGAGTTAAGTCTAGATAGGACCAGATTGAAACAGGTCATGACTGTCAGGTTAGGAAGTCTGAACCTTACCTTGCAGGCAAGAGGGAGGCTTTAAAAGCCTCTAAGCAAGATACTGAAATGTTCAAAGTGGTCTTCTAAGAAAATCACTCTGGTGCTCATTTGAAGAAAGGCATTGGAGTATGAGGGTGAGTGGAGCGGGAAGAGAAGATGGAAGCCTGGTGCTGACTGTGAGATGAAGGTCTAGAATAGGGTTAGTGCACAGACTAAGAAGAGCATTTTAATGAAGAATTGACAGAAAGGGAAGACTGGATGTCAGAACTGTATAAATGGGTCATGGGGTTTGGCTTCTGGGTGATAAAGTACCATTTTTATGGGGAGTATAGTTTTTGAGATGTCATATTGCATCTTACTCCTTCCCCATCTCCAACCCCCCACTAATTCCACAAAAGCAGGGAGGCCTTTCCTATTTCTTTGTCTGAAGAGCTGTCAGCTCTACCTGTCTTTTTTAAAAGATGAAGCTCACCAAGGGATGGTGGTGGATATCCCAGAATGATGACCAATAATAGCTGAGAAAGGAGTTTTTTCAATGTCAGGGGAAGAGAAGGCAGCAGAGGTGGATTTGAAGAGACTAGGAAGAGAGTCCCATGAGAAGCGTGCACCCGTCTCAGCTCCCAGCTGCCTTCCAGGAAGGTGGCTAAATTCAGAGAGGAGGGCTGTAAGGTGCACCTGGAGAAAACTAAAGATAGGTCCTCCCAGGAGGAGGAGTTGAAGATTCCCATGTCTCACATTTAGAAGTGTGTATGGATAAGGAGCAATGGAAATGCTAACTGCTATGTGAATATAATCCACTTTGGAGAGCCATTTAGCTCTAGCTAGTAAAACTGAAGATTCCCAGAAAACATCTAGGTATATACTCACATATAGGCCCAAGGAAAAAGGTGTAAGGATGCAGAAGGGCAAAGTTGTTTGTAAGACTGGAAAATTGGAAACAGCTTAAAAATCCAAGGGTAGGATGTTTAAATACATTGTGTATATTCACAAAATGGACTGCTAAATGAATGAACTAGAGAAACATGGATACATTTCAAAAAACAGTGTTGAATATAAAGAAGAAGTTTTGGGAGGAAGTTACCATTTACGTTAAGATTTCCAATATATAAACCATATGCAAGTATACTATGTATTATCTATGGGCATACAAACAAAGCATCTCAAACCCGCATGAGGTCCACAATCATTAAAGTCAGGATAATGCTTGCATTTGGAGTAAGGGAGGTAAAAAGGAAATTGGATTAGGAAGGATCATAGAAGTTTCAGGTATATCTAATGATTTAAATCTAAAGGAACCGTAGAAAAATGTTAAGATCTGTCAAAACTTAGTAGTGGGTACACGGATGTTTGTTATAGTATCCTTTGTTTATCTGCACTTTTGAAATATTTTACAAAAGTATTTTTAAATTATTTTAACAGCTCTATTTAGGTATAAATGAAGAAACTATCATGTTAATAAAGATAGTGAACATATCTATCACCCCAAAAATTTTCCTCATGCCCCTTTTGAGGAGATCTGGCATTTGGTATTTGTTCATGCCTGTAATCCCAGGTCTTTAGGAGGCCAAGGAGGGCAGATCACTTGAGGTCAGGAGTTCAAGATCAGCCTGGCCTACATGGTGAAACCCCGTCTCTACTAAAAATATAAAAATTAGCCAGGCATGGTGGCATGCGCCTGTAGTCCCAGCTACTCAGGAAGCTGAGACAGGAGAATCACTTGAGCCCAGGAGGTGGAAGTTGCAGTGAGCCGAGATCGCACCACTGCACACCAGCCTGGGTGACAGAGTGAGACTCCATCTCAAAAAAAAAAAAAAAAAAAAAGATGGGGCCTTGCCCTTATGATAAATGAATTGAACTTCCTGCCAGCTTGGGAGAAAGGGATTGCAGAGTCAGATTTATATTAATTTAAAGAAAAATAAGTAATGTGATGTTTCTTGACCTTTTGAGTTTATGATTAAAATTCATACTTGCTACAAACAGCTAGGGAAATTGGGTGGAAGAAAGAGTTTAAAGGTAACAGTGGAGACATGGAGTGGGCAATTAAACATGAAGGCTAGAGCTGCAAGGAGAGGTCAGCACTGGAGGTTGAGGCTTTGGTGGACATTTGCCTGGTGCAAATAGTTAAGACCATGTGAATAGATGAGATCTCCAAAAGAATGAGGGTAGGCAAAGAACAGCCCTGGATGTAGGTCCCTGCCTTGGCATGTGCAATTGGGATGGGTACAGAAAAAGGAGATAGTAAAGAAGATCTAACTGTGGTGAGGCAGGTGGTGAATTAGTATATACTAATGGTCAGGAAGCCAAGGGAAGAAAGAGTAAGGCAAATAGCATCACATACCTTAGAGAAGAAAAGCAAATTGAGGCTGAGGAGCCATTAGATCCAGTGACTGAGAGATTGCTGATGTCCTAAAATGTGCAATTTCAGTAAAATTGTGAAAACAGAATTCCACTTTAGACACTTAAAAAGAGAGTGGAAATGAAGACACCTCCGAATAAATATAGATCATTCCAAGAGTTTTGCTGTGTAAAGCTGAGAAATGCAGGAATGGTGTGAGCAGGACCATTAGGAAAAAGTGGAAGGATTTACTGACAGAAAATCCTAGGATGTATGTTTAATAATGACCACCTTCTCCATCCTCAAGTATTACTATTGTAAAATAATTGCCATAATTCCAAAGCTTTAGTTTTAGAGAGTTAATTCACTCAATTCATCCACCTAGAATAAAAAGAAATAACATTTGCATTTAAAACACAACTGTCATAAGCAATGGATGTTGCTTTCAAACCCTTAATACAAGTGGAAAAATTTTGAAAACCTTGCTACTCAGAGTGTGGTCCATGGACCAGCAGCGTGAGCATCACCCAGGAGCTTGCTAGAATGAGAAAAGCAGAATCTCAGATCCTATCCCACATCCACTAAACCAGAATGTGCCTTCCCAGGTGATTTGTCTGCATGTTCAAGTTTGAGAAGGAGAGCTGTTGAAAACATTCAGAAATTATGACATGACTGATACTTTGAGAAGTTCTCTAAGGATCAGACAGCAGAGGAGCAAAACTAGTCTGTCTGGAAGAAATCATCAGTTGATTAGTGAAACATCAATCAGGGATTAATCAAGGATTTGAAAGAGAACAGGAACCTGGCAGCTAGGGAAACAGTGTAAGAGGCTGAATCTAAGAAGCAAGCATAATCTTACAAAAGCAAGATAGACCAGACTTCAACTTTCAGAAGCATAGTCTTTACTGGAAATTCTTTATCCCACTTGCTGATTGCAGGAAACAGTCACTTCCAGCAAGGTAAGGGGTGGTAGGAATGTGGTTGGCAGGAAGTCCCTTTGGGGACTTTGCAGGCAGGAACCTCCCTCTGTGACAGAGGGACATTGCTGTTATCTCAGGCTAGGCTGGCCTCCATACTAGCAGGCCTGGGCTACCTGTGCTTACACCTCTTCCTTCTTCACTCAGCCTCAGCATCACTGTGCCATATGGTCAGGCCTCCAAAATCTGCCTTAGCTGTATTCCTCCGTCGTCTTTCTTTTAAAGGTTGAATTTCATCAGGATTTATTTGAAACTCTTGTTTAAAAGCCTGATTCTTGCCCTCCCAACTCCAAGTCCTCAAGGGACCTGATAGTGAAGGTCCAGGATGGGATCTAGAAAATACATTTGTAATAAGCACCATATGTGATTTTGCTGCAGATGTTTCCAGACTAGATTTGCAGAAGCAGCCTTCCTTCAGTCGCACTCCTTTGCTGCTCAGAGTCTTACCAATTGAGAGGTGAGGATATGGAGACTCTCAGATACATGCTGGATCCTTTGTAATATCTACTCCCTCTCTAACTTCTCCTTTGCAGCGTCAGTTTTCCAGACTATGTTCTTCTTCCCTACTCCTTCATCACTTTTTCCCTCTGCCCTCACTGCCTTCCAGTGACCTTCAGACAGGTACAGGCTACCCATCCACAAATATTCAGCCCTCACCAACTCTCACCCACTCTAAATTCCTCTAACATGGTCTCTTTCTTGCTATCTCCAATTCCACTTGTGGAATTCTCCTCTGGATTCCAGCCAGCTTGTACTCTTCTCTTCTACAGTTTCTCCAGGTCTCCAATTACTTCTTTGAGGGCATATTAAAAAGCCTCTTTATGCTTCTCCTCCTTGACCGCACAGCTGCATCTGCCACTGCCAATCACCCTCTTCTCTGAGCACCCTAGCACTGCTGGGATGGGCATGTTCAAGGCTGCATCACACTTTGCCTTTCGACAGAATCAATGAGCCTGGCTCCTGTACTGTAGATAGATCTCAGGATTCAGCAGGTGTTCCTTCTCACTGCCTCAGGTGCTTCCTTTAATCCTCTGGAAATTGTAATACTGCTGGGGAAGCCTAAAAGCTAAACTATCTTCACAATCGACTGTATTAGGACTGTTTGAAGATCTGATCTTACAGTCAGGACTGGCTACATGGTTTGCAAGGGCCAGTGCAAAAAGAAAATGTGGACCCTTTGTTTAAAAGGTCTTAAGAAATTTCCAGATGATGGTAGCAGAACTTAAACCAGGGGGAGGGCTTTTTATTTTTAAGTGCAGAGCCTGTGTGACTTCGTAGATCACATGCTCAGGAAGCTGGCTCTGCTGATGGTTGACCCAGCCTGTTAGCTTGGTGACCCTCAGGACCAGATAAGTTAGTGAGAACATGGTTAAAATTCAGATAAACTCATAGCTCACATTCCCAATATACCAGCTAGTTTTCCCAGTGCAACACCCTCCAGGGTCACAGTCTTCACTTCTCACTTCTGTAGGTTCCAACATGGGCCTCGTCATCACCAGAAGGACAGGGGAGCATGAGAATGACACAGCACAGCTACTCACCAAAAGGATGGGGAAGAAACAGCCCAACAGGGCAGGTCAGAAGCATCATCATCGTTGTTTTCATAATTGGAGTACCGAATAGTATAAAACTCAATCCTAAATGCTGTGCTCTAGCTCTTCCCCATTTCCAGCCCCTAAACCCCACAAGACCAGACTGGAGACAGAAACTGGAATCCAAGCAGCAACAAGCCTCCCTGCTTTCTTTGGGGCAGAGCCAAAAAGAGATAAAGAACGTGTTGTATTAGGCAGCAGTAAACAGGCAAGGGACAAGCAGGCCTTTAATAAAACAGACCTTTATTGGGGCTAAAATGGCCCAGGGCTGACCCTACCCTAAATCCTGGCAGTGTCCAACGACAGGAATTCAGAGGAACAAAAACGCTGGCATTGCCTGCTGCATCCCATGCATACATAACAGAAAGCACTGCAGAACCTCACAAGCAAGGAATACATAAATGCCATTATCCAGTCTTTCAGCCAAAACTTATTTTTTAGTCTGGACGACTATGCTATTCTGCTTTCTCTGCCTCCAATTTCTGTCCTGTGACTCACAGGGAGGGCTTTGGGGAAATGAAATATCCCAAGACCTAAAATAGGTCCTTCTCCCTCCCTCTAATATCAGGATGAGTTTCCTAAGGCATTTGTTTCTTCCTTAATTAACCAGGCATGAATGATAATATTGCCTGGGTTGAAGAACTCATCTCTGTCACTGGTAAATATAAATAACGAGCCCTGTTCATAGAAAAGCGTGCCAGAATTTCATTGATTAACATCCCGTGCCACAGCCTCTCTTTGAAATTAAAAACACTTTCAATGACACTGAAAAGACATTGCACAAAAAAAAATATTTCTAAGACAAGGTTGTCATTAAAGCATGCCAGAAATAGAACTGTTTTTATTTAACCATCCTCACTCCTCCCCGCCCCCTCCCTTGCTGGCTGTGAGGCTGCACGCAGTTAAATCACAAGGATTACAGAAAGTAATTTCATCCATTTGAATTTTAGAAGCTTCAGAAGCAGACCTATGGATAATGCTTAGTTGATGCGTCTCTTTGCCCCCATGGCAAGTGATAATTAAGGAAGTGATATGAGCAGATTTAAAATCCAGCTGTTTAGTAATTTACAGAATTTTTTTATTTCTTAACTGCACATCAGATTCTACCCCACTGTCACTCTCTTAGTCCTGACCCTCATTGTTGTCCCCACACAGCCTCCTAATTGGTCTCCTTGCCTCCAGCTTTAAGCCCCTGTTTCATGGGGACACGACTGCTGGACAGAATATGAAAACTGGTGATTGGAGGGCCAGAATCACTGCAGACTTGTTTATAAGTACAGTGGGTTGTTTGGTTTGGTTTGGCTTTTTAGATTGCAAAGCCTTTAAATGAGTTTAGTGTGCTTGCTACACAGCCTCCTCAGTGTTCCCCCTGCAATCTCTTACACGAGATTCTCCACCACATGACCCCCGTCACTTATGTATCCTGATGTGTCACAGTTCCTTTGCTTCTGTGGCCTCTGGTCCTGTCTGCCAGCCTTGGCCATCTATGCATTGGGCAGGAAGTGCTCTTCAGCCCACCACAACTCTTTGGCTTTTCCCAGTTCTGCTTGAAATCTAATGACAAAAACCACATGATTATCTCAATACATGCAGAAAAGGCCTTCGATAAAATTCAACGCCACTTTATGCTAAAAACTCTCAATAAAATAGGTATTGATGGAACGTATCTCAAAATAATAACAGCTATTTATGACAAACCCACAGGCAATATCACACTGAATGTGCAAAAGTTGGAACCATTCCCTTTGAAAGCCAGCACAAGACGAGGATGCCTTCTCTCACCACTCCTATTCAACATAGTATTGGAAGTTCTGGCCAGGGCAATCAGACAAGAGAATGAAATAAAGGGTATTCGAATAGGAAGAGAGGAAGTCAATTGTCTCTGTTTGCAGATGACATGATTGTATATTTAGAAAACCCCATCGTCTCAGCCCAAAATCTCCTTAAGCTGATAAGCAACTTCAGCAAAGTCTCAGGATACAAAATTAATCTGCAAAAATCACAAGCATTCTTATACACCAATAATAGAAAAACAGAGAACCAAATCATGAGTGAACTCCCATTCACAAATGCTACAAAGAGAATAAAATACCTAGGAATCCAACATACAAGCAATGTGAAGGACCTCTTCAAGGAGAACTACAAACCACTGCTAAAGGAAATAAGAGAGAAAACAAATGGAAGAACATTCCATGCTCATGGATAGAAAGAATGAATATGGTGAAAATGGCCATACTGCCCAAACTAACTTACAGATTCAATGCCATCCCCATCAAGCTACCATCGGCTTTCTTCACAGAATTAGAAAAAAACTACTTTAAATTTCATATGGAACCAAAAAAGAGCCCGCATTGCCAAGTCAATCCTAAGCCAAAAGAACACAGCTGGAGGCATCACGCTACTTGACTTCAAACTCTACTACAAGGCTACACTAACCAAAACAGCGTGGTACTCGTACCAAAACAGAGATATAGACCAATGGAACAGAACAGAAGCTCAGAAATAACGCCACACATCTACAACCATCTGATCTTTGACAAACCTGACAAAAACAAGCAATGGGGAAAGGATTCGCTATTTAATAAATGGCGTTGGGAAAACTGGCTCGTCATATGCAGAAAAGTGCAACTTCCTTACACCTTATACAAAAATTAACCCAAGATGGATTAAAGACTTAAACGTAAGACCTAAAACCATAAAAACCCTAGAAGAAAACCTAGGCAATACCATTCAGGACATAGGCATGGGCAAAGACTTCATGACTAAAACACCGAAAGCAATGGCAACAAAAGCCAAAATTGACAAATGGGATCTAATTACACTAAAGAGCTTCCGCACAGCAGAAGAAACTATCATCAGAGTGAACAGGCAATCTACAGAATGGGGGAAAATTTTTGCAATCCATCCATCTGACAAAGGGCTAATATCCAGAATCTACAAATAACTTAAACAAATTTACAAGGAAAAAACAAACAACCCCATCAAAAAGTGGGTGAAGGATATGAACAGACACTTCTCAAAAGAAGACATTTATGTGGCCAACAAACATAGGAAAAAAAGCTCTTCATCACTGGTCATTAGAGAAATGCAAATCAAAACCACAATGAGATATCATCTCATGTCAGTTAGAATGGCCATTATTAAAAAGTCAGGAAAGACCACTGTGCAATCAAACTAGAACTCAGGATCAAGAAACTCACTCAAAACTGCTCAACCACATGGAAACTGAACAACCTGCTCCTGAATGACTACTGGGGACATAATGAAATGAAGGCAGAAATAAACATGTTCTTTGAAACCAATGAGAACAAAGACACAACATACCAGAATCTCTGGGACACATTCAAAGCAGTGTGTAGAGGGAAATTTATAGCACTAAATGCCCACAAGAGAAAGCAGGAAAGATCTAAAATTGACACCCTAACATCACAATTAAAAGAACTAGAGAAGCAACAGCAAACACATTCAAAAGCTAGCAGAAGGCAAGAAATAACTAAGATCAGAGCAGAACTGAAGGAAATAGAGACACAAAAAACCCTTCAAAAAATCAATGAATCCGGGAGCTGGTTTTTTGAAAAGATCAACAAAATTGATAGACCTCTAGCAAGACTAATAAAGAAGAAAAGAGAGAAAAATCAAATAGATGCAATAAAAAATGATAAAGAGGATATCACCACTGACCCCACAGAAATACAAACTACCATCAGAGAATACTATAAACACCTCTACACAAATAAACTAGAAAATCTAGAAGAAATGGATAAATTCCTCGACACATACACCCTCAAACTAGAAAATCTAGAAGAAATGGATAAATTCCTCGACACATACACCCTCCCAAGACTAAACCAGGAAGAAGTTGAATCTCTGAATAGACCAATAACAGGCTCTGAAATTGAGGCAATAATTAATAGCTTACCAACCAAAAAAGTCCAGGACCAGATGGATTCACAGGCGAATTCTACCAGAGGTACAACGAGGAACTGGTACCATTCTTTCCGAAACTATTCCAATGAATAGAAAAAGAGGGAATCCTCCCTAACTCATTTTATGAGGCCAGCATCATCCTGATACAAAGCCTGGCAGAGACACAACAAAAAAAGAGAATTTTAGACCAATATCCCTGATGAACATTGATGCAAAAATCCTCAATATTATACTGGCAAACCGAATCCAGCAACACATCAAAAAGCTTATCCACCATGATCAAGTGGGCTTCATCCCTGGGATGCAAGGCTGGTTCAACATATGCAAATCAATAAACATAATCCAGCATACAAACAGAACCAATGACAAAAACCACATGATTATCTCAATAGATGCAGAAAAGGCCTTTGACAAAATTCAATAACTCTTCATGCTTAAAACTCTCAATAAAGTAGGTATTGATGGGACGTATCTCAAAATAATAAGAGCTATCTATGACAAACTCACAGCCAATATCATACTGAATGGGCAAAAACTGGAAGCATTCCCTTTGAAAACTGGCACAAGACAGGGATGCCCTCTCTCACCACGCCTATTCAACATAGTGTTGGAAGTTCTGGCCAGGGCAATCAGGCAGGAGAAGGAAATAAAGGGTATTCGATTAGGAAAAGAGGAAGTCAAATTGTCCCTGTTTGCAGATGACATGATTGTATATTCAGAAAACCCCATCGTCTCAGCCGAAAATCTCCTTAAGCTGATAAGCAACTTCAGCAAAGTCTCAGGATACAAAATCAATGTGCAAAAATCACAAGCATTCTTATACACCAATAACAGACAAACAGAGAGCCAAATCAGGAGTGAACTCCCATTCACGATTGCTTCAAAGAGAATAAAATACCTAGGAATCCAACTTACAAGGGATGTGAAGGACCTCTTCAAGGAGAACTACAAACCACTGCTCAATGAAATAAAAGAGGATACAAACAAATGGAAGAACATTCCATGCTCATGGATAGGAAGAATCAATATTGTGAAAACAGCCGTACTGCCCAAGGTAATTTATAGATTCAATGCCATCCCCATCAAACTACCAATGACTTTCTTCACAGAATTAGAAAAAAATACTTTAAAATTCCTATGGAACCAAAAAACAGCCCGCATTGCCAAGTCAATCCTAAGCCAAAAGAGCACAGCTGGAGGCATCATGCTACCTGACTTCAAACTATACTACAAGGCTACAGTAACCAAAACAGCATGGTACTGGTACCAAAACAAAGATATAGACCAATGGAACAGAACAGAGCCCTCAGAAATAATGCCACATATCTACAACTATCTGATCTTTGACAAACCTGACAAAAACAAGAAATGGGGAAAGGATTCCCTATTTAATAAATGGTGCTGGGAAAACTGGCTAGCCATAGGTAGAAAGCTGAAACTGGATCCCTTCCTTACATCTTATACAAAAGTTAATTCAAGATGGATTAAAGACTTACATGTTAGACCTAAAACCATAAAAACCCTAGAAGAAAACCTAGGCAATACCATTCAGGACATAGGCATGGGCAAGGACTTCATGTGTAAAACACCAAAAGCAATGGCAACAAAAGCCAAAATTGACAAATGGGATCTATTTAAACTAAAGAGCTTCTGCACAGCAAAAGAAACTACCATCAGAGTGAACAGGCAGCCTACAGAATAAGAGAAAATTTTTGCAACCTACTCATCTGACAAAGGGCTAATATCCAGAAGCTACAATGAACTCCAACAAATTTACAAGAAAAAAACAACCCCATCAAAAAGTGGGCAAAGGGTATGAACAAATACTTCTCAAAAGAAGACATTTATGCAGCCAAAAGACACATGAAAAAATGCTCATCATCACTGGCCATCAGAGAAATGCAAATCAAAACCACAATGAGATACCATCTCACACCCATTTAGAATGGTGATCTTTAAAAAGTCAGGAAACAACAGGTGCTGGAGAGGCTGTGGAGAAATAGGAACACTTTTACACTGTTGGTGGGACTGTAAACTAGTTCAACCATTGTGGAAGTCAGTGTGGCGATTCCTCAGGGATCTACAACTAGAAATACCATTTGACCCAGCCATCCCATTACTGGATATATACCCAAAGGATTATAAATCATGCTGCTATAAAGACACATATACACATATGTTTATTGTGGCACTATTCACAATAGCAAAGACTTGGAACCAGCCCAAATGTCCAACATTGATAGACTGGATTAAGAAAATGTGGCACATATACACTATGGAATACTATGCAGCCATAAAAAAGGATGAGTTCATGTCCTTTGTAGGGACATGGATGAAGCTGGAAACCATCATTCTCAGCAAACTATCACAAGGACAAAAAACCAAACACCACATGTTCTCACTCATAGGTGGGAATTGAACATTGAGAACACATGGACACAGGAAGGGGAATGTCACACACCAGGGCCTGTTGTGGGGTGGGGGGAGGGGGGAGGGATAGCATTAGGAGATATACCTAATGTTAAATGACGAGTTAATGGGTGCAGCACACCAACATGGCACATGTATACATATGTAACAAACCTGCACGTTGTGCACATGTACCCTAGAGCTTAAAGTATATATAAAAAAAAATCCAACTCATCTTTCGAGGTCAAGTTGAAATGTTACCTTCTCTATGAAGTGCCTGTTAAGTTTTGTAGTCAATCTAGTGTGGCAGAGAAAGCAAGGACTCTGACATCAGGCAGACCTGAGTTTGAATCCCACCTCTTTCATTTATCAGGTCTGAGAGCTTAGCTATTTTCTTAATATCTTTGAAGCTCCACCTATTGATTTGTAAAATGAGAGTCATTTATACTGCAGGTACCTATTATTATCATTATGTGTTTTGCTTCTTTTTTTTTTTCTGTTGCCCAGGCTGGAGTGCAGTGAACAATCTCGGTTCTCTGCAACTTCCAACTCCCGGGTTCAAGCGATTCTCCTGCCTCAGCCTCCTGAGTAGCTGGGACTACAGGTGACTACCATCACACCTGGCTAGTAGAGATGGGGTTTCATCATGTTTCTCAGGCCAGTCTCGAACCCCTGGCCTCAAGCAATCCACTCGCCTTGGCTTCCCAAAATGCTGGAATTGCAGGCGTGCTTTGCTTCTTTCACAGAATATTGTATAGCACTTTCTACATTTGTCTTTTAATACGGTATGTGTGCATCTCTCTTTCTCCTCCACTGAATCACAGCACTGGGTTGTCATCACTGCATTTCCACAGTGCCCTGCATGGACCTCAAACTTTGGCACTCAGTGGACATTTATTAAGTGTGTGTTTGTTCAAATTGTCTGCTTTGCGTTAATGAAACTGACAGTCATTTGTTTAATAACTCATGGGAGAGACAGATCTGAAAACTTTGCCAATTCATACCTGTACTTCTTTTCATTCCTCATTTTTAGATTTTTATTCACATGATTTAGATTTTGACCCCTTAAATTATAACATAGTGGTAACAACTTATTACTTGTGTGTGTGTGTATATATATATATATATATACATATTTAAATTTTATTGTAGTTATATAGTGTTTCCTATTAGCAAGGAAGAAGTCTAAGTCCTTCATATATATTTCATGTGTAATTCTCACAACCAACCTGGGAGGTAGATACCACCCTAATCCCCACTTTACAGATGAAGGAACTGAGGCTTGGCAGGATGAAGGTTAAGTGATTTGACTGAAGTCTTGCAGCTGGCGCATGGTGAGCCTGGAGCCAAACCCAGGAAGTCAGGCTCCGGAGAAGAAGATTCTCACCACTAGCAAGTAATGCCTTTGACATACTATCACCAGCTAAACCAGAAAGCAAAAAGTAAATGGAAATGATCTAATTGGTTACTGTTTCACACACACAAAATAACCTAGTTCAACTGATGTTCTGGTTAGCTAGACCCCCAGGTGCCCATATGTGAGTTGTGTGAGAATAAAAATGACTGACAGAGGTTTTGCATAAAAATGACTGACGGAGTTTTTGCCCACCCAGCTGCTTCTGTGGCCTCTGGCAGGTAGTGCTGGGTTTCCTGAAGACCCCTTCTCACCTTTCCCGTAGATCTAGATGTAACTTGCCAAGAAAAGCAGTTGTAGGACACAAAGATGTGCAGCACCAGGGGGACACTCCGGTCAGAGATCCAGATCCCTACAGAAGCAAAAGTCTCCAGGAGGGAGGAAGAGGATGTCTGCCACAAACCCCTAGCTCAGTCAATGACAACCAAGATGGCCTGGTCCTGAAAATGACTCAAAACTCAGAGCTGAAAATTTTTGGAGGATTCATGGAGTTGATAGCAGCAACCTCAGGCTTGAAGAGCACACGGCCATTCTATGGCTGTGAAAACCACCCATGCTCATTCCTGTGCTCCAGGATCTCCAGACATACCCACTGGCAGTATGCTGCTACTTCTATTCCAGACTCAAAGACCATAGGATGCCATTTCCATATTGTAATCTATGGTTGTGCTTCTCAAACGAATTGCAGACAAATAACCTGGGAGTCTTGTTAAAAATGTAGATTCTGACCCAGTAGGTTTGGGGTTGCCTGAGATTCTGCATTTTTAAAAACAGAGATGGGGTCTTGCTATGTTGCCCAGGCTGGTCTTAAACTCTTGGGTTCCAGGATTTTCCTACCTCAGCCTTTCAAAATGTTGGGATTACAGGCACGAGCCACTGAGCCTGGCCAGATTCTGCATTTCTAACAAGCTCCTGGGTGATATTGATGCTGCTGGTCCAGGGATTATACTCTGAGTTGCAAGAGCCCACGGATACTAGCCTGTAATGGGCTAAATTGCACTGCAAATCTTTAAAAAGTGTCTGTAATACACAACATTTCCAGGATTTATTTGCCCAAGGGACCCATTTTAGTAGAACATTTATTAAAATCTCTATTAGTTAATTAAGATTAAGGTTTAATTTTGAGTAACATAAAATTCAGAATAGCTGACATTTTTTCCTTTATTACACATAAAAGAAATCTAGATAGTCTAGGGTTGGCCATGGCCCCAGACAGCCTCAGGAACCCTGTCTCCTTCTGTTGCATTGTTCTACCCTCCACAGCTTGTAGCTTCCACATCCATGTCCAAGATGGCTGCTCCAGTTTCAGCCACTACAAACGCATAACACCGGCAAGAACAAGGAAGGACAGCAGAAGGACATATGCACTCTCCTTTCCAATGACACTTCCAAGGAGTTGCACATACTACCTATGCTTTCATATCATTGTCCAGAACCTCATCACTTGGCACAGCTGCAAGGAAGACTGGTCAGTGTGGTCGGCATTCTGAGTACCCATATCCACAACCAAAAATCGAGGGCACTAGTACCGAGAAAGGGAGGGGAGTGTATATTTTCCTTACACAGTCTCTTAAAGAACTAGTAAAAATAGGGAAAGAAGTGATGCTCTGGTCTGACCCCTTCATTTTGCACAACTGGTTGGCAAGTGTCCAGCATAAGCATCTGTGTCTCTTGGCTGCTCTTTCACATCTTGCTCAATTACTCCGTGGTTCCTCTTCAGATGATATCCTTCCTATCCATGGTGGCAGAGAGGAGACCCTAGGAAGTCCCTGTCTTGGCTGCTTGAGAGCTGTAGCCCTGTTGGGAGCATGTGATTGATAGACTACTCTGCCTAGCTCCCACTGGGCTCAGAGAATGCATTAGTGTCACAAAAGAGAGGCAAGAGCACGGGAGAATAAAACCATGGTCCATTATTTTGCCATGTGACACATCTGTACAGGCATCAAAACGTCATAATATGTATGCAGTTTTATAGTGAACCCAGTCTTTGTGACAGCATTTCTGCAAGTTTCTCAATTCTGCATCTTTGCTTCACTGTCTTTGAATATCAGTGACCTGCCATGGGAGGAAGGTAGGCTCATTCTCCAACACTGAATCATTGTACAAAGTCTCTTATGACTTAGTACTGAGATTGCTTGCTAAATAAGAAAAGAATAGAAAGGGATCTGGGAAAAGGCAGATTTAACATTTATTGACTGCCCACTATGTGCCAGGTATGAGGCTTGGTGTTCATATACGTGTCTTTTCATGCTAATTACAATTTATGACACAATACAATTTGGTCTGGTAATGACCAAGCTGGGAGTTCAACCAGGTATCTATGCCTCTAAAATCCATCTCTTTTTATCAAAACAGAAAACAGGAGCAGCCTTCTGTGCAGCTCACTCTCTTTGTCTCCCTGATCTAGCCTTCCCCCTACCACATTCTTTCACACATTGACTTTGTGTTCATCTTTTCCCAGTAATTAGTAAATTATAACCCCCACATCTCAAATTCTTGACATTCATTTGCTGTTTCCCAGTAATTCATCCCATTTGGTATTTGCCTTGAAAAAGGATCCAAAGTGCTGGCTAATGCGGCACGCACTCCCTTGCCTGGATGCAGCCCTCCACCTCATTTATCACATTGAGCCGCTGGTCCTGAAGTCTGACAGGCAATTCAGGCTTTCTGAATGCAATTCAGGCATTGATTTTAATCTATAAAGCTTTCGCGTCTGGGTCCTGGCTGCCATGGAAATGAAATAGCTTCTTGGATACTTTTCCCCATGCTGCTGCTAACTATTCTGATATGCAGGGTTTTGAGAGACAGTTCTGTATTTCTGATGTACAAATGTCCAATATGAATAGCCTCGTAACTTTAACCATCATTGTTAAACGGAATGGAAATCTTAAACAAGGACAAATACATGGCACACACTTACACTTACGGCCCTAGGCAATGAATTTATTGATAACAATATCTGGCTAAAAACAAATTTAAAAATACAGACCACAAGGTGGCAAACACATTTGGTTTTCAAACAGGAAATCTCGAAGCCCAGGAGGACACTGGGTACCAGGAAACCAGTGGAGAAGCACGATGTTTAGACTTTGGTGTGTAATCTGATTTTCTCTCACCCACACAGGGGAAGTTGGTGGCAAGGAAATGATTCTAAGATGTATGCTTTGTCAAGGTGGGGGCAGGAAGAATGAAAACTTGGTGCTTACACTAAAAGTATGGTGGCAGGAAATGAGCTATCATTTCAAGTCATGAAAAGACACAGGGAAACTTAAATGCTCATGACTAAGTGAAAGAAGCCAATCCAATAAGGGTCCATACTGCATGATTCCAACTGTAGAATCTTCTGGAAAAGGCAAAACTGTGGAGACAATGAAAACATCAATGGAGGTCAGAGGTCAGAAGAGAGGGTTGAATAGGCAGACCAGAGAGGATTTTAAGAGCAGTGGAAGAAGCTATTCTGTGTAATATTATAATGGAGGATACATGTTATCATATATTTGTCCAAACCGTGGAATGGACAACAGTAAGAATGAACCCAAGTGTAAACTGTGGACTTTGGATGATAACGATGTGCCGATGTAACACATGCACTGCTCTGGTGGGGAGTGCTGGTCATGGGGGAGGTTGTGACTGTGTTGGGGCAGGGAGTATATAGGAAAGAAGTCTCTGTACCTTCCTCTCAATTTTACTGTGAACCTAAAACTGCTCTAAAGAAAAAAAAAAAAAAAAAAAACTGGAAAAAACAAAAGTGCAGTGGCAGGCAGTGTGCCCAGGGAATATGACACCACCTTTGTTCCAGTCGGCCCTAGAGGCTGGGAAATGGGGGAGGATGACGGGAACTGTAAAGGGGATTTAAACTCTTCCACCACAGTTCTGCTTTCATTCACTTCCCCGGAAGGTTCTGGCTGGCTGCCCTTACTGCTCACGTGGCTTTCATTCCAAAACGCAATTCCTCACTTCAGCTTTTTAAATTCTGATGACATTGGCGTTAGCAAAGAATGTGACAAAGCAGTTGATATGTTGACATATATCCCTAAAAGGATAGAGTTTTAATTAAAAAAATTAAGAATGTGTCCAAAAAGACAGAAACTTAAGTAAAAGTAGAAATAGAAAAAGATGACTCTGAGGCATTTTCAAGTAGCAAATGATGGTTGAATCCACTCATGGAGTTTTATTTTGCCATGGAAGAAGGCTGGTAGACCATGACTTATCATATAGAGAGAGCTGGGTGAAACATAGATTTAATTGAGTCCCTGAAACAGAACTTCACATAAAATGTTCAGTGGCACATATAAGTTAGGAGGCGGATGCCAGTCTCTGCTCTTATGAGCAGTGAAGCATAAACTCAACTACAGTTTTTCAGGAGCTTCCCCCTGTCCTTTTCCAATTATCCAGCTCTGTTTAGAAAGTGATAATTCTTCCAACACTAAAAAATACAAGTTTAATATCATAAGTATACTTTTTAGGGTCTGGTTTCAGCAAAGCCCAGCGAGACCGGGAGATGAAGCTGCCATCAGCTGGCGTCAGGTCAATGCACACATAAATTTTTTCCAAACTAAAAACTGTGGTTGTCTGTGTGATATCAAAACAATTGTATGATTAAGTCAGTTCCATCAAGAATCCCTCACAGCAGTTGCTTGGGATGTAAACAGAGACTGACCACATTTTTCCTTTTCAAATGTGAATTGGGTGGCCTTAGATGTGTTATCTAGGAGGGACCAGTAGGCAGGAAAGGTAAGCTACCTTTACATTTTCACAGTTCCAAGCAACAACCAACATCCTTGGCTCTTAGGCGGCTTTGGTGCCTGTTGTCCCTGCCACAGGGCCTCCCTAAGCTCAAGTCCTCCCCATTGTCAGGTCAGCACAGTGGGCACTTGCCCGTGCTCACCAGCACTTTATACGATTGAGTTTGTAACAAGCCCCCTTCAACTCCACCATTGTGGATTGCTCACAAGCATCCTGGGATATACCCAGCGGTGATGAGGCATTGTCCCGGCCCTTCAGGGGCTCCCGGTAATACTGTTCTCTCAGGCCAACTGCCTTATTATCAGGAATGGCAAAACACGGTATATAATATTGGGGCTCCTACCTGTTTCCTCCCAAGGAAAAACTCTGTGCTCCAATTCCCATCCAGATTCTTGGATGTAAAAGACACCAACTGAAGCTCGAAGTGATTTTTCCTTCTCTGAGAACAGCAAGGACTCAGGGAGATGAGGCTCCAGGGCTGTGTCTGTTTTACACGGCCTGTTACATGCATGTCTGACAGATCCAGAGGAGAATGAACCCAAGGTGGATTGATCAGGACCCCACCTCTCTATCCACAATCGATCACCCCAGGAGTAGGTAACAATGTTAGCTATTTGTCTGCAACTAGCAATTGCCTTTTTAAATGGTCAGAAACTTAAACTGGGACATCTGACCTGGGAAAGCCAGGCTCATTAGATTATTTCCACAGAGTTGGAACTAAAAGAAGAGGACCATCTCCCCTCTGGGGGTAGAAGCCACAGGACATAAGACTTTAGCCCTGTGAACAATCCTGTTCCCCGATGGGTTGAATGCTGGTCCTGATTCAAGGTAGTGATGCCTCTGCTCTTCAGAGAGAAGTAGAGATGAGAGACAGAGACAGCCCTGGGGACATTTGATCACTGGGTCAGAGCTGCCCCTTCCCCACTTTGTTGGCAGTTATATGAGGCACCCCCTTATTCCTCCAATAAATTCTCTTTTTGCCTGAGCTAATTAGCATTGGGTTTCTATAACTTGCAGGCAAAGCGACACACTGGCAAATTTTCTTGCCCTGACAGCTGGCCTGTCCCATAATTAGATGACCCTTCCTGTGTTTTTTGGCTCAAATCATCATCCATGTGTCCCTCTTTCCTAAAGGCTGTGTCTGAGTCACAGCCTGGTGCATGAACCACCCAGGTGCTCAAGATTTCTGGAGAACACCACTCGCTTGTTACACTCAGCTCACCATGGAATTCTTCTCCTCTACTATGGCCCACATTCTTACCTTCTCTCTGTGATTAGAATTCTGGATCTTGGCTCAATACCTTTCCATCCTTCCATTACATCCTTTCTCTGTGGTTGCTTGGAATTTCTGGCAGATGATTGTGCAAAATTGGCAGATGTTCCCCTTCTTCCATCCAGGACTGTGAACTTCCCTGTCCCTAGGAATTTTAAGTAGTAGCCTTTCTTCCTCCTTTCCCTTTCCTCTTTTAGCATTAGACCCAAAGCCATGGACAATTAAAAATTATCTCCCCTTTCTAGAAATCTGAGAGACTCCTGCTTTAAGGCCTTATTTTGAAATATTTGACATTGATTTCGATAGACATTAAGAGATCTTATTTCTGAAAACTATATATAGAGGTCCTTGACATTCTCAGATTTAATTCTCATCACCTCCCCATGTAGCAGATATATTTAGGCTGCGGAGCATTTGAATTTCTTTCTGGCTGGGCTCAGTGGTTCATGCCTATAATCCCAATACATTGAGAGGCTAAGGTGGGAAGATTGCCTGAAGCCAGGAGTTCGAGACCAGCCTGGGCAGCATAGCAAGACCCTGTATCTACAGAAATAAAAAATAAAAATAAATAGCAAGGTACGGTGATGTGCACCTGTAGTCCCAGCTATTTGGGAAGCTGAGGCAGGAGGATTGCTTAAGCCCAGGAGTTCCAAGTTGCAGTGAGCTATGATTGTGACACAGCACTCCAGACTGAGTGACACAGCGAGACCCTGTCTTAAAATAAATAAATAAATAAATAAACGAATAATTAAAAAAAGAATTTCTTTCCTGTGATTGTAGACAAAAACCACTTTCTTCTGTAGAAGCTGAAAAGTGCTGATATTCACTCTTCCAGCTTTGCTTGCTACTAGAGCCTACGCACCCAGAGTAGGCTTGGCCCATCAGATGCACACATCTGGGGCTTAGAATTAGAAGCTAATTAGGCAAAGAAGGGGGAATCATGGATTGTCCATCTGTTAGTGGCAGCAAAAGTGGCAACACCAACCAGTCTGTGGGGCAGTCATGGTCACGGTGCCCACCATGGTGGACCAGTGGAGTTCAATGCCCACCGGCAGAGGCATTCAGTGTCTGAATGGGACAACTGTGACATTGATCTTGGCTGTGGTCTGGCTGCCCAGGCCCACTTTTTGCCTGTCACTGTCTAAATCTTGTTCTCCAGCCTCCCGCCAAGGATTCTGTATGTCTCCAGTGTCCTTTCAACACATCACTTTTTTATTTAAGTTGCTCACAGCAAGAAACTTTGAATGGTCCACCCTTATGGGGTTCACTATAGGCAGTCATTTATTTATTCCTTGTGGTGCAAATTTGAAATATGTAGTCTGGAAGGCTGATATGTAAGAGCTGGTCACTTCACTAGTGAGAGAGCCGAGCAGATCTCCAGTTCCGTGACTCAGTACAACTTTAGTTTTTCCTTGTGAGATGATAAAAATATTTGTTCCTTTTTGGGGGTGGGTATGAAGCATAGCTGTTCAATTGAAGCTGTGGGAGAAGTGCAGAGAAAGGGAGACATAGTTCTTACCTGGAAAATAACTTTATAAATGACTTAAGTCCTGTGCACAAAATATCGTCAAAGGTGTGACAGGATCATTTCCAGTTGGCTTTTTTCATTTTATGACAGAAACTATATTCTGTAGTGATCGTGTGACTATTCGGTTTATCAACTAAACCAGGGTAACACTGACAGTGAAAGGGGATGCTATTATTTATCATTCCATTAGAAACACTAAGATAACAGACATAATAATGGTCACCCTAAGTGGTAGAGTGGAGATTGGAGATTCTAGATGGTCTTGGAGTCCCTCAGACACTAAGCTATCTATGGTGGTGCCTGCCCCACAGCACTCTCTCCATGTTCCTCAATCACATTCTAATTCTTTCTCTTCAGGACCAGTGCTGGAGACTGACAGGTGTCAGCCTGCCTGCCCCTTCCCCACACTTCCCTATTCATGCAACTGGCAATCCATTCTAGATTTGCACACATTTCTACAGACACGATTTCCATAGCAACAGCAGGACTCTATAAAAAAGGCACCTGAGCGATGCTCAAAGATAAATCACCCTCTTTCAGAGTCCTCCACTCTAGGGAATTACAGGCTACTGCCACTCACAATTTCTTAGCTCCTTTTCACATATAGACATATGTACATTTCTAATCCCAGTTTACTGTCTTTCAGTTTAATTAATTACGAACATTTTAACCTCTTTTTTAGGCCAGAGATGCTTGCTGCGCAGCAGTGGTTCAGAAGTGTTTTAATGAACTAAGAAGGTAGGAGGAAAAGAAGTCTCATGTTAAGAGTTCCTACTATGCACCAGGCACTTTTACCTAAATTATCTCCTTTTCATAGAAACCCAGGCAGAACAAGGACACCTCTGCAGCACAGGCTGAGCTCATGCTAAATTGGCAAATGTTATGTACAACATCCCACTCCCATATCTCATCACCAAGGAAGCCAGAGAAAAAGAGGGTCTTCATGGGGGAAGGGATAGGAGTGGGAGGAGTGGGTGGCAGGATTGCCAGTTGGGGAGCTGGAAACACAGGGCTCAGGCTGGAGATTCTGTTTCCAAATCATTTGTCTCATCAGAGCAATGGGGAAGGAGGTGGGAATGAATGATATTGATTTATTTTCTTATCTGAGGAGAATGATGCCCTGAAAGCAAAGAGTATTAAGTAATTGGGCCTTGCTTCCTTGAACCTACCTGTCAGCCCCAATGAAGTCTCTCCTCCTTTTTTAATTTCAAGAAATCTCTACACAGTGCTATGATTAAAACAAAATTAGCAATTGTTTAGCTCCCTACAAGAATCTTTCAATTTTCATGATTTCAGGGTCTTATTTGTTTGGTTGGTTTTTGTGCTTTGGAGCAGATATGAAAAACATTTGTCTTACCTGTACTTGAAAATTCAATTCATTCATTTGTCGTTCATTCATTCATACAAGAAGTATTCCCTCATCTCCTTTTTGGCCTAGTCATGGGGCTTTGGGCTGAGAAATGCACACAGTCATGGGCCTTATTCTCCTAAGCTTGTCATCTAATTCAAAGAAAGAAATTAACTAGTTCACTATACAATTATGTGATTAAAAACTATATAAGGGCAATGAAAAAAAAGTACATGACAATATTAGAAGTGCAAGGGGTGGCCCTTGTTCCCACACTGTCCCACCATTAAGATCTATCCATTTGAAAAACGCGCATCTTAATGCGTAAGTCACCCAACTCATAGCATAAATAAGGTCAATCAGATTTTTTTCCTCCAAATGGGTTCATGAGATCAGTGTGCTGAGGAAGTGGGAGGATTTATGGAATCAATGAAGAGTAAAGGAATAATCTAGGAACATAGGACATCCATCGGTGGGCAAACCTGGTTAGGAGTTCCAAACAGCCTCACTGGAGCAAGAAAGCAACAGGTGCCAGAGAGAGAGAGGGAGAGGGACACAGAATGAGAGGCTGAAAGCACAAGGAAATAGATCTGTCCTAAGGAGGACCTTACCCAACGCTGCACACACCTAGACAAAGGGCAAATATAAGATATAGGGAATGACCTTTAATTCATTGATCATTAGTACCCAAGCTACTCAAAGCCAATTTTCAATAACTTCATGATTAATAACAGACACAAATATTTGGCATTTTCTCTGAAACCAAGTGGCATCTTTTTATTAGAGATTTTCCAGATGGCTGTGTTTGATGCTGCCAACTATCCCAGATGGAGAGGGTTTCCTCACCTGCACCCAATCTGTATGTACCTCTCTCCAGTTGTTTCCTGTCAAGCTTGGACTCCTGAATGAGATAACACTGGAAATGGCTGAGTTAAATGAACAGTTGTTATTTCCAGTTATGACTTAATCCCTGATAATGATTTATATCTGGTTTTATCCTTAATCCCTTTCCGCTCATTTACCTTAGTGAATCAGATCAAATCATTTATAAACTCGATGTTTCTTTCCCATTTTCCTTTATTTTAGCCAGAGGCCAAGCCAGAGCTAGGTATGAGAAGCCAGTCCCCAGGGTTGCTTTTCCCTCGGCTTCTACTTGGCTCTGCATATTCCTCTGGATAAAAACAACACCCAAAATGATGGCTCAGCCAATGCTGTTTTATCAATCTAGAGGCAGAAGTGAAAAGAGAGTTCTCTGGAGTTATTTGTAATCCATTTGCCCTTTCCATCAGAGTCTCTATTGCCAGGTCTTGAAGAAGGGTATGTGGACCCTCCACTAAGCCCATGTAAAACTCCTCCCTGAGTTGAGGGAAGGGAGTGTCCAAATGCTTTCCAGTTTGGGGTCAGTTGGGACAGTTTCTGCAAGGGCAATTATCTTCTCCTCCATAAAGAACTAATGTGGATTACCTCTAGAATTTCCCCCTTCTCATAACTCAAGCAAGAATCTGAACTTTTTCTTGGAGTCTGAATCTCAATGGGATTTGGTTTTCCACAGATTGGAACCTTTGTATGTAATTCAACACTTCATTTTGATTTAAGAAATGTCAATGAGCTTCCTCTATGCGCCTGGGTTTGAGTGATCCTGGGACTGTAGGACTATGTCTACATTTCATCTACAATGTACCTTGGCCATAGCCTTTGCAAACAAAAAGTTTATCAGTTGCTCACGTTTAAGGCAACTTCTCTGCTTTCAGAAAATTTATAATCTGGCAGAAGAATAATAGCGAGCACACACAAAACAATACATAAAGTAGTATGATACAACGGGAAGTGTTTTAGGCTGGAAATCAAGAGCTCATATCAGAGTGGTAGCTCTGCCATCTATAGATGGTGACACAACATTTCTTTACTTCTCTGAACCCCAAAGTTCTCATCTGTAAGGTGAAGTTGAACTAGATAATATCAGAGGGCTCCCTATGGACTCTACCTATGATCATATTCAAAATATCTTCTCTTGTCTCCATCTTCACCACTGTTCCCATCCAAACTAGCACTGTCTTGCTTCTCTACATCTGTAAAATTTCCTAGTGCTGCTTCCAGTCTTGCTATCCTAGAATTCATTATTGCAGTCAGAGTAATGTTTTGAAAACACGAATCATATCTTGCTACATGCCCCTCCCCCTCTGCCTAAAATCTTCCAACAGCTTCCAACTGCCCTTAGAATAGACCATAAGCTGCACAGATGGCTTTCCACACCCTCCGTAACCCGACCTTTCCTCCTGTGCTCTCTGACCTCACTGATTGAGTGTGTGCAGGAGTGTGTTCTCATCCTCACTCACTATGCTCTTACCACTTCTTTGTCCAAACCATGTCCCAACTAATTCTACCTGCTATTCCATCTAGAAAATTTCCTTTTCAGTGGACTCATATTTTCTGGTCTTTTTGCTTCAGGCACACTTAATTCTCTCTCTATCCCTCGAAGTGCAACCAGGGGATCAATGAGGTAAGGAAGAGAAATCAAGATTGGATTCTAGTCCAATCGAGAAATTAAGTCGAGGATGACATTAAGGTTTCTAATTTGGGAGACTAATGAAGGCTGGAACACAGAAGAGGAAGAGCAGGTTTGGAACAAGTGGAAGAAATTTCCAGTGGATAGTTTATTAAATCTTCACCCTTCTTTAGGTCCCTGTTCCTTACCTAGGACATGCAGCCTTCTTTTTTCAGGAAGAAGATGCTAAGCATAGTTAAAGCTAAGCTGTTTGCTATGCTCAGTGTTTGGACTATTTGGCCAATGCTCTTTGCTATTAGTCAGTGCCCAGCTGATCCAGGTGTTAACATTTTTCAATATCACTGTTACTAGTGATCTTTCAAGTTCCATGCTTCCCACTCTGAACCTTCCCTTGCTCTATTCTAGAAGGTCATCCCCAAGAAGCGCTTCTCAACATTTTCCTCCCCGGGACTTCTAAAGGCAGAAACTCCTGGATTTGAGGGTTTAGAGCCATCCAAGAAACAGGCCAAATTTATTTGAAAGCTCTTCTCTTAAATCCTTACAATTCATGAAAATTTATATTCTGCTTCACAAGAAATCTATACTTGTTTCAATATAAAAATAATGTTTAAAAGTACTATCAAGCATCACAGTTTAGAGAATGGGCTTCGAAGTCAGAAAGGTCAGAGTTTGGCTTGCGTCTCTGCCAATTACTTGTTGTTGGACCTGGAGCAAGTTCTTTGACCTCTCTAGGCCTCTGTGTCCCTCATGTGGTTGTTGACCACGTGGTCAATGTTCCATAGATTTAGCACCCTGAGGGCCAGAGTCTATCTTCTCTTCATTTGTGTCTCCCACACAGACACCAGAGGAGTGTCCTGTCCGCAGAAGGCCCTTGGTGTGTGTTCATTCCTCTACATCAGACATTAGTGCACCTAGGGTTATCCCGTTTTTACCACTAGATGGAGAGCACGTATCCTAGAAGTTTTAATCCATTAGTAAGTGAGAGAGCAAACATTTGTCTGTCTTGTCTTCACCAAATCAACTTATTGAATGATGACAGAATCATTAAAACTAGCTTTCAATAAATGCAATTATAAGGTAACTTTATAACTTTCAGAACTATTTCTTTTTTTTTTTTTTTTGAGAAAGTGTCTTACTCTGTCACTCAGGCTGGAGTGCAGTGGTGCTATCATTGCTCACTGCAGCCTTGACCTCCCGGGCTCAAATGATCCTCCCACCTCATCCTCTGGAGTAGCTGGGAGTGCAGTTGCATGCCACCACTCTCAGCTAATTTTTTTTATATTTTTTGTAGAGACAGGCTTTTGCTGTGTTGCCCAGGCTGGTCTTGAATTCCTGGGCTCAAGTAATCCACCTGCCTCGGCCTCCCAAATTGTTGGGATTACAGGCGTGAGCCACTGTGCCCAGCCTCAGAACTATTTATGCTTAAAGTAATGAAAAGGTGAAAGCAAGGGAGAAACATTAACTTCAGGATAGTGGCTACCTCTGGGGATGGGATAAAATGGAATTGGGTAGGACGAGGAAACTCTAAATGTATCTGGCAGCTTATTTCTTACTTAAGAAAAGATATGAAGTAAAAAATGTTGGCCAGGTGCAGTGGCTGACACCTGGAATTCCAGCACTTTGGGAGGCCGAGGAGGGTGGATTACTTGAGGCCAGGGGTTCGAGGCCATCCTGGCCAACATGGTGAAACCCCATCTCTACTAAAAATATGAAAATTAGCCAGGTGGGGTGGCACGTGCTTGTAATCCCAGCTACTTGGGAGGCTGAGGCAGGAGGATTGCTTGAATCCAGGAGGCAGAGGTTACAGTGAGCCAAAATAACATCACTGCACTTCAGCCTGGGCAACAGAGTGAGACCCTATCTCAAAAATAAATAAACAAATAAATAAAATCTACAAAATGTCCAAAAATATTAACTTTGGGTGAATTCTGGGTAGTAGGGGAGAAAACTTAGATGTCTCATTACTTTCTGTATTTCTCTGTTTGAATTTTTTTGTAATTGTAAATGTTTTTTAAGTGAGGGAAAAACTCAAAGGTAAAATTTATGCTTACTGTGTCTAGCTCTATTTATGCTGCCTAACGAGCTCTTCAATGTTCTCAGAGATATGCAATTTGCAAAAGGAAACAACAACAGAGCAAAAACCATACGGATGTCTCTCTACTTGGGCTCTCATGTTGCCACCCTTCTACTGAACCTTACATTTTGCCCTGAAGTTAAGTCTTTTAACGGTCATAGCTTAACTCAATTGCTAATTAGCTCTTGTCTCCAAACTGTATTGTTTTCAACTAATCTGAAAGGTGAAGAAAAGTTGTTTCCATACATCTGTTCAGGTTGGTATTCCATGTAACAAACTACCCCAAAACTTAATGGCATAAGACAACCATTTTATTATGTTCCTGGATTCTGTGGGGCAAGAATTTGGACAGAATACAGTGGGGATACTTTGTCTCTGCTCCATTATATATGGGGTCACAACTTGGGGGTGACTTGACAGTGGGGAGTAACTTACTTGATGACTGAGAGCAAAACTCATTGGGAGGTGTATTCACTCCTGTGTCTGGTTGTTGATACTGGCTCTTGACTGACACCTCAGCTGGGGCTGTCTACAGAGTCATCTACTCATTACAATCATGTCACTATGGTTGGCTCAGATTCCCAGGGAGAGGTCAGAGACTCCCACCTCTCAATGGGAAGGGTGTCAAAGAATTTGCATGCATATTTTAAACCCCCCACAATATCCTTTTAACTCTGTTGTTACAATGAAGTGGTTTGATAAGTCTGGACCCCACTTTCTCTTTGTTTACTCAAGTAATCCGTAGGGGGAACATTTAAGTGTATCCACTAAATTGTCTAGGAACATGTCTGGTCAAGTTATAGCAGCTCAGATTATAAACTAATAAGAGTATTTATTTTATTAGTACTATTCCTTGTGAAAGCAGACTAGTTTTTTAAAAAATGACCATTCAACATAAAGGTATACATCATAAATAACTCATAGAATGAAATTTTCACCACCAATGAAATATTGTCCAAGGCGGACTCCATTATCTATTGCTGCACAGCAAATTACTCTATAATTTATGGCTTTGTGGATTTAAAACAACAAACATTTATTATCTCACAGCCTCTGTGGGTCAGGAATTTGTGAATAGTTTAACTCGGTGACTCTGCCTCGGGGTCTCTCCTGCAGTTTCAGTTAAGATATTGTCTAGGACTGTGTCATCTGAAGGCTTGACTGGGGCTGAAGGAGCTGTTTCCAGCATGGCTCACTCTCATGGCTGTTGGCAAGAGGCCCCAGGTCCTACCATGTGGACTTCTCCATAGGACTGCTTGAGTGTTCTCATGACATGACAACCAGCTTCTTCCAGAGTAAGAGATCCCAAAGAGAGCAAAGAGGAAGCCAGAGGTATCTTTTATGTCCTAGTCTTTGTAAGTGACATGCTATCACCCCTGCCATATTCTCTACATTAGAAAGTGAGTTACTAAGTCCCACTCACATTCCAGGCAAAAGACATCAAACTCCATCTCTTGAAGGGAGGCATAGCAAAGACTCTGTGATGATATAGTAAGACTACCACAGGGAGCTGAAAAAAGGCCTCTCTCACTCCATCTTGAAGGAATCTGCCTTAGGGCATCTGTCCTTATTGAGGAAATGAATGTGGGGAAACAAGTTGTTTCCATATGGAAAATTATACATCAATTTCCACTTTGTCATTCAGGTAGGAAACACACCTGGACTACTCTCTTCTATTCTGCTCCTATCTTCATAGGATAAGAACTATGATTCTTGCCAATAACAGCCTGGGGAATGCTTTGCATGTTTTATATTTACGTGCAACTGTGGTAATATCATGGAAGTATGGGTATTCCAGGGCCTATTCTAATGCCCTCATTGACACGAGGGTTCATTTGGTCAAGTCTCCTGGACAGGTTTGCTCTTTCTTGTATTCCATTCTATTGTGTATCTTTCAAAACTACAAACTTGAATGGTCAGGATGATAGATGGGGCTGTGCTTCAGGTCAAGGGAGATCATAAGATGCAGAAAAATTGCCATCTGCAAAAAGCAAAATGCAATGAAGTGAAATGCAATCCTGAGTGACTGTTTCTCATCTTTAGTGAGGCATTGAAGAAAAGATGCAATTACTCATTCATCTGAGAAAAGGAAACCTAGGGTGCACCCAGTTCAGAAACCTAAAAGAAGATCTGCTAGAATTTCTAACTTAGGAAATACCAGTCTTTAGGATGGGGTAGCTAGGTCACTGACAGGAAGGTGGGGGTCCCTCCCTTCAAAGAAAAATGGTAGGATTGTATCTGGTTCTGGATCTAATTCAACTTGACTACTTAGCAGTAAAGATAAATTGGACCCAAAGAGAAAACTGAAAATCACATTTTCCTGGCAAGTCCTTCAATGGGCTTAGTGTGTTTAGATTTATGAGGGAGTGAATGACCTTCTCTGCCACAGTTTTTTACATTTTCGTTTTTCCAGGACTGATTTTCCATCTGGCCTAACCAGAGTCTGAAGTTGCTGAATCAAACAGAGCCAATAGGTCGGACTTGAGCTGACTGGAGCATGCACAGAGCTGGGAAGCACAAGTATGTTCCTTTTGTAAAGGGCTATCAACCAGATGCCTCCTCCTCCCTCCTCCCAGCCTGCCTCAGATCATGGCCCTGAAAGAGAAGACATCCTGTTTTTCCAACTCAAGAGACACCACTGCAGGGGGAGCAGTAGCAGGCTTGGGGACGTTTTCCACTCAAGAAGCTGGCTATGGGAAGAGGTGGGATGACAGTATTAAATGCAAGGACATTGTCAGACAGACCTGGTTCCTATGCCAGATTCCCAGGTTGGTGGGGGGCGGGTGGGAAGGGTCAGGGAAGGCCAGGGTTTTCTACTCATCTCTAGCAACCCCAGAGAAAACGTGGAAGAGCAGTGCAAAGTTTCCACACACTCGAGAAGAGTTCAAGAGTAGCAGAGCACTGATAAACCCAGGTATCCGGCAGAAGTGAAAAAGTACATTATAAGAGAAAGCCGCAAGACCAGGTGAGGTAATGAACATTGCTGGAGTGCTAGTAACCAGAGGTGGGATACATCTCAGGAGAGGCAGGCTTTGCCAGAATACCATGTAGGCTACCCCACACAGGTGCCATCTAAAGGAGATGGAAGACAATAGAGAAAATCCAGAATTAACTGAATTTTAACATGAAAAGATTGAGAAAACAGAGAAGTTTTCTATAAATAATTAACATTGCATGTTATAATGTTAAGTAAATTAAGTTACATTATACAAAATAATATTATCAATTTTGCACACTCAAGTTTGTGGCTTAAGAAAATTCAAACCTGCTTATCAATGTACCATTCTCTATTGTTCCTACAGCTTACCCTGTATTTCATGCAATACAAAGGAAGATGGCTGTTTGGGGTTGCCGTGTCTCTTAGCAATTAAGGAGATGGCTACAGCCAAGCAGTGTGAAGTGACAGCACCAGAAAGTTTTCTACACCAGAGGTTAGAAAATATTTTCTTTAAAGAGCCAAGTAATGAATATTTTAGGCTTTGCCAACTATACAGTCTCTGTTGCAATTCTTCAACTCTGCCCTTATAGCACAATACATAAATGAATGGGCCAGGCTATGTTCCCATTAAATTTTATTTATGGAAACTGAAATATGAATTTTATATTATTTTTCTGTTTCACCAAATATTATTATTCTTTTGATTCCTTTAAAGTAATATAAAAATGTAAAAACTATTCTTAGCTCATAGGCCATGCAAACACAGGAGGTAGGCTGGATTTGACTACCGGAAGTAGTTTACTAGCCCTTGTTTTTGGCTGGTCACTGATCTCCACACCATGGAAGGAATTAATGTATTCAGGCTCATGGCCCTGGGTAAAAAGGTCCACCTGCTTAGGAAAGTGCTCAGGAGATAAAATCCTCCTGGGAATCACATAATCTTTTTTTTTTTTTTTTAGCATCTTTTTCTTTTCCTTTGTCCTGTGGCTTTTCACGTGGTTTCAAGACAAGTGTCAAACTTTACATTTGACTTAGAAAAGCCACAACTCATATTCAGACTCCTTCTGCAGTGGCAGAAGACTGCTGGGCTCTAAGCCCCAGGAAGACGGGGACTGTGTGTCTTTTTCCTTGCTACTATATTGCTGGGGTCTAATGTAGCATCTGACAGAGTAAGGCACTAAATAAATGTTTGTTGATTGAATGACTAAGTGATTAAAAAGTCCCTTTAAAGCACTTTTTTTTTGGTGTTTTTTGTTTTTTGTTTTTGAGATGGAGTCTCGCTCTCTTGCCCAGGCTGGAGTGCAGTGGCACGATCTTGGCTCATTAGAACCTCTGCCTCCGAGGTTCAAGTGATTCTCCTGCCTCAGCCTACCGAGTAGCTGGTATTACAGGCGCCTGCCACCACATCTGGCTAATTTTTGTATTTTTTAGTAGAGACGGGGTTTTCCCATGTTGGCCAGGCTGGTCTTGAACTCCTGACCTCAGGTGATCTGCCCGCCTCAGCCTCTCAAAGTGCAGGGATTACAGGCGTGAGCCACCGTGCCCAGCCCAAGCACTTTTAAAAACTGTTTTGTTACTCCATCTTACATGTGTTACACAACTCTCACTTTAAAAATGTCTGTAACAGTGATTTAGAATTCAGAAGACTCATCACGCATAAATAGATTTCCTTCAAAAGCTGGACAAAAATTTTATGTCAGTGTGAAACTGCAAAATCATTGTTAGCTATGTTTAAAAGAAAACCTGTTTGCACCAAGAAGTGAAAGAAAAGTAACTGCAAATATCAGAGACTGGTCTTAGTAAGGAAGCAGCCACCTGGGCCTCTCTCCTGACATTAATGTTGTGCCTGCCATTTGGCCTATGGAGGTGGTTTCTACCATTATGCCCATGATATGAAAAAGCTACCTGGGTAACAAAAGACTGGGAAACTTACCAGAGACCCACGACATGGGAGGAGCTGATGCTGAAAATCCTTCTGCTCTGTTCTAAGCTGGCAGCTTCTCTCCCCATTAAGCCACACAACATCTAGGCAGAACAGAGCAAACTCGGAGAAAACCACACAGATTTTGGCTGTATGGATTCAGCATTTTATCTGAACAATCATCTTAGCTCTCCTTTTAAAGTTTTCTTTTCTTTTTAAAATCTCAAGTGAATTTGCAAAGGGAGGTATGAGAATGTGGGGGAATTGGGGATGAAAACTGGTGTGTGGTACCAAGAAGAGGCAAAAGAAAAAGATCAAAGATTAGCTTTCCTAAACTGGGTGGCACCTTGGCACTGAATCCTGGGAACAGATGCTGGCTGATTTGAATTAAAAAAGAGCAAAAGTAACCAAAGATAAGAAATAATTGGCTAAAAAATACAAAACCATACTTCTGACTAGGGACAATAAAATGTTCCAAGCAGATGTTAGAATAACTGACTTTTAAAAACCAAGCTCAAAGAAAATAGGGAAAGAGACTCATTGCTAAATATTTTTCCCTCAATTGTGAATTAAGACATGGTCAGAGGAGAAGAGACCCTTTCCAGAATCTCAGCAGGATAAATCAACCTTGTGGAGGCCTTTGTGTTCCTGGAGAATGATGTCAGAACCCACCCCAGGAAGAAGAAAGAAATGTTTGCACTAAAGGTCACTTGAGAACTATAAAGAAAAATGCTATTTGTGATGACCTAGAAATCCTTCCAGGAAGAAGAGGAGTCAACTCACTGTTTTGGAATCAGTGGGGAAAAAAACAACAAAACTTTTCTGGTGAAAAACATTCCGAGGGTCATTTAGACATTCTAAGAAAGTCAATGAAACTTTGAGAGAAAAGAATCCCGGAGTAGGATTATGGGAAAATTATGTTTTTCTTAACTGTTTAAAGCATGTTGTGCATTTACATATGTGTTGGTCATACAAAGATAATTGGAAAGGTTTCTGGCAGTAAGCAGAAGGCAGGGACTGACGGCCTCTCTACCCTATTTATTGTTGACCCTGAGAATCCTTGGGGTAATCAGATATGCGTGGCTCACAGAGATATCCAGGGGTTTAGAAGAAAGAACACTAGCCTGTGAATCAGAAGACCTGGCGTCACATTTCAGCTCTATGGCCTTCTAACAGGAGAACTGCTGCATGCCATTTAACCTTTCAAAGCTTTAGTCTCCTTATCAGTTAAGTGAAGATAATGTGTGTTCCTTGTGGGAATATTGTTAAATGCAGTCCCTATACAGAATAGACACATAGTCGGAGCTCAGTAGTAGTAGACTTGAATCTGTTGCCTGCCTCAGAATTAACTTACTAGCTATCTATATTGAGCACTCGCTATGTGTAAGTCTGTTATTCACACCGTCTTGGTTTTCCCAACAGCCCTATGACTAGGGGCAATTGTTATCCCCTTTATACAGATAAAGTCACTGAGGCTGGAGAGGTTAAGAAACTTGCTAGTGGTAAGTGGTCAAGTCAGGCAGCCTGGCTCCAAGCCCCTGCTCTTATCTGACCAAATATGAGGGGAAGATTTACTGAACTTATACCACCTTCTTCCTCTTTGTTTCTGTTATGACCCAGGGAACAAGATGAAGAGGTTTTCCTCTCTCAGAAGCATAAAAAGCTACTGACCTCATCCCAATAACAAAAGTTAAAAAGAATGACTTTAAATACAAAAGATACGGTAATAATGACGCTTTATGGTCCAGGCAGTATTCTAGGTGCTTTTTTATATAGGCTAATTAATTAATTTAACAACCTTCTTAGGTAGGTGCTACCATCTCCACCATGTTATGCGGGGACTCAAGCAAATGTGCAGAGCCCTTGGAGCTCCAAAGACTGCTTTCAACCATCGTACTATACAGGCTGTCCAACACTGGGCTCTCAGAGGCAAGCCAACAGGCAATTATGGATGCTGCCTTGGCTAGGTATCAGGGGTGGAAGGCATATGGTCAGCAATGTAGTCTCAGGGCAAACTGTGAATTGAAGTTAAAAGAAAAGTGATATTTATTGACAGCTTATAATTTAAGTGAGTAGGAATATTTTAAGTTAATAATGCCCTAACTGGGGATCCAAGTCCTTGGACTTCACCAAAGAAAATAACAGGGGTTCAGGAGCTATTTTTAATATTTCAAAATGCCTGTTAGTATGTCACTAATCATATAAAATATAGTCTTTGTGTATGGTAACAGAGTCTTAAAGGAGAAAACTTTTAGGGAAAAATTCATAGACTTGAGCAAATTTTCAAGTATTCCTAATTCTGGAAACAAGCGAATTTCTCTCCTGTCAGAGTTGAAATAATCCTTATGCATGTCAAATTTACCCTAATAGAGAAGATACTCATTATCAAAGCAAATGCAACAAGACTCAAAGACTTCAGGAAAGAAGTTGCCGGCAGACATTAAAGGCAATTTTAGCCATTTACTTAGAATTGCCAGTCACTGTAGGAGCAGAAGAGGCATTTTTCTGCCAACTGGTTGAAGCTTGTGCCAGAATGATCCTGCTGTTTCTTAATTGTCCTAAAAGCTCGTAGCCAGCAATTTCCCTGCCAAGCCTGACCTCACTTTCATGTTTTTTGTAATATGCAGATCACGAAGTGTCCCATTCAGAGTGGGAAAACAAGAAATTACTTCCTCATCCTTACTCTTGGAGCTCATCACATAATCTGTATGATGTCTCTGTAAAATAATACATCAATGGCCATCTCAAAGCCTTCTGTGCCATTTTTTAGTACCACTGTCCTTGCCTATGTTTGAACATATGATTAATCCTCATGGCAAACTTGTAAGAGAGGGGACAACAGTGTTGTTCCCATTTATGAGTGATAAACCAACAGAATTATGACTGATGGACATACGAATCTATGTGTGGTGTATTAAGTTGAAAGCTGCATAATGAAATTTAGAGCATGCTTTCTTTTTTTATATAAAAGAAAAGGCATGTAACTGTGTATGTCTGTGCATGCATATGCAGGTGTGTACAGAGGTGAGATATAAAAGCTCAGAAAAGATTTTGTGATATACAATCTAGTTACTTCCTAAGGTGGTAATGTTACCTCCTAACAGTTACCTCCTAAAATGGGAGTAAGTGAAAGAAGCTACCGAGAATGTTCACTTTTATATCTATGCACCTCTGTATTGTTTTAATGTTTTGCAATAAGCATATATTGTTTTTATAATGTCAAAAAGAATTTTTAAAAAGAGAAAAGGTATAAAGTTAGTGATAGATGTTCTCCACAATCAACAGCCCTATCTAGTTTATTCCATTGGATCCAGATTTTCAGAGCAATTTTAAATAGACATTAGAAAAACCTTCCTCAACTCTGGAAGAAAATATTTGCTTGGTATTCGAGTCTTGGGGAAGCAACCTTCTACTTAATGCTTTTTGGAGGCCCTTGCTCCTAGATGGAATGGAGACTCAGTTGGGATGACCAGAGGCTTCCGTCAACCAGCTCCTTGGGTTCATGGAGTTCTTTGAGGAGCAAAATCAATATGTAAAAAATGGGAATGCAGAGCCGTACTGTGGCACCGCGGTCTAGGCACTTCTTGGACAGCATGTCTCACCTGCTGATGAAACTCCTGAGCAAGGAAATGGAGAAGCAGAACCTCAAATTGTGGCAGTGGAACCTAAAGTTGCAGGGGGCCTCAAATCTGACCCTACCAGAAACTCAAAATGGAGATGTGTCTGAAGAAACAATGGGAGGTAGAAAGGTTAAAAAATCAAAACATTCTATAAATGTGGCCTTATCAGAAGCTCAAAATGGAGACGTGTCTCAAGAAACAGTGGAAAATGTAAAAGTTAAAAAATCTCCCCAGAAATCCACCATATTAACCAATGGAGAT
The DNA here is from genome assembly GCF_000001405.40 of Homo sapiens. NCBI lineage: Eukaryota > Metazoa > Chordata > Mammalia > Primates > Hominidae > Homo > Homo sapiens. Next base: position 91,053,339 of record NC_000010.11, read on the forward strand.
GCAGAAATGCAGTCTCCCAAGTCAGAATCAAAAAAGAAAAAGAAGAAGAAAAAGAGAAAAATGGCGAATGATGCTGGGCCTGATAAAAAAAAAGCAAAAACTGAAAACAAAGGAGAATCTGAAGAATAAAGTGCCGAGACTTCTAAAGAAACAGAAAATAATGTGGAGAAGCTAGATAATGATGAAGATGACAGTGAGGTGCCCAGCCTGCTCCTGGGACTGACAGGAGCTTTTGAGGATACTTCATTTGCTTCTCTATGTAATCTTGTCAATGAAAACACTCTGAAGGAAATAAAAGAAATGGGCTTTACCAACATGGCTGAAATTCAGCATAAAACTATCAGACCACTTCTGGAAGGCAGGGATCTTCTAGCAGCTGTAAAAACAGGCAGTGGTAAAACCTTGGCTGTTCTCATCCCTGCTATTGAACTCGTTGTTAAGTTAAAGTTCATGCCCAGGAATGGAACAGGGGTCCTTATTCTCTCACCTACTAGACAACTAGCCATGCAAACTTTTGGTGTTCTTAAAGAGCTAATGACTCACCATGTGCACACCTATGGGTTGATAATAGGTGGCAGTAACAGATCTGCTGAAGCACAGAAACTTGCTAATGGGATCAACATCATTGTGGTCACACCAGGCCGTCTGCTGGACCATACGCAGAATACCCCAGGGTTTATGTATAAAAACCTGCAGGGTCTGGCTATTGATGAAGCTGATTGTATCTTGGACATTGGGTTTGAAGATAAATTAAAGCAAATTATTAAACTTTTGCCAACACACAGGCAGACTATGCTCTTTTCTGCCACCTAAACTCGAAAAGTTGAGGACCTGGCAAGGATTTCTCCGAAAAAGGAGCCATTGTATGTTGGTGTTGATGAAGATAAAGCTAATGCAACTGTGGATGGTCTTGAGCAGGGACACTTTGTTTGTCCCTCTGAAAAGAGATACCTTCTGCTCTTTACATTCCTTAAGAAGAACCAAAAGAAGAAGCTCATGGTCTTCTTTTCAGCTTGTATGTCTGTGAAATACCCCTACGGGTTGCTGAAGTACATTGATTTGCTGTCTTGGCCATTCATGGAAAGCAAAAGCAAAATAAGCATACAACCACATTCTTCTAGTACTGCAACGCAGATTCAGGAACACTATTGTGTAAGGATGTGGCAGCAAGAGGACTGGACATTCCTGAAGTCAACTGGATTGTTCAGTATGACCCTCCAGATGACCCTAAGGAATGTATTCATTGTGTGAGGAGAACAGCCAGAGGCCTAAATGGGGGAAGGCATGCCTTGCTCATTTTGCACCCAGAAGAACTGGGTTTCCTTCACTACTTGAAACAATCCAAGGTTCCATTAAGTGAATTTGACTTTTCCTGATCTAAAATTTCTGACATTCAGTCTCAGCTTGAGAAACTGATTGAAAAGAACTATTTTCTTCATAAGTCAGCACAGGAAACATATAAGTCATACATACGAGCTTATGATTCCTATTCTCTGAAACAGATCTTTAACATTAATAACTTAAATTTGCCTCACATTGCTCTGTCATTTGGCTTCAAGTTGCCTCCCTTTGTTGATCTGAACATGAACAGCAATGAAGGCAAGCAGAAAAAGCAAGGAGGATTTGGCTACCAGAAAACCAAGAAAGTTGAGAAGTCCATAATCTTTAAACACATTAGCAAAAAGTCATCTGCAGCAGGCAGTTCCCTCACTCAAGAGATGCCTGTCTTTATCTTGAATAACTTTGTCCTGACATGAAATTTTCCCCCTTGATCTAACAGGATTTTTGTAGCCTTTAGAATTTGGACTGGTCTAACAAGAGTATAAACTGACTTGGGTTGCAAGCACTGAGCACTGTTACTTCTATCAAGTCTCTTTTATTTTTGGGATATAAAACAGGCTTTAATTTTCTTGGTTGCCCAAGGGCAGAGCAAGGAATGTCTGCTCTTTCTTGTGATGATATAATATTTTAAATTTTTAAATATCCCTCCTTCATACACACAAATGTACGTTATTGTTTTAATATAATTCTTTTTGTACCTTTCCTTCTTGGTTTGTGAAGATTTTTGTGGCATGGGTTGCTTTGCTTACTGCTGTAAAAGGTGACCTAGTGTGCTGGGAAGCTGGTGGTAATGCAGAAAAGAGTCTCAGGTTATTTTTTGTTTTTAGTTATTTCTTGGACCTTGGGAGTACCTAATGACTCCTCCTGAAAATGCTGTAGTATAAAAGAGCAAAGAGCTTTGGAAAATACCTAAGAAGCACCTTAGGATTGGGGTGGCATTGCTTTTACAGATTCTTGATTTTTTTTTTTTTTTTTTTTTTGAGACGGAGTCTCGCTCTGTCGCCCAGGCCGGACTGCGGACTGCAGTGGCGCAATCTCGGCTCACTGCAAGCTCCGCTTCCCGGGTTCACGCCATTCTCCTGCCTCAGCCTCCCCAGTAGCTGGGACTACAGGCGCCCGCCACCGCGCCCGGCTAATTTTTTGTATTTTTAGTAGAGACGGGGTTTCACCTTGTTAGCCAGGATGGTCTCGATCTCCTGACCTCATGATCCACCCGCCTCGGCCTCCCAAAGTGCTGGGATTACAGGCGTGAGCCACCGCGCCCGGCCCAGATTCTTGATTTTAAAGCAATGAGCCTTTCTCAGGTGTTTTGTTTTTTAGAGCAAAAACTATGGTTTGTAATTTGAATAAAGTGTCACTAGCAGTCATAACATTTGATGAGTGTGGGGTAGGAAGAGGGTGGAATTGAGATGTTTGAGGCTCGTTTACATCAATAGAGGTATAATATACTGCATTTCTTCATTCAGTAACACAGCAAAGACTTTAAAAACACACATACAAAGAATGGTGCCGCTCCTCATTCAGATTTCTTTAATTCAAGGTGGTTTGGATTTTGGTAAGCCTTTTCGCTCTGTACAGTACTTAGAAGACAAGGGCAACTGCCCTGGACTTAGAGCCAAGCCATCAGACAGTGCCCAACACATATTAATGTTTGCTTCTTTCTGAGAAAAATTACCTCTTCCAGTCCCTGAAACAAAAAATACATTTGTTGTGAAGATTGAAAATGAACAGTCAGAAAAAAACAGCGAAGTCAGATGGTTTTTTTGTTGTAGGAGCATTTGATTTCTAGTGTGTTTTGTATAATGTGTAACTACAAAATAATAGATTTTGTAGCAATTCAAAACAAAAGTTGCTAGCATCATTTTTCTGTTGTGCCAGTTAATCATAGCATCCCATTAAATGTAAGTGTGCTAATATCTAATGTAGAGGAAACTGTTTGGTAAAGAATATTCCAGTAGGAAAAGAAAAGAACAATCTTCGATTTCTGGGCTTGGCCATTATCACCCTGGTCACACTTGTCCTGGGCTTCCAACCTTGACTGCTGGGCTCCTGGTTTGGCTTCTTGGATTCCTAATTCCTCATGTTTAGTAACTCTCTCCAGGATCATGTTTTCCTTTTTTTTTTTTGTTTCAGAAGTAATGTTTTTTAAAAGACAAAAGCGAAGGGAAGAATATTTAATTACTGAGCAGAAGTAAATACTGTTGGTATTTTGTACCTAATCTAATTTTTATATGCATGTTCATGCTTTTTAATTTTTTTATCAAAAATGGAGTCATCTACCTACTACTTGTAACCAGCTTGTTTCATAACATATTATTTTCCTGTGTCATTTAATAATAACCTCAAAAAAAAAACCAAAAATGAGAATGCAGTCTTAGTTATTTATTTAGATTTTTGTACAAGTTTTTTATAAGGTTCCATAATAAAGGCAATTTGGGGATGAATAGTCTACATAGCAAACTCCTTCCATCCAACTAGGAATGTGACCTAGGAATGGTGGTATAGTAGAAACAGCAAAAATTTGAATTTTGATAGACTTTTATTCACATCCTAACTGCTATTTAAGAGAGGTTTGGCCTCAGACAATCTACTTAGTGTCTCTGAAACTCTGCTCCCTCAGCTATAAAATAGAATAATAGAGACATGAAAGGTTATATGTAAAGGGCATCACATAATACCTGGCTCATGGAAGGTGGTCAAAAATTCCTAGGCTAATAAAAAGGTGTAAATGATTTTTAATCTATATTGACATTTGTAGTGAACAAATAAGAAAACTTAGAATTGTGGAAGATTGTCAGGAGATAGTGATGATTCTGTCCATGGTATAGTCACTCCATCATATTGTCTATCAGGCCAGGTCATTCCATCATACTGCACAAAAACTACTTGAGATGTATATCTTACTGAGGAAGAGCCAATAGTGTCAACTCTGCATATGAAACACCCAACATGCAAAAACTAGAAAGTGATCCATTTGTAGATTTAGTTGTAATTGGGCCGTGTTTGCAATTGGAGGTGTCTAGCTCTGGCATCTTCTCAGACATTCTGCATCAAACAGAGATGACAAAATCTATTAAATTTCTTAGAAACATTTCTCTGATGACTAGACTTGGCCGTGGAGAGTGAAAACCAACCAAAGGAAAATTTCTTGGTACTTGCTGAATAACAGGCACACACTGGTGACTGAGGAGTTCCAATGTGGCAAATCCAAAGAAGACACTTGAGAAGAACTAAACCAAACTGTATTTGTAGGAAGATAGGTTTTAGGTTCTCCAACATACCCCTGGAAAGACACCTGGATGTCTGTCTTTCATTCACCTCATATTTGTAAGCAAGACACCACATTAGGCCCTATAGGAGGTTTAAAGACTCATAGTCCAAAAACTCATAGTCTCATAAAATTACAGAAGACAATGACTCACTAGGTCATCTAAGATTCAAATGCACTGATTGTAATGATCATTAAATAGCTTCCCTGGAAAGTGTTCCCTGTAATGCTTCTACCATTAGCTGATATCAAATGCTACGTTTTCACATGGAAGAGCCCTAAGTCTTGCAATAAACCATCAAAAAGATACAAAAGAGGACCATGAAGACCCTCTTTGAGACCATGGTCTTGGTACTGAAGTTCTTGCTCTATAATTTTTCATCTCCCTGTCTACTGGTTGACCACCAGCAGCACTACTTTCAGGTCATTGATGAAGAGAAGTGACTTTACAAGAGTGTGAGGAGTACTGGGACATGTTTAAAGAATGCCTGTCTTATAGGATGAGGGCAGTTTTTAGAGTCCAGCCCCTTCCTTTTTCTGTCTGGCTTTCTAAATCTGAATTTTTCTTCTTAATCCCACTTGCTGCTGTATCTCTTCAAATACTGACGACTTCCCCTCGGCTGTCCTTGTCCTGAAGCAATAAGACTCTCTGATCTGCCCTTCAGAATTCCCACTCCCCAGATCCTAGGAAAATGGGAACCTTGGGTACTATGAGGAGTTGCTAATTGGATGATGATACTCCCTTGTCAACACACCCCAAAATTTTCCCATAGACTAGCTTCTCACAGACATCATCTTCCATACCTTCTGCTGTTTTTCATGATTCTCTCTTTCCCAAATGGCTGCTAGCAACCAAAGCCTGCACTCCATCTCAAAGCTGTTGCCCAGCCAGTGTGAAACTCCAACACAAATTACGCTTTATTCATTTAGACTGTTAATTGGTGGATTGTGTTCTCATGATGCCTCCATGGCCACGATTGAGTCAGTTCACTTCTCCGAGCTCCAGGTGACTAGATGAGGAAAACTCCATCCTTGACAAAGCCATGTTCATTGGGCACTCACATGCAAACACATGTACATACATGTAATTTCAGAATGAGTTATGAAGGTAGTTTGCATTTCCAGCTTCATTGTTTACTAGAATGTATAATCGTGGGCAAGTTAGTTCTCTGAGTCTCAGTTTCTTCACCTGTGAAGTGGAGAAGATGATACCCATTTCTATGTTCTATGAGTAGAGAATGAAATTATATGGGAGAAGAACTTAGAAGGGCCCAGGCTCAGAGAAAGGATGATTCACAAATATTAATGGTGAATAAACATCTAAAAGTATTTTAGCATCACTAATAATCAAAGAGGAAGAAGGAGCAGGAATGTAGGGCAGGCAATATCAACAAAATTGTAAACAACCAAAATGGCCCACAATAGGCAGCTGGTTATATCTGAATACAGTGGAATATCTTGGAAATTTCAGGTTACAAAACACAGGGAAAGATTTAGTAAATGTTTGTTTCCATCATTGCTTTTCTCTCATTCATAGGATCTTGCAAGTGTCGCATGCTCTCCAAAGGCCCCAGCCCACCCTGCCCCCCACCACCCTTATTTTCTTCCTTCTTTTCTATCATATTAACTAAATGATTCTTCAATTTTCCTCTATTTTTCTCCATTTGCAGTGAAAGTGATAGAGGGCTGCAAAGAGAATGGATTTGCGCCCTTTAAATGTGCCACTTCCCACTAACTAAGGAATTATAGCAGTTGTACTTATACTTCTTTAGCCTTGGTAGCCAGTAAAAACAATATGATTAAACTGTAGAGCTGACCCTGAATTTCACTGAGACCAGTCTAACCATTTAAATCATAACTTTATGAACAACTTTTTATTGCCATCACATCATATTCTTGTGAGGAAAAGCCAACAGCAATATTAGATGACTTCCTGAAAATATTTTCTCAAACATTTTTTCTGTGAAAATTATACTATAGGAAAAATTTGTGTATAATTTTAATATCTCTTTTATTTTTTCTTATAATTTATTTTGATTTGGCTTTCCTGTTTCATGTTTATTCTAGAAAATTGGAAATTACAGAAAAATATTTGGAAGAATTAAAATTATTCATAGTTATACTTCCAAAAATAAATATTGTTGATATTTGGAGAGTATTCTTTTTAAATGCTTTTATTTTGAAAGCTAAGAACATATTTGCATATATAGTTTGTGACCTGATTTCTTGATATTTTATGATGCCAATACAATTTTTTTATTAACAGAAATTTCCAAGATATTCCATAGTATCCAGATTTAACCAATTGCCTGTTGGGGGCCATTTTGGTTGTTTTCAACTTTATTGCTTTTGCCTGCCCTACATTGCTTCTCCTTCTTCCTCTTTGATAATTAGCGATGCTAAAATACTTTTCTGTGTTTATTCACCATTAACATGTGTGAATCATCAGTTCTGAGCATTTTAAGTATCTCTTTTATTTATTTTTATAATGATGGTGGTGGCCATAATCACTGTCTTCATTGTGGCACTTGGGACCAGGAATTATCAAGGCCAGGTTAGCTCAGAGACCCAGATGAAGAAAAGAATTGCAGACAGGAACAGATTTGCTCTCATTCCCAGCATTGACCTTCCCGAAACTGGCATTCCCTGGCACCAGGTGGTTTTGAAAAGAGTTGTTTTTGATGCCACAGAAATCTATTGGAAAGTGGACTTCCAAGCACACCCAGTCCTGGTGTGTATTCTGCAGCTGGATGAGAAGCTGAGCAAGTCATGGGTCTTCTGAAGACAGCTTTAAGTTCAGCTAGAGGAATGAAATCCTAGGAAATAGTGAAATAAAACACAAAACATATTTTAAAATTTATAAACAGAAATTGTTCCTCAAGGGAGGAATTAATTTTCTTCTAAATTATTCCTTTTTTGCCTGGATTGTTACCTTAAGGCCCAGGTCAACTCTCTACATGGAAATCTTCAGAGGACAGAGAATAGAAAATAAACACTCATGCTCCAAATTTGGGCTTGTACACCAACCAGGACCTTTTCACGGCCACCTTCCTGCCAGGCTCACTGATAACCAGGTTTCACAAGTCAGGGAAGGCAAGTCTAACGTGGAGGACAATTAGAGATGTTGGTTCTTTCTCCAAGGATAAAAACCAGTTATTTTACCTGTCACCCTAAAAAGTTTCTGGGATGTCATCTGGCATATGTCCTAGCCTTGATGTTTCATAACCTCTACAACTTTTGGGCACACAAAAAAAATTCACATAGTCTCATCTATAAGGACATAACACTCTTGAACTTAGAAATGAAATCTTCAGCTTCTTTAGAACTCCCACTGCACAGAAGCTGCTCTAATCTGTCAGACTAGGAGTCACTCTGAAGGTGTATTGCTTTGCTAGGTGCAAGTACCCTGGAGGGCTGGCAGTCCCCTGGAGGGATGGATGTCACTGACTGAAAGGAAGGAAGTGGGCTGGAGCAAAGTCAAAGGCTGAGAACTTGAATCAAACATGAATTAGCTTATGCCAGTGCCCACTCAATGCCCTCCTCTCACCTCATATCACTTTGAGTAGAAGCCAGTGTTCTTACAATGGCCTACAAGGTCCCCCATGATCTGGGCTACAATACTCCCTGCTTACCTCTCTCTCCTCCCTTTCCTTCTACTATCCATTCCACTCTGCACAATGACAGAGAGTGGAACAAAGTTGTTCCCCCTGCCTATAAGAATGTGGGGTCAGCTTGAAAGCTAAGGCTAATCCTGAGAGCCTAACAGCTGGATGCTATCAGATAACTGCATTTCTAGAAGCTGAACAGCACGTTCTTTCTTGAAGGGAAATCCAAGTGGTTTATTTCCATGGCTGCCACTCTCCCAAAAGTTATTTTTCCCAAGAGACTTTCCCCATAACCACCCCCTAACCTACCAACCATGTCTGGGTTGGATGTCCCAACTATGTGCTCTCTCAGCATCCTGTGTCCCCGCATTACTGCACATTCACACAGAGTGCAATTGCTCATTTACTTATGTTTTCTCCCACTAGGCTGAGAACAGGGGCTGTGCAGTCATATTCAATATTGAGTCCCCAACCCTAACCCGGACCTGGCACATACAAGACATTCAGCAGATGGCTATTGAATGAAAATATATAAATGAATCAACGATTACCAGCTGCCTCCACTCCCTTAACCTGCTACAGAATTAATAAACTAATCTTGAGCATAGTGGATATATAAAAATAAAAGTATCGTTGAGGACTGTCAGGCCAGCCTCTCTGTACTGGTTGCTACATTCTGCTTGTTGATTTATGCTACTAATTACTGTCACTTTTATTTTGGATTTGGACAGAAAACAAGAGTGTTACTTAAAGGAAGGCTTCCAAATTTCTAAGTGTAGGGAACCCTGCTAAGGACATGGAGCTTCAAAGGGCTCACAAGAAATTTATCACACATATGTGTGCACATGCATATGGCACACACACTCAACTTTGTAACATGTAGTAGACCACATCTAGAATAATATAAAATTTCTATCGCAAACAATCAGCTCTTGACCCTCCAAGCCCATGGCTGAGTTAAAGATGATATGGCATCCCTGTAAAGATCAGAAGGAAAATAGTAGAGAAGAACCCAGAGTTTCCCTCTAAACCAGGGTGTGTTTCTTTTTTTTTCTTTCTTTTTTTTTTTTTTTTTTTTTAGCATGTGTTTCGAAACCTTGGCTTTACAACAGAATCACCTGGTGGGCTTTTAAAAATGTCAACACTCAGACCACACCTAAGACCAATTACATCAGAATTTCTAGGGAAGCGAACCAGGGAATTATTTTTTCAAGTACCCCTGGTGCTTCCACCATGCAGCCAAGGCTGAGAACCACTGCTCTAGATTCTTCCTCCCCTTGAGCCCTACTATGTGCCGGCGTTATATGGGGCAATGTCTTTTCCTTCAATTTATTGATGTAAAATGTTATCCACTTTACATGGCCAAGCCTACACCCTGGAAGGGAAGCAATTTTATAAGCCCTCATTATTTACTCTATATGGTCGGGGCACTAGGAAAATAAGAAAAAAAATGTTTTTTTTTTTTTTTTTTTTGCACTCACTTGCTTAAGCTATCCCCTTAATACCTAAAGGGAAGCCTTTAGTATAATTTTTTATAAGAACAGTGACAGTAAGACTATTTGGGAACTGAAGCCATTCCATAGATGAACTCTACAAAGTTTAATGTACACACTTCAATTTACATGCGATGAGATAAAATTGTTAATGTTTGGAGGTTCGCAGCTTTCTCCCTCCATCTTTGCCCACTAAGCTCCTTATTTCTCCTTCACTTTCTATTAATAAAAGGGAAAAAGTCAGATGCTCGTGAACAATTAGCATAGAACCAACCCTCAATCTCCAGGGTGCTTCTTGGAGCTGGGGATATGATTCATCTAGAGCCTGTGTAGACTTACACATGGCCCAGAGAAGAGAAGGGATCAAGGGACCAAGGGGGCAGAGACATGGCAGAAGAAATAGAAGCCCAAAGGAATATAGGGGTGCTAAAGATAGAAGCAGACAAGAGATTTTAATGAATTTCTAAGGACTAAGTGTTTGGACTCATTTACATGTTTTTGAGAGTGCGAAGTGTAAAGACTAAACCTGCTGTGTAGGCCATGCTACTGAACTCTAACCACCCTCTGGACAGGATGGCAGGGTCATGCCTTTATGTGAGTTGCATGAATGCACTGAGTGGGCAGGTCCACCACTGGAGCACTCAAAATGTGGCTAGTACAACAGAGGTACTGCATTTTCACATTTTGTTGGTTTTAGCTAATTTAAATAGGCAAATGTGGCTAGTGGCTACCCATACTGAACAGTGCAGGCCTACAGTGCTTAATCACAGGACACACACCTATCTGTTTATGCATGTATGGACACCTACTTACATAAATGGTTTTGTATTTGCACATAATTATATACCCTCATATCTCAAGAATATACATACAGACACAACTAGACACAATTGCAAAAACAAGACACCTAGTCTTGTGGAAAGATAAAAAGAATAAAAATTAAAATTGGAATTATTGCATGGGTCCATGTAGGGAGATTTGACACAAGAAGAATTGGAGCAAAAAGCACATGGGTGTGTTGGACAACAGGATGAATTTGGGATGATGCTTTGATAACAAAAAATGAAGGAAAGAAAATCCTGTGAGACCACCAGTGGTTTAGGAATACAAGCAGCTTTGTTTCCCTTGATCTTTTAATCTTTCAGCAAAAGACCTTTACAAATGACATACATCCTTCAAAGGTGGACTTGACTGTCAAGGATTGCCCTGATAACTGGGAAGAACTCCAAAGGGCATAGATAGAAAAGGGAAGAAAGCACTTCTTAACAAGGATGACCAAATTCTCTAAATGATATTCATTCACCAAAAACATTTTAGGCACTCTTGTTTCCAGGAGAAGTATTTATTCCAAAGTTATTAAAACTGTATGAGATGGACTAGATGAATTTCCAGTTGTCAGAATTATTAGTTTACCTAAAAGTTATACCAATTCATGGACTATAATATTAACTTTTTCCCTATTGAACAGGTAACTGAATTCTACCCATATGAACTAAACAATAATTCCTCCACCCAGAAGTGGTATAATTGTTGCCAGCTAGAAATATTATGATTTGCTTTCCAGTTCTCATATTATCCATCTCAGTCTCTTGATGTATACCGTTTACTAATGCTTGCCTTGCAGGTCTTTCAATATGCTGTGCTCCTGCCTGCCTCTTAGTCTTTGCCCATGCTGTCCCCTGTACATGAAACGCTCTTCCCAAACTCTTACTGAGTTAACTTCTGCAGATCTTCCAGGTCTCATCTTACCATCCTTAGGAATGTCATCTCCAACCTACCCTACCTGTCCCACATTAGATCAGTCCTTCCTGTTTTATGTTTTCATAATACCCTGTTCTTCTCTTTCATAGCCCTTTTTTACAGTTATAATTACTGAATTATTTGTGTCTTTATTATTTAATTTTATTATTTAAGTTTATCTCACTCTCTGGATTGTGAACCCCATGAATACTTTGGTTCAGATATTGTAATCTGCCTTATTCATCACAGTACTATGTCCCCAGGATGTAATACAAAACTCAGCCAATAGTTGATGCTCAATAAATACCAATTAAATGTTCAATAAATGAATAAACGTTTCACTCTAGCTTTATTTATCTAATTCCTCCCTTTCTTCCATTTTTCTGTATCATAAGCTATACTATTATACAGTCCTACACAATGGTAAACAACTAAAAAAACTCCTAAGCCCTGTACACAGTTGATTAACTCTGATATTCCTCGTTCAGTTCCCCTTAAGATCTGATAGACCATCTGGTGGTATATCATTTAAGTCACGGCAGCTATAAACATGTTAAGGCCCAGCATGAACCTGGTCTGACATCCAGCCAGTCTTCTGGCTGTCACAGAAATGCCTCCATCCATTTTAGAAATGTGCTTACTACAGAAATACGATGCTAAGCTTGCTGTATTTATGAGACACTGAATTTTCAGGATGCCTTCAATCAATAGAAAATAGACATTATATTCTTACCTGAAGGCAATAGTAATATGACTGGCTGTGAATTAGGGAGTGAGGGAAATAAGAAGGCTCTCAGATGATTATTTTAATATAGAGATGTGCTAGCTTACCTTAAAGAGCATGGCTCACAGAACAGTAGACTTGATTGTAATGAGAATGACAGAAAAATGTAAAATATATGTTGGTCCAAAGGGGATTGATCAGTGATGCAGACACAAAAAGGAAGAAACAAACACCAGCAGAGGAGGTCACAGGCAACAGAACTTGAGGGACTGTGGTCACATTGGCAACACTTTTTCTTCCCTAATGAGTGAATTGATCACTACCTGTGTCTATGGAGGTTTAACATCCATTTTGTCTAACCCCCTGCTTTGACTCTATGCTCACCAAGCTACCTTTGATTATAATTCAGTTTCTCACATGCATCTGTCTACTGGGAGAGGGAATGTTCAGCTTGCCAATGTGCACTTCCCTGTTGGCATCACTATTTTGTTTCTGATTGGGAAGACATGCACTGGTACATCAGTCTTGGAAACTTGGTTAACCTGAGTTCTCCCCTGAGTGGTTCACCTCGCTAGGTGGACAGCAAGAGTCAGGTGTCAAAGCATGTACAGCTGAGGCCAGCCAGAAGCCAGAGCCTCCCCTACAGAAGGCTGCCCTGGCAAGCTTCCAAGAATTTTTTGCCCTCCAGATGCTCCAGACAACATTCCAAATCTTGCTCTACACTACTTCTTTTCCAAATTTAAAATGGAGATCGGGGGAAAGTGAAATGTCTGTTAGGAACAGCCACAGACTCCTAGAGATCTTTTTGAAGACTTCAGTGATGAGACTTGAAATCCTAGTCACATGCCATGATATAAACGAATGGCTCAGGAAAGACAATGCAAACTGGGAGGTGGCCAGGAAGGAAAAGGGTGGAAGGAAAGAAAGAGGGGCTGATATCCTTATCTCAGAAACTGAGGAGACAGTAGACACTGTCTCAAAGACATGAAAATAAACACAGAGAATATAACTAAGGTACAAATAAAATCAAAGTAACTAAAAATAGTCATAGTGATTACATTGGAAAGATGAGGAAAGTGGAGGTGCAAGTGTGTCACATTCAGCTCTATCATAGCAGGGCATCATTAGATAATGCTGGCAGCTGATAAATCAAGAAATGTAAGTAGAAGTATGTCATTTAGAGATCTCAGGACAACTAGCAGAAGACATAGCTTAAAAAATTACAAGTGGTTACCTTTAGAAGTATGACTTAGAAGGTTTGGGGAAAAAGAGATTTTTTGTAAGTCATTTATTATTATTATTATTATTATTTCTTTATTATTTGATGTTTGGTCATCTGCATTTTGATTCATTTATTTGTTCAACAAATATTTGTTAAGTGTCAACTATGGGCAAGGCAGAAGATAGGTTCTAGAAATACAACACTAAACATAAGCTGAGTGTGGTGGTAAATGCCTGTAGTCCCAGCTACTCGGGAGGCTGAGGTGGTAGGATCACTTGAGCCCGGGAGGTCCAGGCTGCAGTGAGCTGAAATTGCACCACTGCACTCCAGCTTGGGTGACAGAGCAAGATGTCACCTCAATAAAGAAAAAAAAAAAAAGATTAAACATCTAAACAAAAATCCTGCCCTCAATAATCTAGTAGAGGAAATAAAATATATAAACAAGTAAAATATTAATATATGATATGTTAGATGGTGTTACGTGCAATGAAGAAAAATAATGCTCTTTTATATCAGGCAAGAGATTTGGACACAGACTTGAAGGAGGTAAGGCAGGAAGCCTTGTGAATTCCTGAGGGAAGAGTGCTCCAGGCAGAGGCAACCGACAGTGCAAAGGCCCTGAGGTGGGAGTGCTCAATGAGTTCGAGGAACAGCAAGAGGCCAATGTGGCTGGAAGACACTGAGTGAGGAGTCACACTGAGAGAGGTGGTGGTGGCAGGATGGAGGGGAGGCCACTTGGCATAAGGCTTTGTAGCTATAGCCAGAGTTGGTCTTTAGTCTGAGTGAGGCGGAAAGCCCATTAAAGGGCAAAGGAATAGCATCTAAGTTTTGCATTTGTTTTAAAATTCTGCCTTTTTTGAGGATAGACTTTTCTGAAATGGTCTGAAGATGGAGCAGAGGAATCAATAAGGATGAAGACTCATTGATATGTTTTTTTTTAATTACAGATAAGTGAAGTTAAAAAACACTCTCCTAATTTATTACTAAATAAAAAGTCGTGTTTTCTTGTTTTAACACGTAAATATCTACATGCTAAGTATTTTTCATGACACAATAGGAGAACTTCCTATAGTTGCCCTTGGAGGTTCCTTTAACAGGGTTGTTTTCAATGATCGTCCATCTACCAATGATTACAACATTGTCTTCAATGACAGTCCATCTACCAGTGATTACAACTAAGAATGGGTTTGAAGAGTTGAGCAGCTCCTTGGATATCCCAGCTTCCGCTCTTGACTTTGAATCATAGCTATTTGTGTCCCTTTTGTTCCCATATCAGCAGCTCCCAAAACTGGCTGATCATTAGAATCACATGCAAGAGCTTTTCATGAAAATAGACTCCTGGGCCTCACCCCCGAGAAGATTCTTAATATTTTGGTTTGAGATGGGATCCAGGCAGTGGCATGCCAAGGGCAGAGATGATGGGAGCAGTACACACAGGTGCAGGCAATAAGTGGGTGCATTCTCTGAGAATTTAAAGAACAATCATAGAACCAATTGAAATCAGTCTGCTTTTTATTACCACTATGTGCTAGCAGTACTAAATGATATCAGTGATGAAATACCTCTCCCCTCCCCTGCCGAAAACTGTGTGTGTTTTTTTATTTTCTTTGAGACGGTAACTCTGTGTCACCCAGGCTGGAGTGCAGTGGTACAATTATGGCTCACTGCAGCCTCCATCTCCTGGACTCAAGTGATTCTCCCAACTCAGACTCCTGAGTAGTGTAGCTGGGACTACAGTCATGCACCACCACCCCTGGCTGATTTTTCTTTCTTTTTTTTTTTTTTTTGTAGAAACAGGATCCCTCTATGTTACCCAGGCTGGTCTCATTCTCCTGGGCTCAAAAGATCCTCCTGCCTCGGCCTCCCAAAGCACTAGGATTACAGACCTAAGCCACCACACCCAGCTCTGAAAATCTTTTCTTTTTTTTTTTTTTTTGTGGGGAGTCTACATTCTAAGCTGCTACTGTTGAGTTTAAGTAATACGTATGCAAGTTTTAAATTGCATATCATTATCACTTATCCTTTCATAAACATTATATTTAACATGGAATTAATTTGAGGAAATTCCAGTATTATATATGTTTAATATATACAGTCAGCCACATGGTCTCACCTACACATGTTCATTTGAAGAGAAGGTTTTTAATGGTTGGGAGTTTGATTTGCTTTGGGTTTAATTTGTGTCCTCAACATCTGTGGTACAACATTTTCTTGCATTCAAACAGTAGGTTCTAAATAAACAAGAATAACAAGTGGTAATAGTCTCAGTCTTATTACAGACTAAGAAACAGAACTTGAGTTACTTCAATTCTGTTATTCTGTGTAATTATCTGGAGGTTTTATTTGTGTTTCAAATTTAAAATAACAAAATAAGGCATAAATTATGGGTACGTTATATTTTGGAAAGAATGAATTTTGTTTCATACATGAACTATTTTATCGAATAATATTTCTACGTAAAAGTTGTTCTCTCATTTTTATTTTAATTATTTATAAACTAAAAATGAGTTAAGGAAATGTTATTTCATATATAACATTACTTATGTTGTTTTTATTATATGTACATGGTGTATAACACATACACACATTAGATATAACATTTATATGTCTTTATATAACATATTTAGTGGTTACTGATGATTGCATAATTACTATTAAATAATTTTGTCACATAGAGGAAAAAAGTGTTTATCTGCTCCAAGTGTCAAATGTACTAAGTACTAGGGGTCTTTATCTTTTTAAAAATTCATGTAATCCCAGAACTTTGGGAGGCCGACGTGGGCGGATCACGAGGTCAGGAGATGGCGACCATCCTGGCTAACACGGTGAAACCCCGTCTCTACTTAAAAAATACAAAAATATTAGCTGGCCGTGGTGGCAGGCGCCTGCAGTCCCAGCTACTCGGGAGGCTGAGGCAGGAGAATGGCATGAACCCAGGAGGCGGAGCTTGCAGTGAGCGGAGATCGAGTCACTGCACTCCAGCCTGGGCTACTGAGCAAGACTCTGTCTCAAAAAAAAAAAAAAAAAAAAAAAAAAAAAAAAAATTCAGCAGGTAAGCTGAATTACAGCTCACACCTGTAATTCTAGCACGTCGGGAGGCCGAGGCGGGTGGATCACCTGAGGTCAGGAGTTCGAGACCAGCCTGGCCGATGTGGTGAAACCCCATCTCTACTAAAAATACAAAATTAGCTGGGCGTGGTGGCGCATGCCTGTCATCCCAGCTACTCGGGAGGCTGAGGCAGAAGAATCGCTTGAACCCGGAAGGCAGAAGTTGCGGTGAGCCGAGATCGTGCCATTGCACTCCAGCTTGGGCAATGAGTGAAACTCCATCTCAAAAAAAAAAAAAAAAAAGAAAAGAAAAGTTCCGGAGGTAATTCACACATGCAGCCAGATGTGGGAATCATAATCTGTAGCGTGTTTATTACTTGCTCTAACTCCATTTCTGTATTCCCCATCTTCCTTCTCTACACCTACTCTTCCCCCAGTTTTCACCACATTAGTTCTACTAAGGTCCCTGGTACAGGTGAAGAAGTGGTAATCAGAACCCCTGTTGCTTCTAGGCAATGGTGTGCTGGTAAATACTTAACAATGAGCTCTCTGGGGGATTTACACATTTACTGATTTTCATAGTGTAAATATTCCCAACGTGTTGATTTCCAACCACCAATGAGATGTCAGTCTGTTTGGGAAGTTCCAGATAATTTAACAGTTAGGTCTCCATGCTGGTGCAAGTCCCCAGTGTTCCAGGGATTCCTAAGACTTTCTGCTAGACGAATAATGGAGTCCCCTATGGAAGAGTTTTGCTCATTTTTTTTCTAACTAAAGTTCAGTTTTCTGGATTATTTCTCGAATTTGTGAGCTCATCTTTAAAAATTAGACCACCCTTATACACATTCTCCCTACAAGGTTCGGGAATAACAACCTCCATGTTTCTTTCTTTATCCACATTCTAGGACACACTCCAGCCCTATATCCAGGAGTGTTTTCAAATGAGAAGTTGACTTTCTAGCAATCTGTGTGTAAACACCCACCTACAAAGTCTTCTTTCTCCCCTTAAGTTTGTTGGAGGAATGTACCTGAGAGAATTTATGCTGCTTCCTCTGTCTCCAGCCAACCTGTTCCTCCATATAATTCCACTGTCTTTCTTCATTCTTTCTTCTCAGAAGGAGCTACTAAGGGATGAGGAAAGTTCCTATCCTGACTTTGGTATCTCACTTACTGGTTAGAAGCTGAGACCTGGGTTCAAGTCCCAGCTCTTACCACTTACAGGATGTGAGACTGTCTATGCTCTCTGAGCCTCTGGAATAGTTGCTCCTTTATAGGGTTGTTGTGAGATTTAAATGATATAATATGAGCAAAGTGCATTGCCTGTGCCCGAAACATAGTTAGCCTCAGCATATGCTATTATTATTCTAATTCCCCTGATAAGTATTAATGGTATTACTCCCTTAGACTTTTCAGTTACTGTGGAAATGAATAGCTGAGGTGCTGACGAGGTGCTGATGAGGCCTAGATACATACTCCACTGGACCCAAAACAATTGAAGGATCTTTTAATACTTCTCAGTCCTTACTCTTATAATTGTTTGCAAAGCATTGTTTAGAAACAATTCCAATATACAATTTCTCTGTATTACTTTGTATAAACAAAGTCATAATACTAAATTCCTCCTTATTATTAAACTGTTCACATATTGTGCTTTGTGGAATCACAGGATCCATGCCTTATTTATCAGTGAGCCCTTTCACAGCACTTAGCAGGGTACCTGGTATGAAGTGGATATTCAGTAAATATTTGATTGACTATGTTCTTTATAGAAAAGGTTTGCACTCTACTTTGTTTTCTTGCTTTCTTGTTGCAAATCTGTAATACTTACCTATTCTTGATTGCCATGGACTAAGAACTGTGGACAAAGCAAAGCAACACCTGCCCCCATCAACAGGAATGTACGCTATTTATATCAATACAAAGTGCACACATATAGGGATATATTCAGTTAATAAAA
This sequence comes from Homo sapiens, assembly GCF_000001405.40. Lineage (NCBI taxonomy): Eukaryota > Metazoa > Chordata > Mammalia > Primates > Hominidae > Homo > Homo sapiens. Next base: position 91,071,737 of record NC_000010.11, read on the forward strand.
GTGATTAATGGCAACAATTCCTGGACAATGCCCTAGAATAAAGAATATAGCTTTATCAAAATGATAAGAATGAATTCAGGATCCTCAGACCTGTTGCATCTCTCTGTGCCTTTGTGAGAAACTAAGCAGCCCACAAAGGGCACTTTGGGAGTTGACCTAAGATGTATGCATGACTAATTGTTCAACATCTGCCTGCCTCCAGACAGATCTTCCCATACTGTTCTTATAGTGGAGTCAGGAAGAAGGAAACCTAAAGAAATCCCAGACCCTTTGTACCAGCTGCATGGCTGTGGCTAGACATGAGTGACAGTACATGCTGAATGATACGTAGGGGATGAAAGACAGGGAGGACCATAGATGGAGCCAGGTGTCTGACTGAACCATGGGATGGATACAGTTGACTGAATTGGACAATTCTAGGGGGAGAAACAAACTTCAGAAGAAAGAACATTGTCTAGTTTTAGAAACATCAATTTTGAGATGCTTATAAGTTAGCAAAGTGCAGTTGTCAGGGAGGAAATTGGATATCGGACATAAGAGACCAGAACCCTAAAGAGAAGTCTTAGCTAAATACGTAAGTCGAGGGGTCATCAACATAGAGATGCCATTTGAAAACATAAGAGCAGATAAATTTGCCTGGGTAGGGAAATGAGAAACTCCCATTTAGAAAAGGCAGAGAGAAGAGTGAAAGCCTGCAAAGAAACAGATATGGACAGGACAGAGAAGCGGGAGAAGGACCAAAAGAAAGTGGAGTCACAGACACCAAAAGAGGAGCACTGGAAGAGGAAGGTTGTCCGGGCTGGCTTCCTCAGGAAGCAGACTCTGAGACAAGTTTGGTGTCCCAGGATCCTTATTCAGGGGTGTCTTTGGGTTCAACATCATGGAAAGGAAGGGAAGAAGACAGGCGTGGGTAGAAAGAGAAGTTGAGCTGCGATGCAGAACTAAAGGCACCTTGGCCCACCTACAGGTTGTCTGGAGCTAGAATGGCTGTTCAGAGATTAGCTGGGGTGGCCAGACCTTTACCCTCCCACACGCAGTTATATTGGATGTAGGCTGCCTGAGAGGAGGGGATGGCTGAGGGGATGTCTGCGGCTGGGGTCATCCCTAAACAGGTGCACAGCCCTCCTTATCCTCAGTCGCTGAGGCAACAGCCCCTCACCTAAGGGGGATCTGGGTGGTGAGTCACAGTGTCCAGCCAGACAGCAAGTCATCAGCAGTGCTGAGGTTCAGGTACATTGAGAGTGTGAAGACATACGTTGCTCTTGACAATCTAGTTTGGTGGCATTATTGGCTAGAACTCGGTTTCAGAGGGTTTCAGGAGTCCTGGAAGTGAGGGAATGCAGAAGGGTGTGACCATTTTTGCATTTGAAGGGGAGCTCATAAATGGGGTAGAGACTAGAGAATGGAATATGGGATAAAGGAAGTGTTTTTGTGTTGTTGTTTTAATATGGAAGAACTTCCCCTCCCTGTGACCGAATTGCCTTTCCACACTTGGATTCCATGAGATACTCCCACATCCTTAAAATAATTACCCTTTCTAGGCTTAGGCTATGTGAAGGTGGTTTCTTATTACTTGCAACAAAAATGTCTCTATCAGTCAGGATATGATCAGAGAAGCAGTCTACTATGAGTGCTGTAGGATAAGGGATTTATTATAGGATTTAGATCTTACACAATAGTGGGATGTGTGAAGTCTATGTAAGGCTGTTGCCTCTGCTTCTGACGTTGGACCTAAGCCACTATAGATCAGCCAGGCTGGCAGGAAGGAAAGCTGCACAGGAAATGGGGGAGAGTAAGGACAAACTAGAACCCATGCAGACAAATGGAACTCATGAGGACAAACTGGAATACACAAGGACAAAACACCTCCAACCTTGGCAGCATGAGTGACCTGTGGGAGAAGCCAATGCCCTTAGCCATGGTGCTGCACACATGCCTGGCTCGGGCTTCAGAGAAACTGAAGGAGAAAATCCAGTGGGAGATGGAGGAGCTGGGAGCCTGGATGCTGCCCGTGCCCACAAGGGAGCCAGCAGATCAGTGACAATGTGTGCAAGCTGCCACCAAGCCTGGTGTGGAAATGGCTGCTTCACTTCTGTCTTCCAAATCTCATCCAAATTTCTCTTGTGGCCAAACCTAATCCCAAATCATATAAAGATGTAATTTTGCTTCTCTAAATGTACACAATAAAAAGCTACCACAGAGTCCCCAAAATAACACGAGGGCTATAATTTCCTTGCAGAATTATTGTAAAGGACTAGAGATAATGCAAGTAAATCTGACACAGAGACATGCACAAAACTGGCTCTCAATAATGGGAGGGGAATGATAATGCTGTTGATGCAAATAATAGAAAAATTTGTTAAAATGTTAACTTATAATTTCTTTTCCTTATACTTCCCCTTATCTTTTAAGATTGCCCTAATTGAACTCAAACAAATTTACAAGAAAAAAACAAACAACCCCATCAAAAAGTGGGCGAAGGATATGAACAGACACTTCTCAAAAGAAGACATTTATGCAACCAACAGACACATGAAAAAATGCTCATCATCACTGGCCACCAGAGAAATGCAAATCAAAACCACAATGAGATACCATCTCACACCAGTTAGAAGGGCCATCATTAAAAAGTCAGGAAACAACAGGTGCTGGAGAGGATGTGGTGAAATAGGAACACTTTTACACTGTTGGTGGGACTGTAAACTAGTTCAACCATTGTGGAAGTCAGTGTGGCGATTCCTCAGGGATCTAGTACAAGAAATACCATTTGACCCAGCCATCCCATTTCTGGGTATATACCCAAAGGATTATAAATCATGCTGCTATAAAGACACATGCACACGTATGTTTATTGTGGCACTATTCACAATAGCAAAGACTTGGAACTAACCCAAATGTCCATCAATGATAGACTGCATTAAGAAAATGTGGCACATATACACCATGGAATACTATGCAGCCATAAAAAAGGATGAGTTCATGTCCTTTGTAGGGACATGGATGAAGCTGGAAACCATCATTCTCAGCAAACCATCACAAGGACCAAAAACCAAACACCGCATGTTCTTACTCATAGGTGGGAATTGAACAATGAGAACACATGGACACAGGAAGGGGAATATCACACACCGGGGCCTGTTGTGGGGTGGGGGGAGGGGGGAGGGATAGCATTAGGAGATATACCTAATGCTAAATGATGAGTTAATGGGTGCAGCACACCAACATGGCACATGTATACATATGTAACAAACCTGCACGTTGTGCACATGTACCCTAAAACTTAAAGTATAATAATAATAAAATTTAAAAAAAAAGATTGCCCTAATTGTCCCCCAATAGGTCCTCCTTAGTACTAGAATTTCCTCCAATACTGTATTTCTTTTGAGCTAGGTGTGGCCTTGTGAACTAGTTCAGTCAATGATTCAAGAATAAAAGTGACACAACAGCTTCTAGATCATCTTGTTAAAGACAAGTTTGCCCTTTCTGCAGGCTGTGCCACAGACATAAAGGTGACAAAGCTTTGGCCATGAAGATGGGGACATGGCAGAACTAGAAGGTGGAAGGAGCCCTGTGTCCCTGCAGGACCACATGGAGCAAGAGATGCCTCACTGGCTCAGTGACTGGCTGCTTTTTGAGTCATCTTACGTTTGTGTTTCTTGACACAGTTACTCGGCCTAATACCCTAACTAAAACTCATGCTATTTTCTTGTATCTAAGGTCTTCTTCTGAAGGCCTAAATCACAAACTGCTTGAAGTCTCCCCTAGACTTTAATACCTAAATTTATTGAAAAGATGTTCCTGGGAGAGGAAGAGAGAATAAGAAATGAACTTTGGACAAGAGGAAAGAGAAGGGATTATTTCAGAACCCATAAACAGAAGGGACCCTCTCTCCACTCTCTGGCAGAGTCCCACGAATAGTATGTCATAGGGGGAACTACTGCATTGTGCCCCAGGGAAGCTCCAAGCCTCATCGTACAATACCATGTTTGGAGGTGGTGGGGGCAGAGATGCCAGATGCGAGGGGAGAATTTGAACTGGAACAAAGAAAGGCTTAGCAATAACCAGCCAATCAGTTAACAAAGGGTGCATGCTAATGCTCTACCATTGGAAAATCCAGGAACATTTAATCCAATAGCTATCAGTGTGGAGCCTCAATACTAAGTAGGATGGATTTCCCATTTGCCTGGAAGGATGGAAACACTGAGATAGAATTTACTTTTAAATAAACACAGAAGTATGGTATTTCTGGCACTCCAAAGTTTGTGGGTATAGAGTCAATCAAATACATCATCATCGTTGTTGTTTTACCCAAGAGTCACACCAGGTTTTGTATCTATACCAGGGTAATCCCTGCCTTGGCCCAGGGACTATCTAAGGCTGAGCTGCAGAGTGAAGGCATTTGTGTCTCCAGTGAGGAGGACAGGGAAGGCAAGGCAGGAGGCAACCTCATGCTTTCAAATGACTATGGCTCTATATCTGGGTGCCTCTAATGTCTACCAGGTTATCTTTCTCTCTACCACAGTACTGAGCTTGACAAAATCAAATAGGGGTAGCTTGGGGACAGTGATTACTCAGTGTCCTTCATCTAAAGCTCCTTGGGAACAGTGAACTCCTGGGTATAAGCATCACAAGAGGATGGGGGTCTTTAGGGCCTTCCTTAGAATTGCAGATGAGCTGTAGCCAAGAAAGACTCTAGAGATCCTACAGTACCACCAGTCCTTTACCCACATGAGCAAACCAGGACCCAGAGAGAATAGACTTGCCCACATTTACACAGCTGGTTGGAGGCACACATGAGACAGGGACCAGTGGTCTGGATTCTCAGACTAGTTTCTAATTTGTTACACATAGGAGGAACCTGGAGAAAATTTTGTCCACTGCTTTCACTGGGGGCAACTTAAAGGAGGATGAAATGTCCATATTCCTCCTCCATAGTCTTGCCCAAGGTGCCATAAATTCTCAGTATTTATTTCAACACTTGAAGCCTTAAGCCCATAAGCTCTTAAATGGACATAAGCAGGAACAAAATTCCACGTGAATGCAGAAGGGCATGTGGAAGACAAAAAAGTGCTGACAGGTGGGCTTCCGGAGGACTCATGGGAGAGCTGTCTTCCAGCTGTGTTCCAGCATCTCTCTTTCATTCTCTTCCTCCCTCCCTCTATCCCCTTCCATCCCTCTCTCCTTCCCCCTTTACTCCTCCCCTCTGTCCCTTCTCTCCCTTTCTCCCCTCTGTCTCCCTGAATGACAGACATGCACATCTTTCCTAGTTGGGGGAGGTGTACAAGAGGAGCTAGGGTTAATAAAGACAAGAATTTTTCTAGTGGCCAGTGCCTCCTGGAAACCTCTGAGATGCTTTGTAAATTACAAAGGGCTAACAAACTGTGAAAAGGCTCACTAAAAAGGCCTGAGATTTTATGGCCCTAAGTCAGGTGTAACAAACAGCTAGAGAAGGCAAACAAAGCTGCTTCTTGGCACCCAAGTGCACTGGTCCGGAGAAGTGAAGTAGCCAGCCCAACTGTCTGTTCTCAAACTCTTCCTTCCTCTCTTCCTTTCACCGTCTCCCCCTTCTTCCCTCCCTCCTACTTTTCCTCCCTTCCTTTTCTCACCCATTAACTAATCCAAAAACATGTATTTGAGTTTATTCCATGAGCCGGGAACCCTGAGTAGATTCTATGGTTACAAACACAACCTTTAGTCTCTGCCCCAGAGGACATCGTACCATTTTTGTAGATTATTCATTTATTTATTCAACACACATTTAAGTGTCGCTGGGTTAGGACAAATACGGCCCCCCAGGATTGAAGCTTACACGGATACACACCCTACACAATTAGTAACTCCCTTCTACTAAGCATCCAGAGAAATACACGGTTCTAAAGACTGATTACAAAATCGTCTTTCCCTTTTCCCACCCCTTTCTCAACTCCTCCATGCCTGTGTCCACTAATCTTTCTTCCCAAAAAGGGAAATAGTTTGTGCCTGAAATTCTAAACTCCCTGATTTCAGGCAAGGCCTGGGAGAGTATAAATAAGCGTATGAATATTTAGCAAAAATGACTGCTATGCAAAGCTTGAAGCACTGTTGTCATAATGCAGAGCCCGCTTTAATCGCAGCCACAGGGAAAGCATTTGTCGCTGTCTTATCACACAGGAATGATTTTCCCATTGGCAATGGCAGCCTGCCAGCTGGCTGTAAAGCCAGCGCCTTCCTGGTCTTTCAGGTCGCAATCTCAGATGGCATGCACCACCACTGCCAGGCACTGACATTTCTATTTTTGCAGGACATGCTGGGTCAGGAAACAAAACTGCAGAATCACAGACTATTTCTTATTTACATTGAATGTGAATCTCATTTTGGCTCAGAAGCCTACGGATTTCCAACTCTTATAGTTCAATACACCAGAGATGGCTCAGAGCTTTGCTGATTGAAGTCAGCTGATGGTCTTTGGATCTTATCATTCCCTTTAAATCCCCAAGGTGGTTCATAGAGTGCATTTCTATAAATCTGCAGTAATTTGCCATTTATAAATAAAGCAGCAACTCAGCTGGGGCATCACTTTCATCCAAGCCCAGCTCAGAACAAACACAAAAGAGAGATGGCTTATATGGGAAAACAAAGTTCTTTAGGAGAAGGGTTTGGAATAACCATTAGTTGCCTCTCCCAACAAATGCTGCTAAGAGCTCCTTCAAATCTTTATCTGAGACAGTTCTTAGCCATTTATACGCCATGATAACTGCCCCTTGGAAATCTTTTAAAATTAGATCTGCACTTCTGATTCTAGCCAAGATGGAATAACAGAGATCAGATTTACTCTCCTACATAAAAACAAAACAAAAATATGGACACAATATATGAAATAACGAACACCAAACAGCAGGCAGTAAAGGATCCCTGAGAACTGAGAAGCAAACAAGATGAGCACCATGATTGTCTGACTTGAGAGATTTCAGGTTGCAATTCAGGGAGGGAAAACACAGGCAGAGTATGGTGGGCTCCCTAAATTGAAAGATGGGGCTGAGAGTCTGAGAGACCAAGGCAGCTAGAATTTGTAGGACAGAATACTGGGGAGGAGAGACCAGCATGCAGAGAGCACACTGAACATCTCAAGAGAGTCCCCTTCGAGTATTCAGCTGAATAATGATCAGTGCAAACATGTGAAGAAACCACGTGAGGCTGGGGAAGGAATCACCTGAAAGGATTAGAGGTAATAGTGTCCAGCAATTACATACAGCTCAGAATAGTACCTGTTCCAGCTAGCCAGACTGAAAAAAACCTCATGATTCGTAAGCATTGGATAAAGTACACAAAAGAAATTTACTTCAGTAGTGGGGAAAAGTTAGACCTCCACTGTGCACTGCTCCAGTCCTGCTTAACAAGTTTTAAAAGCAAGACTCAAAAGGGTCAGAGTATTTCCAAATAACTTAGCTGTACCCCAAAAAACAGCTCAAGAATATTCACAGGAATACAAAAATATCCATCACTCAACAAAGTAAAATTCACAGTGTCTGGCACCCAGTCAAACATTACCAAGCATTCAAAGAAACAGGAAAACATAAGTCATAAGAAGGATAAAAACTAATCAATTAAAATTAATCCAGAGTTCAAAGGGATATTAGAATTAGCAGACAAGGACATTAACACAGCTATTATAACTACATTCTTTATGATCAAAAATTAAGTAGAAACTTAGAAGATTTTTTAAAGACTCTCAATTAAGCTTCTAAAGATGAAAGCTACAATGTGTGAGATGAAAAATACTTTGGATGGAATTAATGGCAGATCAGACATTGCAGAAAAAAAGATCAGTGAATTTGAAGACAGAGCAATAGAAACTACTCAAAATGAAACATCCAGTGAAAAGAGAATTTTTGAAATCAGCAGAGCATCAGTGAACTGTGGGTCACTTCAAACAGTTTAATATAATTGGAGTCCCTGAAGGAGGAAAGAGACAGAAAAATATTTGAAGAAATAATAGCCAATATTTCCAAATTTGCTAAAAACTATGAACCCACAGATCCAAAAAGGTCAATAGACCCCAAGCACAAGAAATGTAAAAACAACAAGTGCTATAGGGTTATAATAATCAAATTGCTCAAAATTCAATGATACAGAGAAAATCAGAGGAACAAAGCAAAGGATACCAGCAAATTTTTCATCAGAAAAAATACAAATGAGAATCTAGTGAAGAAACACTTTAAATTACTGAAAAAAAATTAAAACTAGAATTCTATACTCAGAGAGAAAATTTATTTTTCAAAAACAAGGGCTAAATAAACACTTTTTTACAAACAAAAAAGCTAAAAGAATTTATCATCAGCATATCCACACTATAAGAAATGTTAAGGAAAATTATACAACATGGAAATACGGATGTATACAAAAGAATAAAGAGCTTCAGAAATGGTAACTACATGGGTAAATATGTAAGATTTTTTCTTATTATTTAAATCTCTATAAAATATAACAATTTAAACAAAAAGCATAACAACGTAGTATGGGATTTATAACATACATGTGTGTTTAGAAGTGTATAAAATGTATAACCATATCATAAAGTCTGGGAGGAGACAATTGGAAGCATATCGTTGTAAGGTTCTTATACCATTCATTAAGTGTGCATTAAGTAGCATTATAGTGTCATTTGAATGTAGACTGTGATTAAGTTAAAGATAAATTTTGTAAACCCTAAAGAAATCACTAAACTAACAAAACAAAGAGTTATAACTAATAAGCCAACAAAAGAGATAAAATAAAATCATAAAATTTAATTAATTCCCAAGGTATATTGTCTAAGAACCTAAAAACAAATCCTACCAAAAATTGAGGCAGAAATTTGCAGGACCCAGAAAGTAACAGAAGGGTGGAGGGCTATGAGAAGGAGTGGAATCAACTGATAGAAGAGAATGCTGAACAGAGATGCTGAATAGTATGGAAGAGTATAGAACAAGCTGAGGAGAATGCAAATAAAATTAGGGAGATGGAAGGTCAAGAAAGAGGGGCTTGAGACACCTTCTATGCTTTACCACTTAAAAATGATAAAAGCTTGCCCTTGGATTATACAAAAAAAAAAGTTAATCACTACATCTTTCCTCATTTCTCAATACTGTCCTACCCCTACATTTCCCTGGTGACTTTATCTCCTAAGACATTGAAGAAGATAGCAAACATTGGGCAGGAACTCTCTGATCTGCATATGAGCAATTCTACCAACCTGCTACATCTGCCCCTAACTGCTGCTTCCTGCCTCCTGGTTCATATGAAAAAATATCCATCGTTCTCCTCCTCATCTTACCCAGGACTTTGTCTCTTTCTTTTGTATCATGGTCTCTTCCCCATTAACATATCATTCTTTGTGGCACAGATGTGTGGTCTATTGTTCCTTTGCACCCTGCTTCCCACCACATAATCATGGGCTAAACCTCCTTTTTTGTTTTTATTATTTTGTTGTTTTGAGACAGAGTTTTGCTCTTGTTGCCCAAGCTGGAGTGCAATGGCTCAATCTCCACTCACTGCAACCTCCACCTCCCGGGTTCAAGCGATTCTCCTGCCTCAGCCTCCTGAGTAACTGGGATAACAGGCACACACCCGGCTAATTTTTTGTATTTTTAGTAGAGACAGGGTTTCACCATTTTGGCCAGGCTGGTCTCAAACTCGTGACCTCAGGTGATCCACCCACCACGGCCTCCCAAAGTGCTGGGATTACAAGTGTGAGCCACCATGCCCTGCCAGGATAAACCTCCTTCTAACCCTTGCCATGCAGACCCAATTTTGTGGCCAATCTTGCTCCTTGGTTTCCTGTTGAGTGTCCTGTCCTTTAACTACTAGCTATTTTGACTATAGTTCTGAATCTCACCGACATCACGCACATTCCATCCACAGCCATGGTCTGTCTTCTTTCTTGTTCCTCTTAATTATACTAAAATGATTCTATGATATATGCCAAGAAAATAATATCTCCATTTACAGATAACAAGACTGAGTGAGGTCAGATGATTTACCCAAGGTCACATAGTAAGTGGAACAGCTTGAGATTTAAGCCCAGGTGTTCTGACTGTAAATAATTTCATTACACCAAAGCAGCAGAGATAATGGCAACGACCACACTCTTGGGTGAGTTTTAAAATTCTGACTCCTCTTTAGATTGTACCTCTCATGGTAAATTTCTAGGAGGCTGATTCTTTTTCACAATCAGGAGAGTTCTCCTGTCCCATCTGGTATTCTGTTCTTCCAACTCTTCAGAAGCCCACAACTCTGGGGAGAAAGAGTCTCTGTTCTGTCTTTGGCCATAGGTTATTTTGATTAGGGGTAAGGACATGAGGTAAGAAAATCAGTGTAGATCAAGTTTATGCAAAATATCCTAACTACATTAATTCACAGAACCATGATAACAATCATGTGAGTAGGGACTCAGGATACATTTATGTTTGTATGGGTGTGTGTATGCATGCATGTATGTATCTATCACTTGAACTAAGATGTAATCCATTAGCTACTTAACAGAAAATAAAAACAACACAGCAAGTTGGAGGACTCACAGTACCAGATATCATAACTTATTGATAAGTTTAATGAAAACAGTGTGGCATTATTATAAAGGCAGACAAACAGAGTAAAGCAAAGAAAACAGAGTTCATACAGTGTAAGATTTTACTTAAGCTCTAGGATGGAAAAGCATGCAGTCATCTTGCCTACCACATATAAAATAGAATGATGGATCTAATTTCAAACATGTCAGTCATAACAACTGTGATATGGTTTAACTGTGTCCCTATCCAAATCTCATTTTGAATCGTAGTTCCCATAATCCCCACATATTGTGGGAGGGACCTAGCAGGAGGTAACTGAATCACAGGGGCGGTTATCCCCATGCTGTTCTCGTGATAGTGAGTGAGTTCTTACGAGATCTGATGCTGGGCTCTTCTGATAAGGGGGTCTTCTGCCTTCGCTCAGCACTTCTTCCTGCCTCCATGTGAAGAAGGACGTGTTTGCTTCCTCTTCTGCCATAACTGTAAGTTTCCTGAGGCCTCCCCAGCCATGTGGAACTGTGAGTCAAGTAAGCCTCTTTCTTTTGTAAATTACCTAGTCTCAGGCAGTTTTTTTATAGCAGCGTGAGAACAGACTAATACAAACTGGAAATGGACTAAAATAATCTATTATATCAAATTGGTCCTCAGAGAAAGATCCAACTATATGTTGTTTGTAAGAAACATTTTACAGAGGAAACAAAAGAAGACTTGAACAAGTGAGCTACATGCCTGTTCTTGGATAGGAATCCTCAGGTTATAAAAATGTCAACTCTCCCAAAGTTTAATTTATAATTTTGAAATACTCTTCAATAAAATTACCAATAGGAATCATTTGAAACTAGACAAGCAAATTCTAAAGTTCATATGGGAAAATAAATCTAAAATAGCCAAAGACATTAAAAAAAGAAAATTAATGAGTAGAAGTTAATGCATATTATGAAATGACAATAATTTAAGCAGTGTGATGCATGAATTAATAAACAGTGGATTAGAATAGGAAGCAAGATATGGATCCAAATAAATTGAGAGATTTAGTAAATTGTTAAAGGACCATTTCAAATTAGTAGAAAAAAACCTATTAGTCAACGAATAATGTTCAGACAAGTGGGTGGCTACCTGGAAAAAATAAATTGACTCATGGACCTCATACCATACACCAGAATAAATTCCATATAGCTGAAGGTTGAAAGAGAAAATGAATTCATAAAAGTACTAGAAAAATAGACTTTTGTAAGTTTGATAAGAAACCCAACCATGAACAATAAGTTCTTAAATTAACTCTTTAAAAACATGCACGTAAGCACATACATGTATATTTACATGTCAAGAGACACTGCCATAAAGACAACATATAAATGGCAAAGTTGCAGGAAAAAAGAAAACTATATTTAGGCAAAGGCTAACAGTCTTTATTTTATTTTATTTTATTTTTTGAGACGGAGTCTCACTCTGTCACACAGGCTGGAGTACAGTGGTGCAATCTTGGCTCACTGCAACCTCTGCCCCACCAGGTTCAAGTGATTCTCCTGCCTCAGCCTCCTGAGTAGCTGGGATTACAGGCATGCACCACCATGCCCGGCTAATTTTTGTATTTTTAGTAGACATGGGATTTTGCCATGTTGGCCAGGCTGGTCTTGAACTCCTGACCTCAAGTGATCCTCCATTCTCGGCCTACCAGAGTGCTGGGATTACAGGGATGAGCCACCGCACCCAGCCAAAAGTCTTGATTTCGTATTAGTAAGTATTAGTTTAAAAAGGGGCCAGCAATAGAAAAGTGGATAAAGTTTACTTATGTAAATATATATTTTATTTTTCTGTTTGTTTTTATTTGTACAAACTCATGAGGTTTATGTGCAATTTTGTCACCTGCATAGATTGTGTACATGGTCAAGTCAGGGCTTTTAGATTATCCATCACCCAAGTAACGTAAATTGTACCAACTAATTTCTCACCCATCTTTCTCCCACCTCCTCAACCTTCCAAGTCTCCATTGTCTATCACTCCACTCTCTAGATCCATGTGTACACATTTTTTACCACCCATTTATGAGTGAGAACATGTGATATTTGACTTCCTATGCCTGGCTTGTTTCACTTAAGATAATGGCCTCCAGTTTCATCTATGTTGTTGCAAAAGATGTAATTTCATTCTTTTTTGTAGCTGAATGGTATTTAATTGTACAGACATACGACATTTTCTTTATCCAATCTTCTGCTGATGGACACTTAGGTTGATTCCATATCTTTGCTGTTGTAAATAGTGCTGCAATAAACATACCAGTGTGGGTATCTTTTTGATGTATTGTTTTCTTTCCCTTTGGGTAGATACCTAGTAGTGGGATTGCCGGATTGAAACAAATGGTAGTTTAATTTTTAGTTCTTTGAGAAATCTCCATACTGTTTGTCATAGAGGTTGTACTGTTTGAAAATAATTTGTATTATTTTCGTCCTTTTAATAATAGTCATTCTGATTCGGGCAAGATGATATCCCACTGTGGTTTTGATTTGCATTTCTCTGATGATTACTGATGTTGAGCAATTTTTCTGTTGATCATTTGTCCTGTTTTGAAAAATGTCTATTAGTGTCCTTTGCTCACTTTTTAATGTTATTCTTTGTTTTTGTTGTTATTAAGTTGCTTGAGTTCCTTGTCTAGATATTAGTTCCCTGTTGTATGAATACTTTGCAAATATTTTCTCCCATTCTATAGGCCGTCTGGTCACTCTTCTATTTCTTTTGTGGTGCAGAAGCTTTTTAGTTTAAATAAGTACCACTTGTCTATTTTTTGGTTTTTTGCCTGTGCTTTTGAGGTCTTGGTCAGAAATTCTTTGCCTAGACCAATGTCCATAAAAGTTTTCCCTAGGTTTTCTTCTAGTATTTCGGTTTTGGTTGTTGTTATTTTCAGTTTGTTTTTGTTTTAGTTTAGAGGCAGTGTGGAGTGCAATGGCAGAATCATAGCTTGTTGCAGCCTCAAACTCCAGGGCTCAAGCAGTCCTCCTGCCTCAGCCTCCTGAGTAGCTGGGACTACAGTCACATGCCACCATGCCTGGCTAATTTTTTTTATTATTATTTTTTGTAGAGTCAGGGTCTCACTGTGTAGCCCAGACTGGTCTTGAACTCCTGCCCTCAAGTGATCCTCTTGGTGCAGGCTCCCAAAGTGCTAGGATTGCAGGTGTGAGCCACTGTACCATGCCTCTTCTAGTATTTTTATAGTTTCAGGTCTTATATTTAAGTCTTTAATCAATCTTGCATTGATTTTTGTACATAGTGAGAGTTAGGGTTCAGTTTCATTTTTCTTCATATGGCAATCTAATTTTTCCAGCACCATTCATTGAAAAGGGTGTTCTTTCCACAGTGTATGTTCTTGTCAATTTTATCAAAGATCAGTTGGCTAAAAAAAAATGGCATTATTTTGAGTTTTCTTTTCTATTTCATTGATCTATGTGTCTATTTTTATGCCAGCACCATACTCTTTTGGTTCCTGTAGCCTTGTAATATAGTTTGAACTTGTAATGTGGTAACTTTAGCTTTGTTCTTTTTGCTTAGGATTGCTTTGGCTATTCTGGCTCTTTTTTTTGGATCCATATGAATTTTAGGATTTTTTTTCTAATTCTGTGGAAAACGACATTGATATTTTGTTTTATTCTGTTCTGTTCTGTTTTGTTTTGTTTTAGATGGAGTCTCACACTGCTGCGCAGGCTGAATTGTGAGTGGCACGATCTCAGCTCACAGCAACCTCCACCTCCCAGGTTCACATGATTCTCCTGCATCAGCCTCCCGAGTAGCTGGGATTACAAGCGACCACTGCCACACTTGGCTAATTTTTGTATTTTTAGTAGAGACAGGGTTTTGCCACATTGGCCAGGCTGGTCTCAGATGATTGACAGTTATTATCTGAAGGGATGCTGAATTTTATCAAATACTTTTTCTGTGTCTATTGAGATAATCATATAGGTTTTGTCCTTGATTCTGTTTGTGTTTATGTATCGTATTTATTGATTTACATATGTTGAATCTTCCTTGCATCCCTGATATAAATCCCACTTGTTAATGGTGTATTATCTTTTTATTGTGTTGTTGGATTTGGTTTGCTAGTATTTAGTTGAGGATTTTTGTGCCTATGCTCATCAGGGATATTGGCCTGTAGTTTTCTATTTTTGTTGTGTCATTTTCTTGTTTTGGTATCAGAGAGATACTGGCCTCAGAATGAGTTACAGTAGAATCCCTTCTCCTCAATTATTTGGAATAGTTTCAGTAGGTTGGTACTAGTTATTCTTTATACATTTGGTAGACTTTAACTGTGAGTTCAGATAGCCCTGGGCTTTTCTTTGTTGGGAGGATTTTGTTTTCATTTTAATATTGATTCAGTCTTGCTGCTTGTTATTGATCTGTTCAGGTTTTCTGTTTCTTCCTGGTTCAATCTTGGGAGGTTGTATGTTTCTAGGAATGTGGCCATTTCCTCTAGGTTTTCTAGTTTATAAGTGTATAGTTGTTCATAATAGTATCTGTTGATTTTTTTATATTTTTTTAGTATTAGTTTTAATGTCTCCGCTATCATTTCTGATTTTGTTTATTTGGGTCTTCTCCTTTTCTTGGTTAGTCTAGTTGGTGGTTTATGATTTTATCTTTTGGAAGAACCAACTTTTCATATCATTGATCCTTTGTATTTTTAGTCTCTATTTCATTTGGTTCTGCTCTGATCTTTGTTATTTCTTTTCTTCTGCTAATATGAGTTTGATTTGCCCTTAATTCCTTGAGGTACATGATTAGATTGTTAATTTATAATCTTTCCACTTTATTAACGTAGGCATTTAATGCTACAAACTCCCTTCCTCGCACAGTTTCTGCCATATCCTACAGGTTTTGTTATGTTGTACTTCCATTTTCATTTGCTTCCAAATGTTTTCATCTCTGTTTTAATGTATTCATTGAATACAGTGGTCATTCAAGAGCATGCTGTTTAATTTCTATGTATTTATATAGTTTCTGAAGTTTCTCTAACTTTATTCTACTGTGATCTGAGAAGATGCTTGATATGATTTCAATTTTTAAAAATTTGTTGAGACTTGTTTTGTGGCCTAACATATGTTCTATCTTGGAGAATGTTTCATGTTCTGATGAAAAGAATGTATATTCTGCAGCTGTTAGGTAGAATGTTCTATAATTTGGACTTATATTTTTAAATTCCCTAATGAAATTTTTTTTTTTTTTACATTTTCTGGTCTCTTTCTATAACACCTTTAATATAATAGTTGTTATACTTTATTGAAACCTTACTTATTCTTTCAAATGCTTTTCCTTCTATATATTCCCTGTTTTTTTCATTTAGCCATCCTCAGACACCAGATACTCAATTTAAATTTCACCATCACTGGCTTCCCTGATAACCCTTTAAAGACAAGTCTAGGCTTGAACAGTAATTTCAGGTCTACTACCTGCTACCCAAGGAGACCATGGAGCTTGAACTCAGGTCTCTTTAACACCTAAACCTGGGTTCTTCTCATTTCTCCACTCTCTCTTCCAATCAGCGGGTCTGTTGGATGTATCACAAATATGTGCCTCATGTCCTAATATTACTTTTTAGTGGGCATGAATAATTTATTCTATCTCCCTTTCATGTGGAGCTGTATACATGTGAAACTTATACCTGTGGAGCTGCACTCTTCTTCAAGACAGATTACAGGCACTTCAAAGAGGTGAAGACATTCACAATTCCAGCCAGGGGTGGATCTAGGCTGCTTACATCTTGAGTGGCATTTACCATGACATTCAAGGCCTTCATTCACCCCTCCCCTGAAGGTTCCAGCTGCACAATGCTGATGTGCTAACTGGTGCCCTTCTAAGTTCGTGTCTTCCAGTGTTAATGGAAAATAGTAACATGTTTTTACCTTATTTTTGTTCTACTTTGAACACAGAGAAATCCCTAAGCCCTTCTGTTTATAGGACCCCTTTTAGGTTTCCATATTTGTAGTTTTGTCCAGAACCAAAGTCAGCCTGGATTTATATTTGAAATTTCCTTAAATGTAGAGAAGAGGAAGAGGAAGGAAAAGGCTGTTGTTGTGGAATGCCTATGCACTGAGAACAGCAAAAGAACCATTTTTGGTTTTGCCCAAATTAGCATTGCTAGATAAATTGGGAGCCTTATATCTTTCCAGTTGCCAGGAGAGCATGCCAGCTAATTTTAGCCCGTTGTGTAAATATAACCAGCACTGGTATGCACTGGCCTTTAAGATTCACAAGGGTCAATGATGTCCTGCAACAGCCAGAGGAGTGCCTACACTCGCCCAATATTGACTGAACTTCCTGGGTCCTTAGTTTCCTGTGTCTCCCAGACATATTAATTTTCCTTGGAAGTGACCTTGGAGATCCCTTGGCCTGACCCCCTGCCCGGGGCATGGCCTTTTCCATGTCTTTGGACAGAAAATTGCCACAGCAAAGTAGCAACATTCTGCAGCCCTTAAGGCAGGTGCAGCCTCGTTTTCTCTCAACAGTGTAACTCTCAGGCAGAAGAGCTAAGAATAAAGTTTTAGAAGGAAATACTGAGTATGATCCTATTTTGTCTTCCTAAAAAATGCTTTTTTTTTTTTTTACTCAACTCCTGAAACACCCTGTTCCCCAATGAATATGCTATAGCTAAATGTAATTGTTTTCTAATCTAATTGCCAGAAGAGGTCACAATAGAGCTTATACAACCAACTCTCTGAATCCTATCTGCTCTACAACTAGCAGGGGCAGATGATAGTCTCTGGGAGGTGAATACGACTGAAGCAGAGGAAAATCACAAAGGAGGAAGCCGCTCCAGCTCCCACCGAGAGATCAGGCTTTAAGTTGTACTGTCCCTCAGTATCCTTATCTGCTAAATTGAAGTGTTTATATATTGTTCCTACCTCTCAGAGATTTTATGGAGTTTAAATGAGTTAATGCATGCCAAACTGTTAGAAGAGCTCTTGGAAAATGATAAATGCTTAATACATGTTGGTATAGTTTGGACGTTTGTCCCCTCCAAATATTATGTTGAAATGTAATCCCAAATGTTGGAGGTGGGGCCTGGTGGGAGGTATTTGGATCATGGGGGTGGACCCCTCACGAATGGTTTTGTGCCTTCCCCATGGTAATAAGTGACTTCTCGCTCTGTTAGTTCATGTGAGAACTGGTTATTTAAAGAGCCTGGCACCTCCCGTCCCCACCCCACTACCTCCTGGCTCCCCCTCTCACCATGTGGTGTGCCAGCTCTGTTTCCCCTTCTGCTATGATTGTAAACTTCCTGAGGCCATCACCAGAAGCCAAGCAGATGCCGGCGCTATGCTTCCTATATAGCCTGCAGAACCATGAGCCAGTTAAACCTCTTTTCTTTATAAATTACTCAGTCTCGGATATTCCTTTATAATGATGCAAACACAGCCTAATACAAATGTTGGCCATTGTTTTATTATTGTTATATGGATTGAAATCACAATTCCCATTTACTAGATGGAGGACCTAAGGCTAGATTTCCTCATCTGCAAAATGGGCATAAGGAAAAGTCCTGCCTCATAAAGTTGCTGTTAGGATCAAATGAATTGAAAGGTATAAAGCTCCTGGCTTTTGCCTGGTCCTTGTGTGTGCCCAGAGTGTGGCAGTTCCTCTTGTTATTTCTTCAGGTGCTTAAGAATCTCTTCACTCGGCAATCACATCTGCTTGCAAACCACTCAGATTGTTCCAAAGACAATTTCAGAGTGGCTAAAGACATTGAGCAGGAGATGTGTACTGTTCATTTTCAGTATTTTTTCTTGATGGCTACAGAGAGTAAAGTAATGATAAATACAAAATGGCTACAAAATATGTAAAGACATAAAATATGTTAAAATAACCATGAAATAGGGTTCAAGAGAGAAAAGGAACATTTCCTTTGTCTTGTTTCTGGGTTTTGCTTTGAGGGTTTCATCTTGTTTGTTTGGGTTTTATTTGTTTTTATCTTAGAGTTAATCACAAGGGTGAGAGTGTGATAGAGTGATTAGCCAAAGTAGACTAGCTATGCTGCTATTCTACCCAAAGACCCTCGGCAGACATACATAATAACAGAGACAAGTAAAATTGGAGTATTATTTCTCTATAGATGACATGTCCCTAAGAAAGCCCTGCTGGGCTAATAAACACTATGGGATAATCCCCCATGTTCTTCTCATTCATTTAAGTATGTGTCATGGTATTTCTTTTCAGAAGCCAATTGATCCTGCTCTATTTTTGCTTAGACTAATATTAAAATTAGTTTGCATTTCCTAAGGTAGCCAAGCAATTGGAGTAAGATAGTGACATGGAGAGGGAGTTAGCTCAGACTGTTAAAAGTGGCAGCAGAACAGCTAAAAGCAAATAACCTAAAAACAGAAATCAGGAGGAAATTCCTTCTTTAAGGTGGAATATTGCTAGATTATTTTCTTTTCATGAAAGAAGCACTTCTTTTAGGTAAACCATTGCTTGTATTAAAAACTCCCAGTTTTTCCTCATTTGTTTCTAAAGACTTAATTCTAATGATAAAGTTACAATGTGTGGTCCTCAGCAAACACTTCTCACTGTAGATCTTTCCACTCTCCCCATGACTCTCAGGGGAGTTGCAGTCAAACTATGCTATTGTATAATAACGGGCTGTGACAAACAAGTAGGGAGAAATTGCTCCTGTCTAACCTCAAACCTCCATATGAAAAGGTTGCATGTTTATGGAGCTAGTGAAAGGAGCACAGGCCCAGAAATCAGACATACTTTGAGTTTAAAACCCTGTTCTCTAAACCACAAGTTATGTGACCTAGGAAGAATTTCTTAACTCCTCAGAACTTTTTAACAAGAACTGTTGTCCTACTTTGCATTGCTTGCTTTTAGCTCAGTAAAAGTTAGTGCTTTGCATGCATGATTCTTTTTAAGCTTTATGACACCTCTGTGAGGTTGGCATTATTATTAGTCACGTTTTATAGATGAGAAAACCAAAGCTACTGATTCAAAAGTCATGCCTTGCTACCGTAAGCCTTCTATAGTGCTACTAATGAATGCTGCACACGGCTTGAATGGCCCTCATGAGAGGATACTGACATGCATGGAGATTTGGTTCACAGATACTCTAAACAGACTGCACCGGTATTTGCCACTAGTGGGAGCAGACAGCAGAAGATGAATTTAGTGTCCCTGCATTTGTCCTCCTCTCAGCCCATCTGTCTCTCTCCCTTTTCCCCACTCTATGTTGATAACAATTTTTCTGACCTGCAGGTAATTTAGCTGACTAGAGTGGCTATTCTTTTTTTTTTTTTTTTAGACGGAGTCTCACTCTGTCACCCAGGCTGGAGTGCAGTGGCACAATCTTGGCTCACTGAAACCTCCACCTCCGGCTTAAAGCAATTCTCCTGCCTCAGCCTCCTGAGTAGCTGGAATTACAGGCACATGCCACCACACCCGGCTAATTTTTGTATTTTTAGTAGAGATGGGGCTTCAACATATAGGCGAGGCTGGTCTTGAACTCCTGATCTCGTGATCCACCCGCTTTGGCCTCCCAAAGTGCTGGGATTAAAGTAGTAAGATATCCACCTCATTTCTTCTGTTAATAGAACTTCTCCCTCACACCCCACAAAGGCACATATGTACATATACACACACATGCATACACACATCCATACACACACAACTTCTCACCATTAATACCCTGTCACGGCCACAGAGGTGGACACATGACTTTTCTTTGCTGTGATACTAAATTTGGCCTGCTGAAAACCCAAAGTCCAACAACCTGAAATAGGCTTGTTTGTAGCAGGAAATTAAAAGATCAACAAAAAAGAAGCAGAGACCAGCAGAAATGAGAGATGCACAGAAGGCAACTCGTGTGAGCCAACCAATAGCACCTCCTAAGGAAAAGGCCAACAAGTACCTGTTTCTGATATCTCTGGTGTATCTGGGCCCAGGCTTCCCTTTCCAATATCCTGATTGTTCATCTCTTTTTTTTTTCAATTCTGAGAGCTTCTCAGTATCCTTCCCAGCTACCTGAACCCATCTGAGAAGGCAAACGTGAGTTGGGTCTCTTTATGAGTCCATGCTTGCATTGCTATAAAACAAATACCTGAGACTGGGTAATTTACAAAGAAAAGAGGTTTAATAGGCTCATGGTTCTGCAGGCTATACAGGATGTGTGGTGGCTTCTGCTTCTGGGGAGGCCTCAGGGAAGTTTTACTCATAGTGGAAGGCAAAGCAGGAGCAAGCATCTTACATGTCTAGAGTAGGAGGAAGAGGGGTGGGGGAAGTGCTATACACTTTTGAACAACCAGATCTCATGGGAACTCTATCATGAGAACAGCACCAAAGGGATGGTGCCAAACCATTCATTCAGGATCCATTCCCATGATCCAACTACTTCCCACCAAGTCCCACCTCCATCACTGGGGATTACAATTCAACATGAGATTTGCGTGGGGACACAGATCCAAACCATATCATTCTGTCCCTGACCCTTCCCAAATCTCATGTCCTCCCATTGCAAAATACAATCATCCCTTCTCAACAGTCTCCAAAGTCTTAGCTCATTTCAGCATTAACTCAAAAGTCCAGTCTCATCTGAGACAATGCAAGTCTCTTCTGCCTATGAGCCTATAAAATCAAAAGCAAGTTAGTTACTTCCAAGATACAATGGATGTATAGGCATTGGGTAAATACTTGTTCCAAAAGGGAGAAATCAGCCAAAAGAAAGGGCTACAGGCCCCATGCAAATCTAAAACCCAGTAGTGCAGTCATTGAATCTTAAAGCTCCAAAATAATCTCCTTTGTCTCCATGTCCCACATCCAGGGCACAATGATGCAAGAAATGGGCTCCCAAGGCCTTGGGCAGCTCCAAACCTGTGGTTTTGCAGGGTTGGGCTCCCAAGGCTGCTTTCATGGGCTGGCATTGAATCCCTGTAGTTTTTCCTGGTGCACAGTGCAAACCATCAATGGCTCTACAATTTCAGAGTCTGGAGGATGGTGGCCCTCTTCTCACAGCTCCACTAGGCAGTGCCTCAGTGGGAGCTCCAACCCTACGTTTTCCCTCTGCACTGCCCTAGTAGAAGTTTTCCATGCAGGCTCCACCCCTTCAACAGGCTTCTGCCTGGATATCCACGCTTTTCCATACATCCTCTGAAATCTAGATAGAGGCTACCAAGCCTCAGCTCTTGCATGCTGTGCACTTGCTGGCTTAATGCCACATGGAAATTGCAAAGGCTTATGCTTGCACCTCTGCAGCAGTGGCCCAAGCTGTACCTGGACCCTTTTGAACCACATCTGGAGCTGGAGCAGCTGGGATGCAGGGAGCAGTGTCCCAAGGCTGCACAGGGTATTGGGCCCCTGGGCCTAGCCCAAGAAACCATTCTTTGTTCCTAGGCCTTCAGGCCTGTGATGGGCTGGGAGGGGCTGCCACAAAGGTCTCTGAAATGCCTTTGAGAACTTTTCCCCATTGTCTTGGCTATCATTATTTGCCTTCCTTTTAGTTATACAGACTTCTGCAGCTGGCTTGAATTGCTTCCCTGGAAATGGACTTTTTTTTCTATCACATGGCCAGGCTTCAAACTTTCCAAACTTTTATATTCTGCTTCTTCCTTAAATATAGTTTCTGTTTTATGCCATTTCTTTGCTCATGCATATGAGCATAGGCTGTTAGAAGCAACCAGGCAACATCTTGAACACTGCCACTTAGAAATTTCTTCTGCCAGATACCCTAAATCATCACTCTCAAGGACAAACTTCCATAGATCTCTTGGGCACGGGAACAATGTTGCCAGGTTCTTTGCTAAGGCATAACAAACATGACCTTAGCTCCAGTTCCCAGTTAATTCCTCATCTCCATCTGAAACCCTCTCAGCCTGGCCTTCATTGTCCATATCACTACCACCATTTTGGTCACAACAATTTAACGAGTCTCTAGGAAGTTCCAAATTTTCCCTCATCTTCCTGTCTTCTGAGCCCTCCACACTCTTCCAACTTCTGCTTGTTACCCAGTTCCAAAGTTGCTTCACATTTTCAGATATCTTTATAGAAATGCCCCATTCTTTGGTACCAATTTTTGGTATTAGTCCATTCTTGCATTGCTATAAAAAAATACCTGAGACTGAGTAATTTATAAAGAAAAAGGGTTTAATTCACTCACAGTTCAGCAGGCTGTACAGGAAGCATGGCAGTTTCTGCTTCTGGGGAGGACTCAGGGAGATTTACTCATGACAGAAGGCAAAGCAGGAGCAGCCATATTACATGGCCAGAGAAGGAGGAAGAAAGAGAGGGGTATTTGCCACACTCTTTTAAACAACCAGATCTCATAAAAACTTTGTCACAAAAACAGCACCAAAGAGATGCTGCCAAACTGTTCATGAAGGATTCAACCCCATGATCAAATCACTTCCCATCAGGACCCACCTCCACCATTTGGGTGGGATTACAATTCAACATGAGATTTAAGTGGGGATACAGATTCAAACCATATCAGTCTCTGCTGTTTGCAACCAAAAATGTTCCAATTTAGCATACTTAAGTTTAACATCAGAAAGTTGAGGAGAATGAGAATCCTAAAGGTAAATACACTTTTCATTTTTCTGAGGATGACCCAACACTCATTCATTCAACACTCTTACTGAATACCTGTTACATGTCAGGCACTGTGCTGAGAGTATGCAATCCAAGGATGAATAAAATATGGTTCCTGCTCCCAGTCTAGAAGACGAAGACAGACACTGATAAAAATGCAATAAAAGGTCACCAGTGTTTTGATAAAGGTCATAGGAAACTGTAGGTACAGGAAAAAATAGTAGTCAATTATTTCTGGAAGGTTCAGGGAAGTCTTCAGAGAGGTGATAATCCTTTGTTGACATTTGAATGGTAAGTGTTATCTAGGACTTTGCTATTCAAAATGTGGTTTGTGAGCCAGCAGCATCAGCATTACCTGTTAGAAATACAGAATAGGGGCCCCACTCCAGATGTAATGAATCAGCATCTGAATTAAAAAAAATTTTCAGGTGGTTGGTACCACATTAAAGTTTGAGAAGTGCTGATCCAGACAACAAGAAGGGTAGAAGAAGAGTAATTTCAGACAGAGGGACGAGTTTGAACAAAGGCTGGCAGACCTGATAGAGCATGATGTATTCATGAGATTGTAAGTCACAGCAGAAGATGTGAGGGAAGATACAGCACAAATTATAGCAAGTCCAGACCACAGAGAGCCTTGTAATCCATGCAGAAAGGACTGGACTTTATCCGACCAGTAATGGGGAACCAGTAAAGTGAAAGTGTGATGTAATCAGAGTGTATATTTAAAAGTAGAGTAAAACTTTTCTGGCAAGCAGAGTAATAAGATGAAGTTTGGACATGATCCCGGATAAAAGGGAGATTTGAGGGGAAAGAATAACATGATTTGATTGATTTGATTTGATGCAATTTATTTTAATGTTTCAAAGCTAAATGCCTGACAACAGTGTGGAAGATGGATTGGAGAGAGGGCAATACCAAAGGCAGGGAGACCAAGTGACATAGTCGTATACTGGTAAGAGATGATGAAGATGAAAACTACAAAAGTGTAACAGGAGTGGAGAGGAAGAGATGGCTATCAGAGTGAAAATGGGACAGAATCTGCAGACCTTATTCAAAAGCTGGAAGCTGCATATGGCAGCTAAGTGGGGCAAGGAAATCTGGAATATATGATAGAAGAGACAAAATGGAAGAGTCCATAGTGGAACAAAAGAGAGCAAGTTCTGTTCAGGGTCTGCTGAGTTGAATCCCCTGTAGGACATATATATGGAGGTAAGCAAATATGGACACATTAGCAATAAGCACTGACCTCACATCCAAGGTCTCTCTTGAAATTCCTCAACTAGAAACTAGTTTGTTTACTAGAAACCATTTAGCTAATTTTAAAAAGAATTAACTCTGATGAATAATTCAATGACTGTGAACTCAGACCATACAACCTAGAGTTGATCTTCCACCCGTTACCTGATGTATCAGTCCATTCTCATACTGCTAATAAAGACATAACCAAGACTGGGTAATTTATAAAGGAAAGATGTTTAATTGACTCACAGTTCAGCATAGCTAGGGAGACCTCAGGAAACTAACAATCATGACAGAAGGAGAAGCAAACAAGTACTTCTTCACATGGTGGCAGGAAGAAGTTCAGAGTGAAGGCAGGGGAAAGCCCCTTATAAAACTATCAGATTTCATGAGAACTCACTCACTATCATGAGAACAGCATGGAGGTAACCACACCCATGATTAAATTACCACCCACCAGTTCCCTCCGTTGACACGTGGGGATTATGAGAACTATAATTCAAGATGAGGTTTGGGTGGGGACACAGTCAAACGATATGATTCCACCCCAGCCCCTCCCAATCTCATGTCCTCACATTTCAAAACATAATCATGCTTTTTTCAACAGTCCCCCAAAGACTTAACTCATTCCAGCATTAACTCAAAAGTTCAAGTCCAGTCTCATCTGAGACAAGGCAAGTCCCTTCCGCCTATATGCCTGTAAAATCAAAAGCAAGTTAGTTACTTCCTAGATACAATGGGGCTACAGGCATTGGGTAAATACACTCATTTCAAATGGAAGAAATTGGCGGAAACAAAGCTACAGGCCCCATTCAAGTCCAGAATCCAACAGAGCAGTAGTTAAATCTTAAAGCTCTGAAATAATCTCCTTTTACTCTATGACTTACATCCAAGTCATGCCAATGTAAGAGGTAGGCTCCCACGACGTTGGGCAGCTCTGATCCTGTGGCTTTGCAGAGTACGGCCCCATCCTGGCTGCTTTCACAGGCTGGCATTGAGTGTCCGCACCTTTTCCAGGTGCACAGTACAAGCTGTCAGTGGATCTACCATTCTGGGGTCTGGAGGACAATAGCCCTCTTCTCACAGCTCCACAAGGTAGTGCCCCAGTGGGGACTCTGTGTGGGGGCTCCAACTCGACCTTTCCTTTCCGCACTGCCCTAGCAGAGGTTATGCATGAGAGCTCCGCCCCTATACCACACCTCTGCCTGGACATCCAGGCTTTCCCATACATCCTCTGAAATCTAGGCAGAGGTTCCTAAACCTCAATTCTGTCTTCTATATACCTGCAGGACCAACACCACATGGAAGCTGCCAAGGCTTGGGGCTTGCACCCTCTGAAGCCATGGCACAGCCTGTATCTTGGCCCCTTTTAGTCACTGCTGGAGCAGCTGGAATGCAGGGCACCAAGTCCCAAGGCTGCACACAGCAGGGGGGGCCTGCAACCAGCCCAGGAAACCATTTTTTCCTTCTAGGCCTCTGGGCCTGTGATGGGAAGGACTTTTGTGAAGGTTTCTGACATGCCCTGGAGACATTTTCCCCATTATCTTGGTGATTTAACATTTGGCTCCTTGTTACTTATACAAATTTCTGCAGTCTGCTTGAATTTCTCTGCAGAAAATGAGTTTTTATTTTCTACTGCCTGGTCAGGCTGCCAATTTTCCAAACTTTTATGCTCTATCACTTCTTGAATGCTTTGCTGCTCAGAAATTTCATCCGCCAGATACCCTAAATCATCTCTCTCAAGTTCAAAGTTCCACAGATCTCTAGCGTAGAGGCAAAGTGCCACCAGTCTCTTTGCATAGCAAAAGTGACCTTTACTCCAGTTTCCAACAAGTTCCTCATCTCCATCTGAGACCATCTCTGCCTGGACTTTACTGTCCATATCACTATCAGCATTTTAGTCAAAGCCATTCAACAAGTCTTTAGGAAGTTCCAAACTTTCCCAAATCTTCCTGTCTTCTGAGACCTCCAAGTCTCTAGGAAATTCTAAACTTTCCCACATTTTCCTATCTTCTTCTGAGCCCTCCAAGTCTCTAGGAAATTCTAAACTTTCCCACATTTTCCTATCTTCTTCTGAGCCCTCCAAACTGTTCCAACCTCTGCCTGTTACCCAGTTCCAAAGTCACTTCCACATTTTCGGGTATCTTTACAGCAGCACCCCACTCCTGGTACCAATTTACTATATTAGCTCATTCTGATGCTGCTAATAAAGACATACCTAATACTGGGCAATTTATAAAGAAAAGAAGTTTAATGGACTCATAGTTCAGCATGGCTGGGGAGGCCTCAGGAAACTTACAATCACAGCAGAAGGGGAAACAAATATGTCCTCCTTCACATGGCGGGAGCAGAAAGAAATAGAGTGAAGTTGGGGAAAAGCCCCTTATAAAACCATCAGATCTCATGAGAACTCACTCACTATCATGAGAACGGCATGGAGGTAACTGCCCCCATGATTCAATTATCTCCCACCAGGTCCCTCCAACAATACGTGGGGATTACGGGAAGTACAATTCAAGATGAGATTTGGATGGGGACACAGCCAAACCATATCACCTGTGTTTATTGTACACTCAGCAGGAAAGCCCATTGAAGAGTCAGCAGAACTCAGAGTGTGATTCTGGGGACACAACAAGAGGACTTCTCTCTGTTCTCCCTAAATGCCCACTGCTCCTTGAAGCCCTAATTACAGTTCACTTTAAGAAGTAACAATGGACACCTGCCATAAGCCAAGCCCTGTTAGGCACTGGGGATATGACAATAAACAAGAAAATTCTCAGCCTCATTGGGCTTACATCTAGCAAGGGAGACAACAGTTAAACTGAAAATAAATGTGGCAGATGCAGTTCTGCCTTCAAGAAAGTACTTGCTGCCCAGCTATCAAGAGTGTGGCTAGCTGACAGCCCCCAGTACTTAGCACTTTTGGGTCTACCCTGGCTTTCAAGCCAAGACCACACTATTCTTACAGTGACTCCTAGACAATGGCTGGGCAAAGCAGTGGTATCTAAGAGCATGTACATCTTGGAGTGACCCCCAGCTAGAGTTGCCAGATTTAGCAAATAAAAACACAGAGCACCCAGTTAAATTTGCATTGCAGATAAACAATGAATGTTTTTTACTATAATTGTGTCCCAAATATGGCATGAGAAAGACATACTTTAAAAAAAACTCATTGTTGGCTGGGTGCAGTGGCTCACACCTGTAATCCAAGCACATTGGGAGGCTGAGGCAGGTGGATCACTTGAGCCCAGGAGTTCAAGACCAGCCTGGACAACATGGTGAAACCCCATTTCTACAAAAAAAATTTTAGCTGGGTGTAGTGGAGTACTCCTGTAGTCTCAGATACTTGGGAGGCTGAGGCAGGAGGATTACGGAGGATTACTTGAGCTTGGGGCAGAGGTTGCAGTGAGCTGAGAACTGCACTGCACCCAACTTGCAACAGTTGGTACCAAGAAAGGTTTGAGAAATGATGTGGTAAGATAAAGACTTGGGAACTAGATCACTCACCACTTCGCTGGTTTTAAGGACATCATGCCTGGTGGTAGGTAGTGTACAGACAGCCCATGGCATGAGATGGAGGTCCAGTTATTTAAAAGGTTCACCAATGGTAGACCAGGATGGCATGTAGGAAAAGAGGAATGCATTGTTTCAAGCATTAGAATGTAGGGGAATCTCTATGTACGAAAATAATAGAATTTGCTGATTATTACTAAGTTACATTGATGCCCTACTGGAGGATAAAGAAAAGCTGAGAATACTTAAGAAACCACTGAAACTAAGTGTGCAAAGAGTTTCTACAAAGAATCTATGACTGTGAGTGAGCAGCAAAAGCTGAAGATGAAACACAGGATTTAATAGAGCTACTGAATTTCAAAGACATTTGAATGCTCAACAAAAGCAGGGCTGTTAGACCAAAGTCAGGGCCCCAGTTGGCAACAGCTGGGACTCTAACACATGGGACTGAAACATTCCTAGATTCCTCTGAACCTTCTGAACCTGTAGGGGTGGCTCACCCTTCTCAATTAAGAGCTAGCACATTCCTTGTGTAAAAAGATGATACAAGGGGCTTTCCCCTAAAAGGCAACAGGTGGCTCCCTCCTCCACTCCTGGACATCAGCACACATCACAACACATCTGAACCAGGAATATGCTGGGCCTGATAAGGAGTAAAGTGACCATGGCACAAATGAGCTGCAAGATGGCATCAGAGTGAGCCATCAGGGATCAGGGTGCTTGATCAAGATGGCTGCAACATAAGTCTGGATAAAGGAGAGTTGCTTTTTGTTTTTGTTTTTTTTTACTTGGGGTCACTTTGTTGAGATACAGGATTTAACACCCCAGGAAATGATGCAAACTTGCTTCTGCGAACTTGCTGCTAGGGTACCTCCTAGAAGCCTAGAGAAAGTGGTGGCCCCCACTGAGAGATTGAAATGCCTGCTTGCCATGGAAGACATAGGGGAAGTGGTTAAAAGGCTCGGGGAGGTAGGATTGCAGGAATGGGTGTATTAGGAGAGGCCAGAAAGCCAATCAGAGGACACACCATTTACCAAGGCCATCAGGAATGTGGGGCCAGGGCTGACAATAGAAGAGTCTGTCACAGAACTTGGCTTTCTGATGACAGTGGGGCTCTTGGGTGCTCCCAAAGCAATTTGACACCAGGTGGTGGTACTTAACTGCCAGAAGCCAGGAGATTGTAATTATCATAAAAAACAATAAGAACAGAGTGGCAGTCAAGAGGGCCTAACCTATAGATGGAGACGGTGAATAGAACTTAGCATTCTTAGGGACAAACTAGACAGCCAGCAAGAGTGCTGTTTGTCATATGTTTGACATATATTACATACATGTTATATATGTAATCAGAAGAGAGGAAGAATGGGTTAGCAGGAGGCTGAGGGCAATTGCCTCAATAAAAAGTAATAATAACTTTGCCAAATTTCCAGGCCTGAGCTGATTTTCAGATTCAAAACCTGTTGGCTAGGTCTGCAAGGAGACTAGGTGACCAGGTGACTAGGTCTGCAAGGGGAAGAACCCTACAATACCTTGGCAAGTGCACACTGTGATGATTCCCAGTGTCCTTCTCCAAAGGAACCTATTGCCATTGACTTGATTGACTTTACACTGAGAAAAGAAAAATAGCCAAACCTTCCAACAGCTGTTGGAGGCAGGGTCTGAATCATCATTGATACGTAAAGACCTGAAGCATGATCATGGGCTCCTGTGAGAAGCGGAGGACATGGATGTTAGGCAATAAATAGATTCCTGGCCAAAGAATGGTTTATAGTGAGTCCACTGGTCCATGGGCCCATACAGGGGTCATTTTTCCTGTCCAAAAATGTATTATTGGTATTATTATACTTGGCAGTTGATGTAACTCCCTCACTAGGTCCTTGGCTTTTAGACAAGAGTTGTCATAATGGAGAAGGCCAAGTGTAGGGCTCAGAAATTGCTGGCTACGATAAGTAAATCAAAAACAGTATTACACCCTGGGGGAATAGTAGAGATTAAAGAGGCAAGGATGCAGGGATGGTGGTCCCTGTCATATCTCCATTGAATTCCCTAGTCTGGTCCTTTCAGAAACTGAATGGATCCTAGAAAATGACTGAAGACTACCACAAGTACAACCAAGCAATGACCTTGATCATATCTGCTGTGTCCAACATAGTGCCATTGTGGGAGCAGATAAATATGGCCTTGGGTTTATGGTACCCAACCACCAATTTGGCAAATGCATGCTTTTCAATCCCCAATAGAAAAGGCCATCAGAAACAGTTCACATTCAACTAGAATGGGCAATATGTGTAGAACCGATATTCCTGATGGACCAGGGGACCTCTTAGTACTCCCTCGACCAGTTGTGACTATGAATGGACAAAAGCAGCAATGCTGGTCTAAAATAGGTATAGTTACCAGGGGCTCAGAGTCTGGGGCTCACCACTGGGTAGGCTACCCAGACCAGAAAAGGTAGTAGCTGAGGGCAAAGAGAATTTAGAATGGTTGGTGAAAGAGGGGACAGTGAGCATGGTTGTAGCCCCAAGACCAACTGCAGCAATGAGGGGCTGCAGTTTGTCCCTCCTTCTTATAGGTTTTCCCTTAGGAAGAAGGGCCCACCAGAGCCTTGGAAAACTGCCCCTTGCACAGTTTAAGGGATGGACTGTGGCAGAAATGTGGCAGAGATGTGCTGCTCAGATCCCCCTTCAAAAAAAAAAAGCTGGGTTTTAAGGACTGTCATTGGCTGGTAGCTTTTAGCTTCTTCAGAGTTGATTCTGTTTTCACGGTAGCCCCTAGCCAAAGGCAGAGCAAGGCCTGGCCAATTCCATCCAAAGCTCTAGTGTGTAGTCTACTCCAGAGATCCCTGTTGGTCGGCAGCGATCTGCCGCATGGTCTGGCAGCTGTTTCTAGTTGCCTCCCTCCACCAGACTGAACAATGCTCCCCCTAAAAAGATATGTCTGCATCCTAATTTCTGGAACCTGTGAATATAACCTTATTTCAGAAAAGGGTATTCTTTACAGATGTGATTAAGTTGAGGATTTTGAGATGAGGAAACCATCCTGGATTACCCAGGTGAGCCCTAAATGTAATCACGTGTATTCTAATAAGATAAACACACAGAGGAAAAAGACACAGAGAAGAGGAAAAAGCCATGCGACCACCTAAGCAGAGACTGGAGTGATGCAGCCACAAGCTAAAGAGTGCCTGGAGCGGCCAGAAGTGAAAGGAAGAGATTCTCCACCCCACCCCCAGCCTTTGGAGGAAATGCAGCCCTACTGATACCTTGATAATGGACATCTGAACCTGAATGCCTCTAGAACTTCAAGATAATCAATTTTATTGTTTTCAGCCACCAAGGTGATAGTGATCTGTTGTGGCAGCCCTAGAACATGGATGCGCTCCTCTTTTCTTTTCAGAATCTCTCCTCAATCTTTTCTGCTCCTGACTATGACTCTGTTTCTGCTTCTTGGAGCAACCTGTCTTGCAGCAGGCTGAACAGTGCAGTAGGATCACAATCAGAGCAGTAGGATCACAATCAGTAACACAATCAGAGGGTATGATTGAAAGGGCATGGAGGAAGGGCATCTAGCCCCAAGGCAGAGGGTGGAGGGGCAGGGAGGACAATCTAGAGCAAGTGACATCTCAAGTGGCCTGAACGATGGCAGGAGCCAGCTAAATCAAGGGACACTAAAAGGAGAAAGTGTCACACCTTCAAGAAACTAAAAACCACTCAATGAAAGGGAAGGATGAGCTGTGTGAGGTCGGAGCGGCAAGGCAAGCAGAGGCTGGATCCAACTGGCTTGGTGAGTGATCTCCGGTCTTTGTATTTAATCCTAAAAGGATTTAAACAGAGTGCCCTGAGCAGCATTTCACTAATAAAGATGAATTCATTTGGCTTAAAAGAATTGCAAGGATACAACTATTCTTGAGAAAAAGATACCACAATAAAGCCTGCTCATTTATTGATGCCCTTGTGGGAACAGCTGTGTCTCTGATCGCATGCTAAGAATGTTTCCACCGGGGAGATGGAGATATTATGAGGGCCTCAGGCAGCTTTCTCTTCATAGTGTGATAAGGACAATTTACAGCCTTTTCTCAATCAGTATTATAAAGCACTGTGTAAAGGCAGCTTCAAGTTCCACCTTCCATGCAACCAGATTGTCAGCCCTAAATCCTTTCTAAATAGAAATGCTGGAGCTGCCTTTGGCCATGAGTACCTTCAGGACAAGAAGAATTTTCAACTAGGGAGAAGTGGAAGGGATGCATGAAATGGCAGAACCATTTGCAGCCTTGGACTTCTCCTTAGGAACTGCCCAGGGGACTGTATGCGTTTATTATCTCACAAGAGCAGCTGTGGGGTATGACCAGCCCTGGTGAGGGAGAGGTGTCCGCACCACTGCACTCTAGGACGGCTCAGCCTACACAGGAAATTGTTATCTTACCTCCCTTGGGGAACAAAGGAGAAACTTTGTTTGATGCAGACTTCAAAAAAGAGTGGCCTAAGGGCCACATCTGGTGTATTTTCTTTGGTCTCCAATGCTGTGCTCTTGTTTTTAATTGAACCAACATTCAAATATTAGAAGAGTTCCCATGACAGTCCAGACTGCTAGGTTCCCTCATCAAATCAGGAGTGCTGGCTTCAGTTCACCCCCATTCCTGCAGGGATCAGAGCCCAGCAGCAGCCACCCACACTTCGCTCGGGACAAGCCTGCTCTGAGCTACACAGCGCCTCCCCACCCTGGGGATTTGGATCCACAGTACAGAAGCCAAGAGTTTTGTTTTCCTAACACGCGCATAGAAATATTTATCTGGACCCATATTCCCACCGTAAGTGGGAAAATGCAATGCTACATTGAAAGAGCCAGAATTTCTAAACAAATAGGAAAGATTCTATAGTATTTTCCCTCTGACACCAGCCAGCTTTATTTAGTTTACGTGTCTGAGCTTGTGACCCCTGACTTCAATGTTTTCAGGGTCTCAGTTCCTCTTCCCTCTTGGCCAAGTTCATCTGTTCTGCCTGTAGCACCTCGTCATTCTTCCACACTGGGCGGGCAGCCCTTGGTCCACACTCGCAGGTACCACATGGGAGACCATTTCTAGGAAACTGGGGGCTCCAAATTTCTCCAGAGAAGAAGCCTCAGACAAAATCCTGGGGGAAAGGCAGGGAGAACTTCAGCAGAAAGGCTCTGATCTCAAAGGAGATGTTACTATTTTGTTTCAGGTGCCCCTCTCTCTTCCTCTCCTCTGTTGACACACCCACACACCCAGTCTAGACCATGCCTCACTATTAAAGATACCAAGAATTAAAGTCGGCTTGTGAATTATTCTTTGTGCTAACACTCCTCCCTGCTAGGGAGCTGCTCCACTCCCACACCCCCTCTCACTCCTACCCCAGCCTATAGCATACTCTGGCCTGAAGAATTAGCAGAGGAAACGGCCACCACCAGATTCTCATCTCTTTCCCAAATGGGCTGCCGCTCCTCTGAGTGGAGAGAGGAAACTACACCTTCTCCCTCCCTGCACAGGGCCGGCACTATTTGTTTCCCTCCCAATGCTTTCGAATGAGAAGGAAGAATAATTCACAAGCCGACTCTAATTCTTGGTATCTTTAATAGTGAGGCATGGTAGACCAGGTGTGTGGGTGTGTTAACAGAGGAGAGGAAGAGAGAGGGGCACCTGAAACAAAATAATAACATCTTTGAGATCAGAGCCTTTCTGCTGAAGTTCTCCCTGCCCTTCCCCCAGGATTTTGTCTGAGGCTTCTTCTCTGGAGAAATTTAGAGCCCCCAGTTTCCCAGAAATGGTCTCCCATGTGGTACCTGTGAGTGTGGACCAAGGCCTGCCCGCCCAGTGTGGAAGAATGACGAGGTGCTGCAGGCAGAATAGATGAACTTGGCCAAGAGGGAAGAGGAACTGAGACCCTGAAAACTCTGAAGTCAGGGGGCACCTCTGCAGTGCTGGCCCTGTGCAGGGAGGGAGAAGGTGTAGTGTCCTCCCTCCACTCAGAGGAGCAGCAGCCCATTTGGGAAAGAGATGAGAATCTGGTGGTGGCTGTTTCCTTTGCTGATTCTTCAGGCCAGAGTATTCTATAGGCTGGGGTAGGAGTGAGAGGGGGTGTGGGAGTGGAGCAGCTCCCTAGCAGGGAGGAGTGTTAGCACTGACATTGTTTAGAATTGCTGGTTGCAACAACACTTTTCTTCTTCTCCCTTCTCCTTCTTCTTCTTCTTTTTGATTTCCAATTTTTATTTTAAGTTCAGGGGTAAATGTGCAGGATGTGCAGGTATGTTACATAGGTAAATGTGTGCTATGGTGGTTTGCTGCACAGATTATCTAGGTATTAGGCCCAGCATTCATTAGCTATTCTTCCTGGTGCTCGCTCTCCTCACCAACCCTTTGACAGGCCCCAGTGTCCAGAGTGTGTTGTTCCTCCCATTTGTCCATGTGTTCTCATTGTTCAGCTCCCACTTATAGGTGAGAACATGTAGTGTTTGGTTTTCCGTTCCTGCGTTAGTTTGCGAACGATAATGGCTTCCAGCTCCAACCATGTCCCTGCAACTGACACTGTCTTGTTCCTTTTTACAGCTGCATAGTAGTCCATGGTGTATATGTACCACATTTTCTTTATCCAGTCTATTATTGATGGGCACTTAGGTTGATTCCATGTCTTTGCTATTGTGAATACATGTGCGTATGTCTTTATAATGAAATGATTTATATTCTTTTGGGTATATACCCAGTAATGGTATTGCTGGGTCAAATGGTATTTCTTCCTCTAGGTCTTTGAGGAATCGCCACACTATCTTCCACAATAGTTGAACTAATTTACACTCCCAATTGTGTAAAAGTGTTGCTTTTTCACCAGAACCTCACCAGCCATCTGTTGTTTTTTGACTTTTTAGTAATAGCCTTTCTGACTGGTGTGAGATGGTATCTCATTGTGGTTTTGATTTGCATTTCTCTAATGATCAATGATATTGAGGTTTTTTTCATATGTTTGTTGGCCGCATGTATGTCTTCTTTTGAGAAGTATCTGTTACGTCCTTTGCCCACTTTTTTTTTTTTTAGTAGTGTTGTTTGGGTTTTTCTTGTAAATTTAAGTTCCTTGTAGATGTTGGATATTAGACCTTCTGTAGGTTGTCTGTTCATTCCAATGATAGTTTCTTTTGGTGTGCAGAAGCTCTTTAGTTTAATTAGATCCCCATTTGTCAATTTTTGCTTTTGTTTCAATTGCTTTTGGCATCTTTGTTATGAATTCCTTGCCTGTGTCTATGTCCTGAATGGTACTGCCTAGATTTCTTCTAGGATTTTTATAGTTTTGGGTTTTGCATTTAAGTCTTTAATCCATCTTGAGTTGATTTTTGTATATGGTGTAAGGAAGGGGTCCAGTTTCAATTTTCTGTGTATGGCTAGCCAGTTCTCCCAGCACCATTTATTAAACAGGGAATCCTTTCTCCATTGCTTGTTTTTGTCAGGTTTGTCAAAGATCAGATGATTGTAGGTGTGCAATCTTGTTTCTGGTTCTCTATTCTGTTCCATTGGTCTATGTGTGTGTCCTTGTACCAGTACCATGCTGTTTGGGTTACTGTAGTTTTGTAGTGTAGTTTGAAGTTGGGTAGCATGATGCCTCCAGCTTTGTTCTTTTTGCTTAGGATTGCCTTGGCTATTCAGGCTCTTTTTTGGTTTCATGTGAGTTTTAAAATGTTTTTTTTTCTGATTCTGTGAAGAATGTCAATGGTGGTTTAATGGGAATAGCATTGAATCTATAAAATGCTTTGGGCAGTATGGCCATTTTCATGATATTGATTCTCCCATCCATGAGCATGGACTGTTTTTCCATTTGTTTGTGTCATCTCTGATTTCTCTGAGCAGTGGTTTGTAGTTCTCCTTGAAGAGGTCCTTCACTTCCATTGTTAGCTGTATTTTTAGGTATTTTATTCTTTTTGTGGCAATTGGGAATGGGAGTTCATTCATGATTTGGCTCTCAGCTTGCCTGTACAGCAACAGTTTTTATTTCATTTTATTACTACTTTTAAATTCTCTACATAAAGGGCACCCAGGGTAGCAATGCCATGGCCCATCACCACTTGATATGCCCTTGGGGTTCCCCACTCCCATTGCAGTCTCCATTGCATTGAAGCTAGATGGTCAGGCTAGAGCCACACAGCTGAGCCTGTTATTAAGCCAGGCCTACACTAACATGCATGTCTGCCCCTGATTGAATCTTCCCAACAACACTGTAAGGTTGTATAATCAAGCTCATTTTTCAGATGAGGAGCCAAGGCTTAGGGAGGTGAGGAGACTTTCCCAAGATCACACTAGGGAGTGGTGAAGCACGGATAAGTCCAGGTTTGCCTGACTTCAAGCACTTGTCCTTTACTGATCTGCACACCCACTTTGTTTCTTTCTGGTCAGTTTCCCAATTTTCTTAGCTTCTGGCCTGGGATCTATAGTTTCTGTTTTGGCCTTGGCTCATTCCCTAGGCTGGGCTACTGGGGTATCCCTTCCCTGACTCGGACCTTTGATTTTCTGATCAACCATATTTAGGAATCTCCCTCTTTCCATGCTGCCCTTAGCTTTCCCAAGGAAGATCCCCCACCTAATCCAACCTAGCCTGTAGGAGGTCCTTGGATCTTGGAAGGTTTGCCCTTTTTCTTTTTTTTTTATTTTTATTTTATTATTATTATACTTTAAGTTTTAGGGTACATGTGCACAATGTGTAGGTTAGTTACCTATGTATACATGTGCCATGCTGGTGTGCTGCACCCATTAACTCGTCATTTAGCATAAGGTATATCTCCTAATGCTATCCCTTCCCCCTCCCCCCACCCCACAACAGTCCCCAGAGTGTGATGTTCCCCTTCCTGTGTCCATGTGTTCTCATTGTTCAATTCCCACCTATGAGTGAGAATATGCGGTGTTTGGGTTTTTTTTCTTGCGATAGTTTACTGAGAATGATGATTTCCAATTTCATCCATGTCCCTACAAAGGACATAAACTCATCATTTTTTATGGCTGCATAGTATTCCATGGTGTATATGTGCCACATTTTCTTAATCCAGTCTATCGTTGTTGGACATTTGGGTTGGTTCCAAGTCTTTGCTATTGTGAATAGAGCCGCAATAAACATATGTGTGCATGTGTCTTTATAGCGGCATGATTTATAGTCCTTTGGGTATATACCCAGTAATGGGATGGCTGGGTCAAATGGTATTTCTAGTTCTAGATCCCTGAGGAATCGCCACACTGACTTCCACAATGGTTGAACTAGTTTACAGTCCCACCAACAGTGTAAAAGTGTTCCTATTTCTCCACATCCTCTCCAGCACCTGTTGTTTCCTGACTTTTTAATGATTGCCATTCTAACTGGTGTGAGATGGTATCTCATTTTTTGCCCTTTTTCTATGAACAGGATCTGAACAACAGGAAAATACAAGTATGTGTTTATATGGACTCACATGTGTGCCTGTGTGTGCATGTGTGTATTTGCAGAAGTATAAGTGGAGATCTAGAAGTGTGAAATGGCATGGAGGTGCATGGAATGGGGCAGTCCTATTGGGACAGAGTAATTAAGAGAGATATGGGAGAAAATCTAGGAGTGACAGATGCTGACTGGATGCCCTTGTACACTTTATATTTCTTCCAGATAGATTTCCTGCCTGGAAGACCATTCCCCAGGTTAGCATTTCCTTTTCCTGCCTGATGCTCTTCAGGAACAGTTCCTGTGTTTTGCATCTTGAACATCCAGTCAGTGCTTAATCTAGCAATGCAATTTCCCCCATTTGCAGAATAAAGAGGCACTCTTCATTGATTCTTCACTAGGTCCTCTCTCCTTTATCTTTCAGACTCTGGACCTTAAGACACAGGCCTCAGCACCTGCTGTTCCTGTGCCACTGTGCAAATAGGAAGCCTTCCAGGGCACCAGGCTGCCAATGTCCTGATGCAAAAGATGGAACTGGGATAAAGGTATATTTTAAATTAACAATGCCATTTAAGTGCTACAAAATGGTTTTAGAAATGGATTTTTAATTTCATAAGTAATGCATATTCATTGAAGAAAATTAGAAAATCCATTTGTGCAAAAAGATGAAATCTCACCAACCATACAGGGAACCGTTGATAACCTCTTATTGCATAATCCCAAAGCTTTTTCCATTAAAGCGAACGTGTGTGTGTGTATGCATGTGTTTTCATAACAAGCATATACAGTTTTATAATCTGCTTTTCTAAGGGATTGATTATTATGGCTTGGTATACTTCAATAATTTTACAGAAATGCAAGTTTCTCTATATTATACTTCCTTAACTTTTTATATAATAATTTAATGCATTGTTTACCAAACAAGTTACTATGGGTGGGTCAGGAGCAAGAAGAATCAATTTTTTAAAATTATGTTTCTGACCGAAGGTCAGCCTATTATGTACTGGCAGCTGTACATGCATCATTTCCTCTAATCCTTACATTAGGTTGATTTCATTACTTTCATCATATAGATAAGGAAACCCAGGCTTAAGAGGTTAAATAACCCACCCAAGGTCATGTAGCTGAAAAGCAGCAGATCCACTCAGGTCTCTCTGACATCAAAATCTAGCTCTTTCCAACTTGCTTATCTATCAGTGAAATAGAATTTGACTTGGGGTGAGCAGGAAAAAGGGGTAACAATACTGATAATGTGATTTTTTACATTTATTTTTATTTTTTATTTTTTATTTTTTGAGACAGAGTCTCACTCTGATGCCCAGGCTGGAGTGCAGTGGCGCCAGCTTGGCTCACTGCAACCTCTGCCACCCAGGTTCAAGTGATTCTCCTTCCTCAGCCCCCCAAGTAGCTGGGATTACAGGCGCACGCCACCACACCTGGCTAATTTTTGTAATTTTAGTAGAGACCAAGATTCACCATGTTGGCCAGGCTGGTCATGAACTCCTGACCTCAGGTGATCCATCTGCCTTGACCTCCCAAAGCGTTGGGATTACAGGCATGAGCCACCGCGCCCAGCCATGATAATGTGATTTAGATAGTAAAAGAACATGTCCACCATTATCATGAGGCCCATCTGTAGCATTTGGTGTGAATGTCGCGAATGAAGGCTCATACAGAAGGTCAATCCTAGGATTTAAGTCTCTACTGATTAGCCTACTTTTTAAAAAAATTCTTCAGCGAAGATAGCAGAAGAGATGACTTATATAGATGTTACACTCAGCCACAACTGAGAGCAGAACTAGTCTAGAATATCACAGGTCCAGGGCAAAGAACCAACAGGAGTTGTTTTGGTGTGAGCAGGGTGGGTCTTACAGAAGTGGTCTTGGTGATCAGTTGGTGATGGAAGTTCTAGATCCATTGAGAGACAAGTTCCAGACAGTGGCACGCAGTCCAACAACTTCTACCAGAATCCCCAGCCTCCGGCATTCCATGTTTCTGCTCCTGTGGCCTCCACGGTGCACATGCTAGCAGTTTACCTGGACCTCTGCCTCATCTTTCTTCTTTCACGCTTCAATCTGCGTATTCGCTTCTTCCTCCACATGGCTCTCAAGGAGCAAAGGTGTCTAAGAAGACGGTAATAAGGCTGAGAGCTGAGCCTACTCAAGCAACCCAACCTGCAATAGTATGCTTGTTGGAGCAAGGAGGAAACTGGGGAAACAGGCAGCCAAGCAGATTCATTAAAAGGCAGTACTATCTTTGCCTTCTTGGTACAGCAGGCAGATATTTTTAACTGGGGCTCTGCTGACTGAAGATGATTGGCAACAATGCCAGCCCTAAAGTGGACCTCAGGGAATGCCAAGCAAATACACTCAGGGCCTATTAAATTTATATTCTTCTTCGCAAAAGGGTCTCTTCTATTTTCTATAAAAATTCAGGGTAAAATAAGTGAATTTCCCTATGGTCGCTATGGACATTGGCTGATCACATTCTGAAAGAGCAGGAGAAACAATGATTCCACGTTAGGAATTCTTTTTTCTTCTGAGAATGAAACCAGAGAGTGAGTGTATGTGCTCACTTGCA
Source organism: Homo sapiens (assembly GCF_000001405.40). NCBI lineage: Eukaryota > Metazoa > Chordata > Mammalia > Primates > Hominidae > Homo > Homo sapiens. Next base: position 91,111,548 of record NC_000010.11, read on the forward strand.
GATTTTGGTATTTCTGCTATAATAGTTGGAGGATTAGCACTCTACAACTTTACCCTTTCCTTGAAAGATACACAGTTATTTGCTAGAACTTCAGTTATTCATTTCCTTCAATGCTATAGTCATAATTCTAAACTAGTTTAATGCCTTTGAAGAAAATTAATTAGCTCTTGTGTTGATACTTCTAAAGTGCTTTAATGCAGGTCTGGTTTGTACTCAGCCTTTAAAAGAATTTCCATGGCAGCCATTTAACAGATAACAGACTTTTCTGGAAATGCCCAGTGCTTTGTAGCATTTGAAAAGGAACATGTTTGATGGACATTTGTGCAATTAAAAATATAATTACTCACTGATAAAAGTGTACTATTAATTTAAAAAATTCCTTTAAAAATGAAAGGTATGTCTTATAATTCATCAGAAAATAATTCCATGGCCAATTTGTTTAATTATAAGGAGACTTTAAAGTATACAGCAGTACTCAGTAATCAGTGCCCAGAAAATCACAAATCCCCAGAGTGAAATTCATTTGCTCTTGGTAGTATATCCCTATGTTTGACAGATATTTTTATTCCAAATGTTCTCCATTCATTCTGAAATCAGATCTATCAAAATCCTTGAGCACCTGCTGTTTGCCAGGTTAATTTGCCCATCATTGTTTTAAATAATCCTCAAACCCAATGCCACATAACAGGTAGTAGGAAAGTAGAAAAACATCCTTATTTTCCAGATGATAAAATTATACTTTGGGAAAATTAATTTACATGGCTAAAGTCATTCAGCTAATAAGGATCAGAACCAGAATTTGAACCCAGACCTTCAGCCTGCAGTGTCCAAATATACGCCCACTTTGTTAAGGGGCTGCTGTGAAAATGTGACCAGCTGCACAGCCACATACATGCCCATCCCTTCTTTTTGCCTCATCTCTATGCCAGGGCTTAGAGGAAAGTTCCCAGACCTACTGATTGGAATCCAAGTCCCTTCTGTGCTGCTGCAACAGAATACCTGAGACAGGGTAATTTATGATGAATAGAAATTTGTTTCTCAGAGTTCTAGAGCCTGGAAAGTCCAAGATCAAGACACCAGCATCTGGCGAGGGCCTTCTTGCTGTGTGATCCCACGGCAGAAGGTGAGAAAGTGAGAAGGTAAGAGAGAGACAAAAGGAGGCTGAATTTGTCCTTTTATAAGGAATCCACTCCCATGATAATGAACCCACTCCCACCATAACATCATTAATCCATACATGAGGGCCAAATACTCATGGCCTAATCACCTCTTAAAGGTCCCACCTCTTAAGACTGTACAGTTACAGTGGCAATTAAATTTCACATGAGTTGGGAGGGGACAACCATTCAAATCATAGCAGAATCCTTGCCTTGCACCCTGGGCATGTGTATTTTAAAAGCTTTTCAAGTCATTTTCATGTAGAAAGAGTTGAAAAACATACTTACAAATCTATGAATCCAATTCCTTTGGCCTCTGCTCATAAATCTCATTTTCTACAAACCATCTTCATTTTGTTGTTATTTCCTTTGGGATCCATTTCTCATACTTAGTGTGGAGTAGGCCTGTAAGAAACTACCAGCTCCGGGAGACAGAATGATAGAATTGTGGCTTGCTTCCTTTCTGTCAGACTTCCTCAGTATCTTCTCACTTATTTGAAGTTTATGTGAAAAAGCCAGTGACATTTTTCCTAAAGCTAAGAGGAGGCAGTAAGTGTAACTGTGGACTAAAAAAATATTGGTAATTGAAAGAACATGAAGAAAAGTCCCAAAGACTTTTTTTTTTTTTTTTTTTTTGAGACAGAGTCTCACTCTGTTGCCGAGGCTAGAGTGCAGTGGTACAATCTCCACTCACTGCAACCTCTGCCTCCCAGGTTGAAGCAATTCTCCTGCCTCAGCCTCCCAAGTAGCTGTGATTACAGGCATGTGCCACCATGCCCAGCTAATTTTAGTAGAGACTGGATTTCACCATGTTGGCCAAACTGGTCTCGAACTCCTGACCTCAGGTGATCTGGCTGCCTTGCCAGACTTTTATTCAAATCCTTGTGACATGACTTGGTTAAGCCAAAACCATAATTTTGGTTTATCCTCTCAAACCTGTAAAGTAAGGATGATCATAGAAACCTCTTTGAGCTGTTAGGAGATCGTGTGTGGGTCTCAAATAAATCTGGGCCAGCTTCCTCCCATCCTGTATAGCCAGGGCGTCACACTCAGAGGAAACAGAAATCAATTCCAAAATACTTTGAAAAGTAATACGTATATATTAAGAAGTCTCTTTAAGTGGCAAACGGGACTTAGAAGGGGCAACACATGTGTGATTAAGCCATGGACTTAAGAGCCAGATTGCCTAAGTTCAAATCCTGCTTTTCCCACTTACTGTGTGTGTTCCCTTGAGCAGGTTACCAAGGTCATCTCTGTGCTTCTGTTTCTTCATCTGTAAAATGGAGGCAATGATAGTATTTACCCTGTAGGTCTGGAAATGACAAGAGATGGAATGGCTAAGTTAGGACGAATGTTCTTCAGGCCTGCTGCATTGTTTCTTGGAGACCTATCTTGATTTTAGGTAGGCTAGAGCTTCAGAATTTAGATGCAAGACCTGTGTTTGTGCCCATTCTTCTTCCTACCACCCTCACCACCACCCTCACTTCTGCCCTAACATTCAGTCTCAATGGTCCTGAACCTGTGAGGACTCAGCTTCTCTTAAAGCCGAGGCCTAGAGGCTCAAGATTAAATATATTAATAGATATAAAGAACAGTGCTGGGACATAGTACTAAAAAGTGTTTGCTATGAAAATTATTATTGAAGTACCTAATACAGAGCAAAATATCCTTAAAACTCTTGACACAACCAAGTCCCTAAAGTCCCACGTTGGGTGGCAGGTGCCCCAACCTCTCATCTCTTTCTCTCCCTAACACTCCTGACTCCTTTGCTGATACCCTCTACCTGCCCTTCAGGTATCTTCTTCACATTTCCCATCCCTGTAAGCTCAAGCTCTTTCATATATAATATAGTTTACCTGGTCTCTACTTCTCTTGTTTCTTTAGTAAGCAACCTTTTCTCCTATCAGCCTAACAGAAGTTATCAAGGGGTTGGGGAGGCAGAAGATTGTGGAATGTTTTTGTCTCAGACACATACATATATACATAATATAATTATGATGCTTTCACCTGGTGGGGACTCTGTAATATGAGTCTGCTTCTCACTTTAATGTCAATTACTGAACAAGGGCAAAGCGACCCATTTCAGATATTTATGGAAAGTCTGATACTACCAATTCCTCCTCATTAACAGTGTATTAATTCACCTGCCCAATGACTCTGGTCTGAAACCAGGAACATAAGTTGATCCACGGGAGTGGGGCACATGTCATCTGAGACCTAGAGTTATGCTGTCCAACATGATAGCCACCAGCCACATGAGCCTATTTAAATTTAAATTAATTAAAATCAAATAATATTAAAACTTCATGTTCTTAGCTACACATGTTAAGTGCTCAATAGCCACATGCGACTGATACACTCCAGTCCATTGTCACTCCATTGGATAGCACAGACATGGAATATTCCCGATACAGCAGGTTGTTGTATTGGGCAGTGCCAGTCTCCAGAGAGATCAACAGAGCTTGACTTGGGTATTCACAGAACCTCATTTCAGGCCTTCCTAGGCCTCTAGGCCATGCCTACAAAAAAGGCTGAGCCCCCAGAGGTTCAGGATCATTGGAACTGGAAGTTAGGGTGAAGGTGAGGATGGCAGTCAGGATGGTAGGAAGGAGTATGGGGACAAACACAGGCCCTGCATGTACATTCTGCAAGCTCTAGTCTACTTAAGATCAAAATGGGTCTCCCAAGAAACAAGGCAATAGGCCTCAAAAAGATTCATTCTGTCCTCAACCATTCCGCCTCTTCTAACTAAGCTGCTTGGGAAAGGAGCTCAGAGGTTATTTATTGCCTTTTAAATTGAAGTGGAAATTGGAAGTAATCATCCGGACATTTCAAAAAGAAAAATGCCTGAAATAAGTGAACAAGATTGATGCAAAAGAAAGTTTTCTGCCCTGAATTATCCGGACTGCTGCTTTGATTCCCATGTAGACACAGACTGAGAACTTGCTGCCCACCCTTGCTTGTGATTTCTTCACACTGTGAAGTGAGAACCATAAGCGGTGGGAGTGGCAAAGACAGCAGGGAAGATGGGCTAGCAGACATGGGCCAGGCGGGTGGCAGAATATGGTGGAAGATCTCAGTATCAGTTGGTTCTTGAGAGATTCCCAAGACTGCTGCAACACTGACTGTCAAAGGCATTCTTTCCTCCGCAGGGCGTCCTGCCTGGAGGCCTTTCTCTGCCACTGTCCCTCAGAAGTTTCCACACACAGAGCTGATGAGTGGGTACTTCTATCCTTTTCTTTGTATGGCATTTTTAAATTATTGTTTTAAAAAATGTTTAAATAAAACAAACTGAGGCAGAAGCTTCTGAACTCTCTTGCCTCACTTTCCCTCCTTTTTGTGCACCCTTTCCTACTGCTCCACAGAACCAAGACAGAAAGAGACAGACCCTGATGCTTATCCAATAAAAGCTTTTACTTGGGGAGGATCTGAGCTCATGCTTGATGGGCATGAGTGGCATCTCAGGGTGCTCACAAGTCAGGACAGCAGCTGTTCGAACTAGTCACGTGTCTGAGGAAGGGCCAGGAGGGTGCGTAGGCCCCAAAATCGCTGTGGAATGTGACTTTCCTCTCCAGGGAAGAACTATGGGGTACAAAGCAGGCCGGCAGCTTTGAGGGCACTTGGGCAGCTTAAGGAAGCTTCTGAAGTCTCCTGCCTCAGTTTCCCTTCTTTTTCTGCTCCCTTTTCCACCTGCTCCACAGAATCAAGACAGAAGGAGACAGACCTTGATGCTTATACAATTTGTAAGGCCTTCATTAGAAAAAAAGCATTAAAAAAATGTGAAAACAAATCAGGTACAAAAGTGAATATTTATTTAGACTTTCAAATTCCTGGAATCTTAGAAATTCAGAACCATTCCTCTGAGAATGGTTTTTAGGTGGTTTTCCAGAAATGAGTACATAGGAATGTTTCCTGATGGCGATGTAGCTTTTCTCTCCATCTAGAACATTCTACAGCTCCTTGCAGCAGCTATCATTCACAGAAGCTGTGCAAGTAAGGATTTCTGGAGGTGAAACTTTATTAGCTTCACAGTGAATCCACCTCTGACCACAGATTGTAGGCCTGTGGGATGGAGTTGGAGGTTGACCCCAGGTTTTGTAGCCCTCCGTTTCTTCCTTTACAAATAAGAAAATGACGCCAGAAGAGTAGTTTCTCCCACTATCCCACAGCTTTAACACTGGGAACGAGAACCCAGGTCTCCTCTTCCCAGCCTGTGTTCTGGCCTCTAAACCACCGAGTTTGATAGGAGGTAGTATCAGAAAGTGGTCAGAGCTCCAAGCTTAGAGTCAAAAATCCCTAACCTGCCTTGTTAGCAGTGAGATCTTGGGCAAGTCCCACAGGTCCTCTGAACCTTAGCTCCTTATTAAAAATAGAGTATCCTCGGCCCCTTGTTGTTGTGTACATTAAGTGAAATAATATATATGAAAATGTATACAGTGTAGTAGGTGTTTAATAAATATCAATTGCCTCATTGTCTCCAATGCCATCCCAAGAAGTATGCCTTTCTACCAGGAGAGTATGTGTTTAGGGAAAGAGAATGTGAAATTAAATGATAAAACTAAAATTTCTTAAATTTTTTTTGCAAGTCTAAATGAAAAGGAGCCACATATCCTTATATCATCTTTGCAATTCAAACAACCTAGGTGTCGGTTCCTCAGAGTAAAAAATCGCTATAAAATTAGCTCTAACCACAAAGAAAATAAAGTACGAAAATGATTTGCAATTAATATTTTCTGCATTCTTCTTATGATAGCTTCATGGCGACTTTCACATTTAAAAATATGAATTTAAACAAATATTTAAAACATAAGGTATTGGTTCTATTTCCTGTTTTCCCTCATGCCAGAACAGATTTCATGCTGTCATATACACATTCAAGCAGAAAGCCATTTCGCTTTTTCCATTTGTTTTCATTACTTTTTTTCTATATTTGTTCTTTGACACTGTTTGTATTGAAGCCAGGGTTTGCCTTCTTTTCACTTTATCTCTCCATGGCAACAGATAGATTGCAATGCCACACACAAAAATGCAGAATTACAACCTCCCTGACAGATCAGGCAGAAAGAACTGTGTACCGTATAACCAGTGATGGAAACAGGATAGTTAATGAAGAAGCCAAATCTTTCCTTTTCAGGAAGAAAATAAATCATAATTCCTTTTTGCATCTTTTCTTTTCTCCCTAGGAAAGACCCCTAGGAAAGACCCCTGGTAGGCACTCAAGAATTATTTGTAGAATGAAGGACTGATTGGCTATTACCGCTTCCTTTTCTAAGTGCTTGCCAGTCATGTGCTTAATAAGCAATTTGAGAAATTGTAACTATAATTGTTACTGTTTATTGAATGCTCTCCATCTACTGTGCACTGTACTAAGTGCTGTATATACATGAGTTCACTGCACCTTCACATCCCTATAAAATGGTCATTTTCATCTGTTTGCAGATGAAGAACCTGAGCCCAGAGAGGTTAAGTGATGTGCTCAGGGTCAGAGCTCACAGCTAGGAAGTGGAGGAACCCAATTTGCTCCTTTGCAGTATGTCTGGCACTAAGCTTGGGCTCCTAACCTGTCTGTTGGCACACTAGTCCAGAAATTGGCAGGGAGATCAATATCAGTTCTATTGACCTGTTCTTTTCATAAGCTACCACTCCCATCTCTATGTTAAAAGGGAGTACATTTGTTCATCACTAATGTTTTCCCCATGTTTTCAGAGAGTTCTGACAGTGGTTGTCTATTACAGTCCAAATCTCCTTCAGTGTCTAGGACTTGTCTCAAGCCAGAGAACTGAATTCATCTGAAGTAGCTACATGTCCTCTTTCTTTATAATGTCTGCTATAGTCCTTCCAGGATCAAGTCTAACTTCTTTGCTAAAGATTATTTTCTTTGACGATTAATTCTCCTTAGAGATTATTAATGATTATTAATCATCTCCTTAGAGATGATTAATACCTGTAAGTGATGTCAATCACTTACAGGTATTGACATTGTTTGGGCTCATGATGTTGAATTCTGTGTAACATTGATCAGGTTGTTACTGAGCTTCAGTTTTCCTCATCCGTAAAATAAGAACGTGGTCATATGGTATCAAACTCCTTGTAGTCTTCAGTGCTTAAGAAATGTTACTTCCCTATTTTATTCCTCTTTGGACAGCAAAAAAGAGATTAGGTTTATGCTTTAGATATGTCATCTTAAATATCACCTAAATAGGTTTTATCTGACCACTCGCTCTAAGTAGAAACCCCTCCCTTGTTATTCCCTATCATCCACACACAATTTGTTTCCTTGATAGCAATTACCTGGAATTTGGGTATTTGTCTTGCTTATCATCTTTCTTCCTTCCTGGACCAAGCTCCAAGAGGATAGTAACAACATATATTTTATTCCCCCGCTGTATATTCACCTCACCATCTAGTAGTGACTGGTGCATAGTATTTGCCCAATAAATACTTGTTGAATGGATTTTAAAAGTGAGTGAATGATTCTTCTTGCCTCCCCACTCATTCCTTATTAAAGTCAGTATAATGTGCCACCGTTATCTTCAGTCACCAGGCTCACAACTCAGGTGCCATCTTTGATTTTTCTACAGTACTTACTCCAAAGTCCTGTTGATTATTTTATCTGCAACGTATTTCAGACCAGCTCTTTCTTTTCCAGTTGTGTAGCCTCTATTGAGTCTAGACACTTTTATGTGACCCCTAAATTATTGCAAGAGCCTCTTGAATACATTCTCTGTAAGATCTCTATCCCACCCAGTTCTCCTACAAATGCATTCAGGATTCTTTTGTTTAGGAATTTACAGCAGCTTTATGTTTCTTTAAGGATAGTTTTGAAATCCCTTCACTGTCATTGAAATAGCCCATTTTCTCATTCTTTTCAAAACCAGACCTAAACTAGAAAAATCCATAGGTCCCTGATATAGGGCTTACTCATTTCTCTCCCAAACTTTCTTTTATACTACTGTCCTCCCAACTGAAATCCCTTCTCCAATTCTTTCCGTCCAAACTTATCCTTTCCCTATAAACCCCTACTTTGAAATTCATTTTTCATGATTTGAGATGTAGCTTTTCTCTCAGCTCTATCATTAGCTAGTTTGGAATCACAGATAAGCCCTCAATTTCCATCTGTTTAGGCAATTTACTGAAAATGCTTACATAGAAATGCTCCCCAAAGATCAAATGTCCTAGGATTCGTGGTGCTATTTTGTTAATTAAGGCCTTCCTTTTGCTTAGTGCCCAGAGAGCTTCACAACTTGTAATAAGGCACCAAAGTAAGATCTTAGGTGGGTGAGGAACATGTCTTTCTTTTGTAAAGTGGGAAAATGACTACTGTGAACAGGAACCACTTCTTACGCAGACCTAATTTAATAAAACATAAAGTTTAATAATAATAATATGGAAGTTCAGGATCTAGAAATGGATCCTCTTCAAATATCTGTGCTCAAGTACCCTTTGAAAAATACTTCTACTCCTCTAGAGATACAAATGCTCCAGTTTGAAGATCACTGGACTAGAAGATAATTGAAGTTCTTTTTAATATAAAATTCCATATAATTCATATTCCATATAATTCACATTTAAGGCGCTATCTGGGCACCCTGTAAAGTGCAAGTTCTGGAACCAATCTGCATGCAGATACCAGAGTATTCTACCAATTACCAGGGTGTGATCTTGGGTATGTTACTCATCCATTCCTTGGCTAAGTGGAAATAATAATAGTACCTGTCTTACAAGCATATTGTGAGGAATCAATGAGTTAATGCAGATAAAGCACTTAGAACAATGTCTGTCACATACGTTAAGTGTTTAGGAATTATTTGCTATGATTGATGCTGCTGCTGCTACTAATATGACTAACATAACTAGAGAGATGCCCTGGCAAGAGTCTGAGAAGTCAGTCATATCTGTATGGTTGAAAAGGTGTCTGCACACAGGTGGTAATGAGACTGTATGTAATGACGCTTCTATGGATATTCTTTCATTGAACAAATGCCTATAGATCAACCACTGGCTCTGTGCTAGCTGTTGAAAAACAAATAAGTCAAAGCTCTTACACTCCAGGAGCTACCGCCCTGAAAGGGAAAGTTAAGTCAGCGCACGCTATCATACAATTAAGGGACAAAATGATGGATTAGAAAGGAAGTTACAGGAAGTTAGAAAAGGGGAAAGCAGTAGGAACTGAGGCCTAGGAAACTGAGCTATGCTGTAAAGGAAAATTTGATTTGGATAAATGTGGGAGGAGCTAAACACAGGGAAGCTTTCATATTTCACCCACAGCCATAGCATCTGGGGAAGAAGAGCTAGTATAGAAAGCTAGGTTGATGAGAGAAACAAAACTAGTTCAGTCAGCCCGCATTTAATTTTAGCAAGAAAGGAATAATGGTCCCAAGCCAGCAAGATGACAATTGATAAGGATAAATGCAAAGTCCTGTTCTCATGTCCGAAATGTGAACTGCACAAGTTCAGAACTGGGTAACCCTAACATGACAGTAGTTCATATGACAAAAATTCAGGAAAGGGTAAGTTAGGGATCAATTGATTGCAAGCTCAGTATGAATAAGAATTTTTCAGCCTGGGCTGAAATTAGCAACCCAACCTAGGAGGCTGCTGACCATCAGGGAGATCATTGTTCACTGTGAGGTTTTTCAGTACCCTTGAAGTGACTTTTGAAAAGACTACTCGAGGGATTAATTTTGGTTCTAAATTTTAATATATGATACTTTAAGATATGTATTTTAAAAATCTATTTCTTAAGCTTTTAAGTTAAGGTGACAAAGTCTATCACTCAATTCTAGTAAATTTAAACAATCTTGTTTTAAACTTTTATTTTAGGTTCGGGGTACATGTGCAGGTTTGTTATACAGGTAAACTCGTGTAACAATCTTTTTTTTTTTTTTGTATTTTTAGTAGAGATGGGGTTTCACCATGCTGGCCAGACTGGTCTCAAACTCCTGACCTCGTGATCTGCCTGCCTCGCCCTCCCAAAGTGCTGGGATTACAGCTGTGAGCCACTGCGCCCGGCCTTAACAATCATTTTTAAAGGGACTTTGAAATAATACTTGGCCCTACTTATAAACTTAAAGGCCTTAAAACATTTGAACTGTATTTATAAATTTAATATAGCTCTTATTTTTTGGCAAATATCTTTATCCACTGATTTAGAAGACAAAACTTCCTAGGCAATTAATATTAAAATAATATATTTATAAATATGATGTCTCAAATTTTCTTAAATGTTCTAATACTGTATGTAAATTTAGTAAGATTTTCAGTTAAAATTGTAAGTCTAAGTCAAGTTCTCAATTACACATTTTAAATTGGGTTAACAAGAATGACCCTCAAAAATTTTTCTAATTATTTCAAATATGCAAATTGCTAACTATACACCAATTTCATGATATAAAAATATTAATATACTACATTTGATTCTTCTTAAAACATATCTACACACTTCTAAATCTTCCAAGATAGGAAAGTGTTTAGCCTTTAAGTTAATTATTTTATTATCCTGTACAAATTTTGGGATTACCCCCTCATATGTGTATAATGTGGAAAATTACCTTCTCAGAATGAAATTACAAAATGATCAGAGATTTTAGTGGGGAGCCATTTGTATTTTCTTTTTTGGAAAACTCGATGAAATGCTTTGTACCCAATTAGTTTTTATTGTAATACTACATAATGTGAGAGTGTTTATGGGATGAGAGAAGAGGGAGAAGGGAAGACAAGAAACCCGTTTCCCTGAATCCAAGTTCTATACTATCCCTAGTTTTTATTATCCGCCTAGATATCTGCAGTTCCTACCCAAACTGATCATTTGACTGGATTTTGCATTTCTTTGGTTCTTAAGATAATTAAGTGCTTTTTCATCTAACTCTAAAAGTCCTTGTACTTGGTGGAACATCCTAATTTTTTTCATATACTGGTGATTGCTTTAGGATCACACAACTTTTGCAATTTGTATTTACAACTAAATTCTCGGTATCTCTCCAGGTTTTGCCTTGCTTTTCATCCCAATCTGCAAGGTCACACTGCCGATAGTCCAAATCTATGTAATTTGGTGCTGGGCAGACCATGTAAAGTATTTTCTGTCCAGCACTGCTCCAGGTGCTTTAAAAGAGATCATGACAATGAACTGAACTCCTTCCAATGATAGCTATCAGAACTGTCATGAGGACTGGACACAAATGTCTATGTGGAAGGGCGGAAGGGAGAGTTTAGAAAGACATAGTGACAACCTGCAAATGTATGAATGACTATCCCGTGGAAGAAGGAGTAGGGTTTTTTATTTGACTCCTGAGACCGCTGGATAGATGTAACAGAGTGGCAAACTCTTAAGGAAGAGCTTTTTCTAATAGTTGGCTTTCTCACAAAGGAATAGATTACCTTGGGAGAAAAGTGAGCCCCTGGACACTGGAAGCATCCAAATGAACCTGGGTACCCATGGGTCAAGGAGGTGCTAGAAGAGTTTCTAATAATAGTCATGAGATTGACTTAAAGAATGTATAAAATCTCTTCCACCTTTGAAAACCTCTGATTTCAGAAAACAGAGTTCACAAAGCTAGATGGCTCATAAAAGGCATCTAAATGTCAAAAACGTAATTGTGTCGTTATATTGCCCCACTTACTGGAGCATGGGCATGGCAAACCTCCTATGCTGAAAGCCTTCTTTTTTCCCGGGACAGAAAGCCCTTTGAGTTTTACAGAGAGATCAGAAATGGAGATGGATTAGGGAAGTGAGGTGGAGGGAGAAGGAAGGGAAAGATTTGCAGCAACAGCTGGAAGAGATTAGAGCCACAATAGAAATCAAAAAGAATGGATATGCTGAGCAGAGAAAGAAAACAGTACTAAGCTGCACTTTAAGAAGGGGAAATGGTGAACAAAGTTTTATCTCAAGACTGTTGCCTTCGAAGACGTAGGCATGTGTATCTATGTGTGTGTGTGTGTGTGTGTGTGTGTGTGTGTGTGTGTGTGTGTAGAAAGAGAGAGAGAGAAACAAACAATGATAATTTGACCTAAGGATATCAAGGACAAAGTAAATTATTTGGACACTTCATTATTATAAATCATTATATTTTTATAATAATCTTAGCTAACATCTATTAATCCCTGCTTAGTGACAGGAGCCACACCAGGCATTTTCTGTGCTCTATCCTATTCTACACCAGCTACAGATTCACTACAGTTTAGGAATCTGAGAAGACGGGAAGGCCTAAAGAACATTGTAGAAAGATGTCTATTGACTATTCATCAGATCACGCAATTAAACCTTCAGGTTCTCTGGTCAGAAACCTGGCTTTGAAACTCAGCTTCACCATTTTACCAGGTATCAAAAATTTAACTTCTCAAACTTTTCATTTTCAAGATGTAAAACATAAATAAATTACATACCCACTATTTCATAGGAAAAGTTGGGAAAACTAAATGAGGAAATGCATGTAAAGTGATTACTACAATACCTGGCATGCAGTAAGTGCTCAAGGCGTGGGAGCTACTCGTCTATCACAGGGGTAGACAAATGTTTTCTTTGAAGTGCCAGATAGTAAATATTTGAGGCTTTGTGAGCCACACAGTCTCTGTCACAACTACTCAACTGCCCAAGTACTTCATTTATAGACAATGAAATATGAATGTAATAAAAGTTTCACATATCACAAAAGATTCTTCTTTTTTTTAACTATATAAAAATACAAAAAACATTCTTAGCTCACAGTCTGAGAGCCATAGTTTGCTGACCCCATGCCAGCATTCAGAAAACCTTTGCCTCCACTCCACAATAGCCACAAGGCAGGCTTCTCAGGCCATAGACCTTGTCCCCAGAAGAATACCCTTTCCCCTCTAATATCTCATTTTCTCTCTTCAGCTACAAAATGAAAAAAAAAAATCTTTGCTAAGTGTCCCTACTGTGCTGAATCTTGCAAGGAAAATAGACTACCCCTTTGGCATTTTCAACCCTGGTAAGGGGCAAAGAACAAACCGATGGAAAGTTGATGGCCAGAGCCTGCAGAATCACGCTGGCTCCCACCCTCCACACACATCCATCAGAACCTGGCTGCCTCCTCACTAGGGCATCTGCACACTCTGTTGTTTTCTTCCCAGTGCTGCAAGATTCTCTCCCCAATCTAGATCCCATGGCAACTGCTTGAAGCTAACCTTTCAAGCAACGGGCTCCATTAAAGTTAGAAAAGTATAAATTGATCAATAGAGGGAAACACAGCCTGATAAAGCCCCTTTTGTGAGATTTTTATTATGGCTTTTTTTATCAGAACCGTGTTAATGGATGAGTTCTGAAATAAATTAACATTCCTATCCTAATGCAAATTTAAAAAGGGATATCAGCAAGGCATTTTGTGACACATAAAGATATGCATTCTACATTTTTCCTGGACAGTTACTTGGCAATATATATCAAGATTTTTAACCTCACCCTTTTTTTTGACCAGGTAATTGACCTTCCAAGAATGTGCCCTAAGGAAATAATCATACATATAACACAAAAATTTATGAACAAGATGTTCACCACAGCCTGTGTGCCTCAGGCTAAAATCTTGAAACCAACTGATTGGCATAGTTGGGCCCATGTTTTTTCTCCCTTGGCCTATCTCTGGTCCAAACAGCTATGACTGAAAGGGTTAGGAGAGGAGAAGCGTCTTACGGTAATCAGGGTGGTCCCTTTCGGGGACTGTGAATAGAGTGATAACACTTTTCACACAATAATACTTAATGGCACAGGAAAACAGTCACAGTATAATGGCAGATGTGAAGAGCAAGCTATAAACTGTACATATGATAGATCTTAACTTTGAAAATACAGTTATTCATAAAGAAATGGATATTTACCAAAATGACTTATTCAGTAACTAAGTTGTATGTGAACATGTAATCAAAATCTATTTGTAAAGAAACTCTCAGAGTTATTTCTCTCCTCTTACAAATGTTTCATACGTGCCCCTTCTGCCACATGTCACTCATCAGCTCTGTGGTCTATTCATCCCAGCATATTGCCACCACCAGTGACAGCCAGGATTTGTTCTTTGTTTCCTTAAGTCTACAAAGAAAAGGCAGTACAAACATAAAGTTTTTGATGTATATCTACAAGTAGAAGTTGTACAGTACAATGAATTTTGTAATGTGTTCAATTATTTTTTAAGTAACCTGTAGATATATAACACAAAGTTACATATACACCTTTGCACACACACACATATACATACACACGGACAAAAACACTAGAAGGAGAAACACCAAAATGCAAATGGTTATTATCCCTGGGTGATGAGATTAAAGATTACCATTGTATTTTGTTTCCTTCTTCCGATTTTTCTGTATTTTGTTGATTGGTTGCATCTACAAATTAGTGTGCATTTATTATAATAATAAACAGTAAACTTTTAAAAAAGATACAAGTATTAGTATTTTTTTACAAAAAAATACGTAATAATCTTGACCATACCAGGCCCCAAGCCACCACCCATCCCCACATCTCCACCCTGCCTTTTCTCTGCTTTTATCTTTAGAAGGTAGAGCCTCATTGTTGGAGGAAGATGCAAAGCCATACTGTCTGGCCCTGCTACGTACTCTGTGCTGATATCTTCTACTTGATTCCCCAGTTCCACTCTCCCCTCCACTCCACTCTGTGGCCCTGTAGACTGATCTGTAGAGGTCTGCGTTAACCAGGCTCCTCAGCCCTCTGGCATCAGTTGGATTTGGCCAAGGTGTGGTGTGTATCAGCAGGGTCTCTGGAAAGCCATAGCTTCACAGCTCCTGTCAGGCAGCTTTCTCTGTACTTCTCATTCCTTAAGCCCTTGTAATTGGTTTTTCCCCTTTCCCCTTTAGGCTGGTAAAGGCTCCCTATTCTCTCATTGCTTCAGGATTCTGCACCATCCCTTGTCACATTCCCTAAGCCCTGTCCACACCACTGAAATCAACCTTTTATTAAACTCTCTTTAATTACCCAGCTTGAGTGGGCCATCTCTTTCCTGCTGAGTCACGGACAGATAGATACTCACATTGCTGTACACATCTTGGCCCTTAGTACTCACTACCTGCTTACATTAATCCTACTGACTCTCCAGGGCTCTCCCACAATAATGTCCTTACCACAAGCATAGCTGACTCCTGCGATTCCTCAGGCCTCATCAGACTTAATTTCCCCCTAGACATCTATCCTTGGGATCAGAATGAGAGCTCTCACAGGTTCCATATTGTCTCTTTCCGAGTGCTGTCCCAATATAGGCCCACTGACCAGACTGCAGTGATACCCCAGATATTCCACCACTGTTCCTTTTTCCTTTCCATTGTATAAGACATTGTTCACTTTTGTTCTTAATCCCCAAATCCAAGCTTTGGCAACAGTCAACTCCCGGATTGAAGAAAATTCCCTCAACCCCAACTAATGTGTCCAGCTCATAAGCAGTTTCATCTTGTGTTCCTAGTTTCTCCATTTAGTTCAGAGGTTGTGATACCTCTTCTTGTCATCGTCTCTATGAAGGTTCTGGCCTAAATCCTAAAGGGGTTGGGATGTGGCAGGAAGTAGGAGAGGAATCAGGGATAATCCCAGCCATGTATGCTGGTATATGACACGTGAATTGTTCATGACACTCACTGAAAGAAATAGCACTTTTGCTCACTTTTTCTAAATGAATGAAATCTGACTCTAAGTCTACATATCCTGAGGCTAGAGGTGTCTGTTATAAGTGAGTGGTGGTAGCTCCCATTTAGCAGGCTCATATAACAACCCTTAAGCTCATAAAGCACCTGGAAAACGGTGGCAGTACTTGGATCTAATTCCAGGTAGCTGCTATTATTATCATTGGTCTTTCTACAGTGTGATGCCTCTGTCCAGTGCTGATTCTCCAATGTCTGTCTGGCACAAGGCACTCCTCTGGGTGGGCTGGCTTCATGTTCTTTTATGGGGAACTTCACCAATCGCAGGTTCTACTATGGGGGACTGTACTCGTTATCTATTGTTGTTTAATAAACCTCCCCAAAACTTAATAGCTGAAAACAACAATGATTTTCTTATATCTCATGATTTTGGAGGTTGGCTGAATTATTCTTCTGCTGGTCTTGCCTGGGCTGACTCATGTGGCTATATTCAGCAGGTGCATTGGCTAGGGGCTGGCTCAGATGAGAGAGCTGGGATGACTGGGCCTCTTTTCCCACATGATCTTCCCTCTGGCTGTATTCATGGCATGGTGGGCTCAGGATTCTAAGAGGGTGAGAACAGAAGCTGTGTGTTCTCTTAAGGCTTAGCCTCAGAATTTGCACAATGTTATTTTCACCACATCCTGTTGAGAAAACCAAGTCACAGGGTCAACCCATATTCCAGGGGCAAGAAAATAGACTCCACTTTTTTTTTTTTTTTTTTGAGACAGAGTCTCACTCTGTTGCCCAGCTGGAGTGCAGTGGTGTGATCTCGGCTCACTGCAACCTCCGCCTCCCGGGTTCATGCCATTCTCCTGCCTCAGCCTCCCGAGTAGCTGGGACTACAGGCGCCCGCCACCATGCCTGGCTAATTTTTTGTATTTTTAGTAGAGACAGGGTTTCACCGTGTTAGCCAGGATGGTCTCGATCTCCTGACCTCATGATCCACCCGCCTCAGCCTCCCAAAGTGCTGGGATTACAGGCGTGAGCCACCACGCCTGGCCTAGACTCCACCTTTTGATGGGTGACATGGCAAAGTCATATTGCAAAATGACATGCAAAATAGAAAGCATTGTCCCATGTTTGGAAACAATCTACTAGAGAGGAGGGGGGATATAAAATATCTCTTAATTTTTCATGATAAACTTCTAGCCAACAAAGAAAGATGCTGTTAATTTCTTAATCAAATTATTTTCCAAGTTATAATTTTATCATAAGCTGTATTATGTAAGAGTATACATAATGTATAATTTAAAAAGAATAATAATTTTAAAATTAAACTAACCTACCTTAAGAAATATAACATTCCCAATACCTTGAAAGTTACCTAGATGCTTCACAATCAATGCCCCTCTCTCCAGTCCTCTCTAGTGGTAACCACGACCCTATATTTCATGCTTGTTATTCCCTTGTGTTCTTGTTTTTATGACCACAGCTCACTGCTGTGGTCATAAAACCTCAGTCTCCTGGCCTCAAGCAATCCTCCCACCTCAGCCTCCCAGGTAGGTGGGACTACAGGTATGCACCACCACACCTGGATAATTTTTGTATTTTTTGTAGAGACGGGGTTTCACCATGTTGCTCAGGCTGCTTCCAAACTCCTGAGCTCGAGGGATCCGCCCACCTTGGCCTTCCAAAGTGCTGGGACTACAGGAACGAGCCACCGTGCCCAGCGCTTGTGTTCTCCAGGGTTTTACCACAGGAGTTGGTATGCCTAACTATGTATTACTTAGTTTTGCCTGTTTGTTGAACTTCACATAAAATAAATCATTCAGTGGTTTGATTTCATCACTCAGTATTGCTTTTTAGTTTCATTCATATTAATGTGTATAGCTGTAGCTTTTTCATTTTTATGGAGTTTTCCATTGTGTGAATATACATTAATTTATACATTTTACGGCTATTGGATTTTAAGTTTTTCCAATTTATTAAAAAATATTATGAGCAATGCTGCCATGGACTATTTTTTAACATCTTCTCAGGTATGCATACACAAGAGTTCATCTAGGGTATATTCCTACTCCTAAAATAATTCCTGGGTCATAGTGTACACAATGTTCAGCTTTACTAGATAATACCAAACTATTTTCCAATTTACCCTCTTTCTAGTATTGTATGAAAAGTCTCATTGCTCCATATCTGGGCCAACATGTGACATCATTGAGCTAATTTTTTCCAATTTGGTGATCATTAATTATTATCTCATTATGGCTTTAATGGGCATTTTACTCATTAATGGAGTTGCTAATATTTTCTTAAGCTTATTAATCCTTTCTGTTTATTCTTATGTGAAATGTCTGTGCATATGTTTTGCTCAACTCTGCTGAGTTTTTATTTTTAACAATTCTTTACATAATCAGGAATCTGTCCTTTGTTAGTTATATGTATTGAAAATAGCTTCTCTCCCAGTTAATGGCTCATCTTTTTAGACTTGTTAAATTCTTTCCCTAAATCACCCTGCTATACCTCTAATTATATTGAGAATGACCCCACTTCTCCAAACCCAATCTCTTGTCTTGGAACCAAGTTTGTACACCTCAACTCCCTTTCTTGGGAAAAATTCCTCTCCATCAGGCTAGAGACACTTATTCAAATAGACTCCCAGTAAGTTCACTCATTCTGCAACATGCCCAGAAAGTTATGAATCCTTGTTTCTTGGAAAAGGCCCTTAGTTCTCCAAGTTGTGCCACCATGAATGGGCCAAACAAGCCACGAATGGAGTGAGTGAATGGAAAAGGCCTTCCAGTGCCACAATTGGAGTGATGAGGAGACCAACAACCTGCAGAGAGCTGGAAGGATGAAGTATGGGTTTGGTACATACACTGGAAAACCACCTCTCTCTCCCACTCTTCAGTCTCCATTGTTTTTGTTGTTTTTCTCTGTCTCTTTATTAGGGTAGTCCTGTTTCTTCTTCATGGCAAACCCCCAGCAGCCTGGCATAAGGCATTTTTCCATCACATTGACAAATAACCAAGTGTCCAACCAAAATCTTGGTGGGAACTATTGAGCAGGTTTTGACATGCCTGCTGTCACACAGCCTGAAGGTCTGCCTTCACTTAGACCTTTTCAAAGTATTGCTTTTAGGAAAGTACCTGTCTGTAATCTTGTTTTGTTTATTTTCTCCTTCATGTTCAACAGAAGGAACATTATACTCTATCTCCTTCTGAACCTTCCCAAGCAGACCTTCAGGGTCACCTTGGAGTATTCTTAGGTTTTTCTCCTCTACCTCTAAAAGCTCACCAACTCTCCATGAACCCACAATATTTTTTAGAAAACAATATGGGGAGTGCCATCTAGGTGGGAGAGGCAGTATAGCCACTGCAGAGTATGCAGAGGATTAAAAGAGCTTTCTAGCTTGTCAGTACATAAAGACATCTGGAGTGAGAAAGTTAAATAACCAAGTTTAGAAACAGTTTAAGCAGGTTCTCAGGGCAGCCACTAGACCCTCATCACCAGGGTTCTGTTCACACAGCGCCTGACTCATAGTGGTCGCTCCATGAATGTTGGTTCAGTAACAGACACAAGGCAGCCTCCCTCGGTGCCCCCACAGCCAGCCCCTCTGGGGTCCCACCCTCTGCCTGGAGCTCTGCCTCACCAACTAAAGCCCTGTTCCATATTCAGGAATTGCTTCCTCTCACCTGCTTTGGCTTCATGCTTCCCTATGTACGCCACTTGGCATCATCCTCTCAATTTAAACATTTAGGCTTTCACAAAAGTAAGGAAAAGTGTGTGACCTCAAGAAGCTTCTGAGGTGTAGCCCTGCAAACACACTAGAGGCTGGGACCATCAAGGAAGGCCTAGCAGGAACAAACACATGTTCAGAGCTCCCTAATTACCCTGCCACACCAGTCTGGAGAAAGCTTTTGCCTTGCTAGTCTGAAATCTCACTGGTGGCAGAATTGGGTGGAAGGGAGGTTGAAGGTAAGGGCAGGCTGTTGGCAGTAAGACAGCAGCTCTATCTTGAGACTAGGACTGGTGAGATTCACCTGGGACTGCAGAGCCCTGATCATCTGTACCATTCATTAAGCTTTGAATCACATGTTGGCTTGTGGCAAATTCTGATATTGTTGTCTTATGTCTCTATTTAGTTCTTGGATTCTCATTTCCCTTATTACAGTTACATATCCTGCCTTACCAACTACACTCAAGTTCTCTTATAAGAGCAGGGCCCTAGGGATATGCCTCTTTATATAATACATAGAACTCTACAAGTGCTTGAAAAATACCAAACAAATGAAATCATGACCTTTTAAACTATAGACAAACCCCCTCTCTTTCTGAAGTAACATTTTAATTATTTTAGTCTTTCTTCTCTTATAGGTGGTTCCTCCAACCCTGAATAATTATAGTTACTTTTCTCCAAATCATTGTCCTATGTGTAAAGACAGACATGTCAACTATAGAAGAGACGTTTTTAGAGGAGCAGATTTTTTTTCTTATGAAATTCCTTGTATTTAGTTTCTAATACTAGTCTGATGAGACTGAACATTTTCTTGGCTATCTTAAGTGAAGCAATGTACACAGTGTTTAAAGTGTGGTACACAACACTTCAGGTCCCTGAGACCCTCTCAGATGATCACTAAAGTACAAAGTATTTTCATAATGATACTAAGAAATCATTTGTATTTGTTGCTGTGCTGGATTAATACAGTTGGTGCAAAAGCAATGGTGGATAAAACTGCTGGTGCCTTAGCACTAGTCCTCATTGTATTTACCACCATACACTCAGAGTTTTTTCAAAAAAATCTAATTTCATTTAAGATGTCCTTGATTAAGCAGTACAAATAATTAATTTTATTAAGTTTTGACCTTGAGAACATGTCTTTTCAATATCCTGGGTGACAAAATGAGAACGACTCATAAATCACTTCTGCATCATTAGAAATATGAATGTTGTCTTGAGAAAACGCACTCGTGCAATTGAATTGTGAGCTACACTGGTTGTTTTTCTTTATGGAACACAAGTTTTACTTGAAAGAAAAACAAAATATGACTATAGGAGCTGGCACACATTTTTTCCAGAATGAAGGAAGTGAGCCTATCACTTCGAAAAAAATAAAACTGAAGGAATTTGTTGGCAATGACAAAATTCTAGTTTTCAAGCAAAAATTAGAGTTTTGGAAAACTTGTATTCTTCACTGACAACTGAACAGCTTCTGAATATCTAAAGACTTTCCTGATGAGATCCACGGTAGTAACAAATGCATTTTTTTGATATTTTAGAATGAAACATATTAACATTTGCAACACCTATAGAACTCAGTAATCAATAATTTCCAAATGAATAATTCACTATGTTACAAAAATTATGTACACATTTAAATATTTTTAAAAACATTCAAAATGAAAGATAAACCAATAAATTTTAGTATAACAGAACATGAAAAGTTAATTGATATGATTACAGATTCTACACTGCAACTAAAAAACTACCACTTGTTGAGTTTTGGTGTATATCAAAGAAGAATATCCACAATTATCTCAAAAGGCTATGAAAATAAACTCCTTTTCCAACTACACATTTCTATGAGGCCAGATTTTCTTCATATACTTCATTTAAAACAGCATCGCAACAGCTTGAATGTAGAAGCAAATGTATTCATCCAATTCTTACATACATTAAAGAAATCTACAAAAATACAACTCATGTCATACACTAAAGAGACTTTCAAAAATAAACAATACAGGGCCTGGCGCAGTGGCTCATGCCTGTAATCCCAGCACTTTGGGAGGCTGAGGTGGGCAGATCGCTTGAGCTCAGGCATTCAAGACCAGCCTGGGCAACATGGCAAGACTCTGTCTCCATAAAGAATAAAAAATTAGCAGGGAGTGGTGCACTCCTATAGTCCCAGCTATCCCAGCTACTTGGGAGGCTGAGCTGACAGGATTGCTTGAACCCAGGAGGTCGAGGCTGCAGTGAGGCAAAATTGCGTCACTAAATTCTAAGCTGGGTGACAGAGTGAAACCCTATCTCACAAGATAAAAACAAAAAACAATACCATTCTTCTCACTATTTTTTCATTTGAAAAATATAGTTAATTAAAATTGTTTTATTTACATTAACAGGTAATGGGTTTATTGTGATTCTTGAATAAACTAATAAATAACTCTTTGGAGTCCTCAATAAATGTTAATGTTTTGGTTCTGGGACCAAAAAGTTTGAGAACTACTTATCCAGGGGACTTTAATTTGTAGGTTTCCTTCTTTGATCAGACTAACAGGGAGGGAGTAACATCTTTAAAGCACAAGCCCAACATCCTTAAAGAATAAACCAGATTATTTGGCCCATGTGCATATCTAACCCTTGCTTACCCTGAGGCTCCTGTGGTGTGCTTACACCAGGTTACAAGGGCTCAACTGAAGAACATCCTAGGTTTCATTTTCACAGAGTAACTGTTATTTGAAAACTTGGAGGTTTTGCCTTTCCAGGTCATTCATAAAGAAATTGAGTAGGATTGCCATCTGTATTTATCACCCCTAAAAGGCATCCATTTATTTAGCTTTACATGTTTCCTGTCTCAAAGACAACTATCTGCCCTTGACTAAACATTGTCCTCAGTTTCACAAAATCTCAACATGTCTATAGTGTGTGAATCTAGACAAAGGCTGATAATAGACCAAATCTACCACATCCACAGTTTCCCTTCAATATAAGTAGATGTAACCCCTTGAGGATTCCTAAGGGATTTTTCAAACATGATTTCTCCTTACGGAAAAACTTCCCCCAAGTAGTTTATGCTTAATTTAGTAGTCCTTGATCTCACAGCTCAAGTGACTTATTCCATAGGGTCCTAGTCACTCACAGCTGGTTCATATTAAAAATGGTATTCTTTGTTCTATGTGATTCTTTAATTTCTGCCTAATTGCTAATATGAACTTGATCTGACGGAAGTTATATGCTTTTCTGTTCTTTCGTTTGTAGAATCTTCCCCTTCTCCCATGAAACCCTTTTATTTTACCTCCAGTGATTTCCTTTAGTGAACAAAATGTGATTTTTTTCCTCCAACATCTAATTTGTAAAATTGGTGACATTCATTTCTCACAAAAGTATTTTTAAAGTCTTCAGATTCTCTTTGTATTATTTTAAAAATGTAACTACAGGTATTTATTTCAATCTAGCACTTTAGCTTCATTTCCTTTTAAAACTTAAGCATCTTAATGGGATTTAAAAAAAAAACTCCCCCCTCCCTTGCCAGATTCTGAATTCAATCATTTTGTCATTGTTATGTAACAGTTCACCCACAGCCACTTTCTGTAGCTATTCCTGATCACCACTCAGGATAAAATGCAATATATTTCTTTCCTTGCGGATTTAAAGGCTAGCTTTTCTAAGAAAGAATTAGTATTATCCCAAACTTTTTATTTCTGTATGTGGTCCTGATTCAGGAATTGCTACAATTTGTTTAAATCCTTCTTTGGGGGTAAGTTCCTGGCTCTTATCACTTGGTCTAATTTTGTAGCTTCCCTCCTTATTGTAACATATCAGTGCAGGCTCATTGCTGAATTCAATAAACCTGTGTCAAGCACATACTGGAATAAATGCTATAGGAAACACAAATATAGAAGACAATATAAAAGACTGAACATGCCTCGGCCTTTAACCTTCAGGCATTCAGTCTAATGGGAGAAATAGAGGCGATACGAGCAACTCCAATTGGCACATACCCAGTGCTTTGGGGAGCACAGGGGAGGGTGCAGGAGCTCCTCTTACCGTGGCTGCATTACTGAAGGTGACTGCTTGTGCCTTGAGGTTCTCTATCACTCTCCGTCTAGTCCTTGTTTCCCTGAGCTACACCAGTCTTGGCATCCATGAGGCGTGGGTAAAAAGTGCAAAGACACTTGCATCTATCCATCTCAAAAGGTTATATTGGCGCCCTAAACTTCCCAGCGTATCCTCTTCCTGTGAGCACTTTGATTGTTGTTGTCTGCACTGCCTCCTCTACCCGTGGCTGGATCCCACTGCACACTCTCGCTGTGGCCATGCCTGCCAGAGCCTGTGGTGCTGGGCTCTGCTGCCCTTGCTGCCATCACTGAAGAAGTTCCAGAAGCTGGGACAATATTTTCATCCAGTTTTTGAGGTCTGGGACAGCCGTTGATTACAGTTATTTTTATGCTCTTAGGATGCCCTGCCTCTCTTGCTTAGCCTACTTTGTAGAAGAACTTGAAACGAGCTCTGGAGTGTGGGGATGGAGTGGGAGAGCCAGCTTAAGAGTCGCCAACCACATCCATGTGTTGAGCACTCAGAAATATATTTTTTCTCACGGTAAATTATCTGCCTTCCTGGAGCCATACTGATCCGAGGTTGTGAACCTTTTTATGTCCTCTCGGTTGAGCTGTGTGACGCAGGGGTCCCAGGATCTGATCATCAGCTTCAGAGGCCTTCACCATGTATCCCAGGTCCCCATGCTAATAGGTGTCTTGAGGGATGCCTGACTATCCCAGCGTTTCTGAGGCAGGCATTCCTATTAGGTCCGCACCCCATCCTCTCTGTACTTTTCTAGTAAGATTTTTCAATTATCAGGACTTTAGTTAGTAATAATGTGTCAATCCCGGTTCATCAATTGCGGCAAATTTGCCATATGGATGAAAGATGTTAATAGGGACTACTAGGTATGGGGTGTATGAGAATTCTGTGTACCAGCTTCTCAATATTTCTGTAAATCTAAAACAGAGTTTATTTTTAAAATTACCAAAAAAGTAATACATGTTATTTTTCAAAATTCAAATTGTACTCAAATTATATATAAAGTAAAAGCGAAAAAAAAGGTCCCATCACATCCTCCCACTAATCTTACTCCTCGGAGTTTTAGAGATAGCTACTATTTCAAATTTGGTGTCTTTTTTTTTTTTTCTATTTTCACACGCATGCACACACACATGCACATATATATTCACATATTTTTTTAACAAAATGATATATGCATATTGTTTTAAAACTTCTCTTTTTCCAATAACAATATGTTACTCTCTTACCATGTCAATTCATATCATTCTGCTTCTTGTTTTTTTGTTTTTTTTTTTTGAGACGAAGTCTGGCTCTGTCGCCCAGGCTGGAGTGCAGTGGCAGGATCTCGGCTCACTGCTACCTTGCCCGGCTAATTTTTCTAGTTTTAGTGAAGACAGGATTTCACCATGTTGGCCAGGCTGGTCTCAAAATCCTGACCTCAGGTGATCCACCCACCTCGGCCTCTCAAAGTGCTAGGAACACAGGTGTGAGCCACCAAGTCCGTGCCCGATTTATGGAATTTCATAGTATGGAAGTACCATAACTTATATAATCCTTCTTCCACTCAAATATATTTATATTGTTTCCATTTTTTTCAAACAATACTACAATGAATATCTTTTTTTTTTTTTTTTTGAGATGGAGTCTCGCTCTTTCACACAGGCCGGAGTGCAGTGGCGCTATCTCGGCTCACTGCAAGCTCCGCCTCCTGGGTTCACGCCATTCTCCTGCCTCAGCCTCCCAAGTAGCTGGGACTACAGGTGCCCGCCACGGCGCCCGGCTAATTTTTTGTATTTTTAGTAGAGACGGGGTTTCACCGTGTTAGCCAGGATGGTCTGGATCTCCTGACCTCGTCATCCGCCTGCCTCGGCTTCCCAAAGTGCTGGGATTACAGGCGTGAGCCACCGTGCCCGGCCTACAATGAATATCTTGTATGACCAATTATGTATATACATATGTTTATTTAAAATATCTATTTAAAATAGATAATTCCAAAATCACAAGATTTTAAGATTCTTACCAATCATGCTGCTCCTCACATACAATATGTCAACCCCTTCTATATGTCGGCTCCCATCCTTCATCAAGAGTTTTTCATAGCCTGGTAGTTCTCTGTTCCTTTGTTTGCCCAAAATCTGAACTACGCGTCATCATTTTATCCCTAATTCCTAGCACAATGCCTGGCACTTAATAGGAACCCAATAAGCATAAAGGAAGGGAAGAAGGAAGGAAGGAAGGAAGGAAGGAAGGAAGGAAGGAAGGAAGGAAGGAAGGAAGGAAGGGGAGGGGAGGGGAGGGGAGGGGAGGGGAGGGGAGGGGAGGGGAGGGGAGGAGAGGGAAGGGAAGGGAAGGGAAGGGAAGAGAATGGGAGAGGGAGGGAAGCAGTTTCTTCCACGCAGTCGTTGTTTTATTAACTGCGATTTGTATGTCTTTAATGTGACTTTTCTACCACTCTCCATGAATGTAGGCTGCTTAAAGGGATCTTAGTTTGGTCTAGGAGCCAGGCTATGAAGGGATGGAAAGTATTGTAAGAAATTTTTGTCCTTGTCCTTAGAAGGCCTAGAACTATCTCAGGATCAAGGAAGAGTCAAGATGTGGTAAGTTATTTGCAAAAAGGACCACCATAATTCCCATTCTTTGTGTTATCTTCTCAGGTGTCTTTGGGCTTGGACATGTAACTTGCTTCGGCCAATGGGACACTAGCAAATGTGACACAAGCAGAGTCTTGAGAAGTTTACATATTTTGGCTTGATTTTTCTAGCTGATCTTGGGAACCCTGGACCACCATGTGAAAAAGCTAAACTTTGGGCTAGCCTATTGGAGGGTTAGAGACCAAATGGAATAGAGATAAGCTTCTCAACCAAGGCCTCCTAAATCAATCATCCAGCCAAGCACCAGACATATTAGTGCCATTACGTGAGGTCATCTGGACCCCAGCCAAGCTGCCACTTGACTGAGCTCAGACCAGGTAAACCACCCACAGCTGGCAGAAAATTATATGAAATAATATATGTTTATGTTTCAAGCCACTAAGTTTTGAAGTGTTTTTTTATGCAGCAAAAGCTAACTGTACACAAGAATTTTCTGGAAAAAATGGCATGAGACACAATAATTTTAGATTAACTTTATATGTTGACAAAAATGCAAAAACACAAACATACATAAACATTAGCAAACTGAATCCAAAAATACACACACGCATACACACACACACACACACACGGCATCATGAACAACTTGGGTTATCTTACAAACACATGATTTGAGACCAGCCTGGACAACATGGCTAAACCCCCTTTTTACAAAAAATAAAAAAATTGGGCCAGTAGCATATGGTCCCAACTACTCAGGAGGCTGAGGCAGGAGGAGGAATACAGATTTGTCACATAAATCATTCTATTAACAGCAAAATGGGAAAATGTTTCTAATTCTCTTAATAGATACAGAAAAATTATTCAATGAAATTCAAAAGCAATTTCTAATACAACTATTAGCAAATAGGAACAGAAGGAAACTTTGATGTTATAATGATTATCTTCCCAAAAACTCACATCAAATATCAGAGTTAATGGTAAAACTTAGAACTTTCCCTTTGAGTAATAAGATTAGGATATTTGTTATCACTGCTTCTATTCAATAGTATTCTGGAAGTCCTAGTCAGAGCAATAAGATCAAAAAAAGATATAAAAAATTTGACAGAAAGAAAACTTGTCATTCACAGACAATATGATTACATAATATAGAAAAATCCCAGAGCATCTAAAATCATTAAAAGTTTAAAAGATGTAAATGTGTTGGCAGGATACAAAACCAGCATATAGAAATCAATGGGATCTTCTTGAATAACAACAGTAACTAATTAGAAAAAAAAAAAGGTTTTTTGAATATTAATTATCACAAAGCCCGGTCTACCTCAGCACCCTTCCCGTGTGATCCAGATGGACTAGCTGCATATTTCTACGTTCAATGAAGGCGGGAATGATATCTGTGTTGTTCACCACTGTGACTCTAACGCCTGGCACGTAGAGGATATTCAATACATATTTTTGACCAACAAAGCTGATAGGGTGACCACTGTCCTGGATTTCCCTGGATGGAGGGCTTCCCAGGACATGGAAATTTCAGTGCTAAAACCAGGACAGTCCTGAGCAAACTGGGACAGTTGGTCACCCTACCTGTCAATAAAATCCAAATGGAAGGGAAAATCTGAGTGTCTGTGGTTAACCAAGGAATAAGTTGTTGCTTTCGGGGTTAACAAAGCAAGAAAGTGAATGAATTTTGGGTTAACGGGTTATTAACCAAATAAAACTAAAGTGAATGAGTGGGGTATGAAACAGTGCCTCCCTATAATAAAACTTGTATAGTGATATTTTGGAATCTATGACACCATTAAAACCACCAAGATCATGTAGAGCTTATAAATATGATTCTTCCTACACCATCCTAACACAATCTAACAGCATTCCAAAGTGAGAAGCCATAAAAGAATTGTCTTCATTAAATTGCAAGTAACTGCAGTATCTTTTCTCCCAAAAGAACCTGAAAAAATCAAAAGGCTCTGCTACTCTGAAAATAACAGTGAAAGAGTATTTGTCTGATCAAACAACTACTCTGATGAGAAAGATAAGTAATTAATTTCCATTACATTTAATACCTGAAAATTATTTTTTCTAAAACACCTTCAAGAACAGTACAGATTTTCTATTTCAAATTAATATTCATTACATTCAAAGTGCAGAGAAGGGAAACAGTGACATAGACTATTCAATAAATAAATAATATTGCTATGGTTTGAACGTATGTGTCCCACCAAAATTTATACATTGGAACTTAAACCCCAAGATGATGATATGAAGAGGTGGTGCTATGGGAGGTGATTAGGCCATCAGAGACTAATCCCACCCTTATTAATGGGATTAATGCCCTAACAAAAGAGGCCTCAGAGAGCTTCCTTGCCCTTCTGTCGCTTCTGCTATCTGAGGACACAGCAACAAAGCACCATCTTGGAAGCATAGAATGAGCCTTCACCACTAATTGAACCTATCAATGCCTTATCTTGGACTTCCCAGCCTCCGGAATTGTGGAAAATAAATATTTTTAAAGACAGGGTCTCACTATGTTGCCCAGGTTGATCTCAAACTCCTGGGCTGAAGTAATACTCCCACCTTGGCCTCCCAAAGTGCCAGGATTACTAGTGGGTGCCACTGTGCCTAGCCTGCAAAATAAAATTCTGTTGTCTACAAAGTACCCAGTCTAAAGTATTTTGTTATAGCATCAGGAGCAGACTAAGACAATATCGCTTACCAGAAAATTGTCCTGTCATTTTCCATGACTTACCTATTCACAAATAAACACAAATTTCTTCAGCATCTGTGATATTGTGAAACATATATTTGGTTATCATCCCTGTTTCCTGACATACAGCTTCTAAAAACACTTGGAATCTCTGGAGTGGTAAGAGTGTCTTTTGTATGCCGATGATATGACTGGTGATTGGTATCCCTAGACAGCTTCAGGATGGAGACTAGTCATTAGAAAGATCAAGGCAGTATTACAGTGCTGGGACTTTCATCCCCAACCGCCAAACTCCAGGGAGAAGAGAGGGGATGAAAGTTAAGTTGATCATCAATGGCCAGTGATTTAATCAACCATGACTGTAATGAAGCTTCCATCAAAACCCAAAAGAACAGGCTGAACACATGGAGGTTCGTGAGGGCAGCTCACCTGGAAAGCGCGTGGAAACTCCAAATGCATCCGCATATACTTTGCCCTATGCATCTTTTCCATCTGGCTGTTCACCTATATCCTCTGTAGTATCTTTTATAATAAATGGTAAACATAAGTAAAGTGTTTCCCTGAGTTTTCGTGAGCCACTCTAGCAAATTAATTGAGCCCAAGGAGGTCATGGGAACTCCAACTTAGAGAGCTGGTCAGTCAGATGCATAGGCCACAACTGTGGCTTGAAATTGGCATCTAAAGTAGGGGGCAGTCTTGTGGGACTGAGTCCTCAACTGGTGGGATCTCATTCTATCTCCACGTCGTACATAGTGTCAGAATTGAATCGAATTGTAGGACACCCAGCTGATGTCTGCTGCAGAATTGCTTCATGTGTAGGGGGAAATCCCCACACATCTGGTCACACGAGTGTTCTTTCTTGAGTATTACATATATAACTATGTAACAGAGTAGGAAAAAACAGTTCGGTTTTTCCTGTCACTGATTGCTTTGTGTATAGAGAAACATTCCCACACCCATTTTGGTGTCAGAAGTGGTGAGTGGTTTATGAGTAGAAAAAGCACATTAGTTTTTCCTGTATCTTTACAGCATCCCCATGGGACTTATCAATTCCAGCTGAAATCTTTATTTCATATGTGGCTTCTGTCTCATTCTTCCTCTATGTTACACACGTCTTGATGACTCTACCTTTATAATACTTTTATAATTCTTTTCTTCTGCCTATGTTGATTCTCTGTCTGTTATAATGGGAATGGAAACAGAAAGCAGATAAATTTAGGGTACTTTGGATGGATTAGCCAAGCAGTGATGGAAAAAGAAAAAAAAACACATACTAAGTCTCCACAGTGTGCTACTAAACAAGTTGTCTTGTTTAATCTTTAAAGTAACTCTGAGAGGTAGGTATTAATGTCTCTGTTTACTTACCAGGAAACTGAGGTGCAGTAAGTTTGAACATATTGAGCAAGTTCATTCAGCTACTGAGCTACAGAGTTCAGATTCAACTTCAGTCTACCTCCAGAGGATGTTCTCTCCTGCTATATCTCATTCCAGTGAATACTCCAAGTTGGTTTGGGTAGACTATGATAAATAAATGATGTGGACCCAGATCATTGAAAAGTGAACGTTTCTGGCTTTAACAAATATGCCATATAAGAAAATTAACTTGTGTAAATGTGTAATCAATTTTAGATTTTATGTCAGACATGGTTTTTAACTTCAAATTTTTATTAACCTCAGATAACGTTATATATAATACAAACTTTGCCTGTCCCCTTCAAAAGAATTAGACTCACTACTTTGTAGATAAACCTGTTCTCTTATTGCAGCTTCAATGTATATTAGTAGCTTCAGTTGGGATTTTATCTTATTTCAAAACTTTATCTAACTTAGGTTATCTCATTTTGCATCAAATTATGTGACAGATGATGCAATGCATGAATCACAAAGCCACAACTGCTAAATGTTTCTTACATTTAAAAAAAAAACAACTTTTGGCCAGGCGTGGTGGCTCATGCCTGTAATCCTAGCACTTTGGGAGCAGAGGCAGTTGGAGCACCTGAGGTCAGGAGTTCAAGAGCAGCCTGGCCAACATGGCAAAACCCCGTCTCTACTAAAAATACAAAAATTAGCCAGGCATGGTGGTGTGCGCCTGTAATCCCAGTTACTTGGGAGGCTGAGGC
Organism: Homo sapiens; assembly: GCF_000001405.40. Lineage (NCBI taxonomy): Eukaryota > Metazoa > Chordata > Mammalia > Primates > Hominidae > Homo > Homo sapiens. The sequence continues at coordinate 91,142,483 of NC_000010.11, forward strand.
AGGAAAATCGCTTGAACCTGGGAGGCAGAAGTTGCAGTGAGCCAAGATCATACCACTGCACTCCAGCCTGGGCAACAGAATGAGACTCTGTCTCAAAACAAACAAAACAAAACAAACAAACAAAACACTTTTAGCTGGGTGCAGTGGCTCACACCTGTAATCTCAGCACTTTGGTAGGCTGAGGCGGGTGGATCATCAGAGGTCAGGAGTTCAAGACCAGCCTGGCCAACGTGGTGAAACCCTGTCTCTACTAAAAATACAAAAATTAGCTAGGCATGGTGGTGCATTGGTGCATGCCTGTAATCCCAGCTACTCGGGAGGCTGAGATGGGAGAATTGCTTGAACCCAGAAGGCAGAGTTTGCAGTGAGCCGAGATGGCACAACTGCACTCCACCTGGGTGACACAGCGAGACTCCATCTCAAACAACAACAACAACAACAACAACAACAACAACAACAACTTTGCCTCAAATGCTTGGCTTTATTAAAATTTACTTTACCCTGTTCAAGTGATACTGGTAACACCATATTATTTGTTAGATTACTTAATAATACTAATTTTATTTATTTAAAATTATTTTTAGACTATGAAATAAATTTATGTAATTATAACAAATCAAAAAATGTAATTGGGTGTAAAGAAAAATTTAATAGAACAGATGAGGTTAGAGAAATAGGCAGGTGTCAGTTTATATAGGGTCCTATAGGTCAGATTTAAATGCTTGGATTTATATTCATTGGGAAGCCAATGGAAGATTTTAAGCAGGAGAATAACATCCTCTGGTTTATGTTTTAAGAAAAGCACCCTGGCTGCTATATGAAGGGTGGATTAAAAAGGAAAGGGCAAGAGTGTTACCCATGAGGCCAGTTGAGAGATGTGGTGGAACAATATCTCAGGGAAAGACAGTGGTGACTGGGAGTGGTAAAGAACGGTGAAAATAAAGAGAACCGTCATTTTTAATATCTTATTGGTGGACTGGATTAGGGGGTTGGCTGGCTAGAGAACAGAGTCAGAGGTATCTCCTGGGTTTGAGGACTGAGCAATGGATGGCAGCATTTCCTGAAATAGAGAATAAGGGAAAAACCTAATGCTCCCCCTGTTGCAAAAGTTTCTTTCTCTTTCTTTCTCTGTCTTTCTCTGTGTGTGTGTGTGTTGGAGATGGTGTGCCTTCTAGAATGTTATCCTACTCCACTGCTCTTGTACCTTTTGTAGTTTTCAGATTGCAGTAGACAGATGCTCTGGTGGCCCCCATGATCCTAACTTACTGGTGCTCATGCCTTGTGGTTCCTCTCCCTTGAGTAGGGATGGGACTTGTGACTTGCTTCTGACAAATGGAGCAAGCTGCTATGTTGTGAGCTGGCCTACAAAGAGGGCCAAGTGGCACACAACTGAGGACAGCCTTTGATTAGTAGCCAGCAAGAAACTGAGGCCCTTAGTGCAACAGCCTGCCAGGAACTGAATGTGGTCAACAACCACATGAGCTTGGAAGCAGATCCCTCCCCAGTCAAGCCTCAGGTCAGACAGCAGCCCCAGGCAACACCTTGATTGCATCCTTTTGCTACCCTGAAGCAGCTAAGCTACCCCTGAACTCCTGATCCACAGGACCTGTGAGATAATCAATGTGCATTGTTTTAAGCCATACATTTTTGATAATAGCGCTAAGCAGCAATAGATAACTAATATACCAATTTTCTTAAAATACCTTCTTAAAAGAAACTATAGCTATAATACGATTCAGGTTTCTGACATACATAAATCCTTATTCCTGTTTTGAAAAGGTTACTTTTTATAAATGTATAATATTTATAAAAGTGTAAGTCTATATACTGTCTCCAATTATGAATGCATAAAATTGTTGTGTATATCTGTCAATATAACACTTATAGAATTATAAGTTCTAAGGAAACTTGGATAGGTGAAGCAACTTGCTCAAGTTCCTATAGCTAGTGACAAATCCAGGAACAAAACTTACCACACTGAAATGTGGTTTTTAGCATTCAAGTGACATATAACCATGGAGAAAGTCTTGACAATCTTCCATTTCTTAAAGTGTATACTATCAAAACCTTTCAAGAACTCCTAAAAGGCAACAATTTTCTCACCTAGAAAGTATACTGCCATATGTAAATGTTAGCATTATAAAACTCATCAGAGCTGAATCAAATGGCTTTTATTTGTATTTGACTCCTTTATTCACTCTAAATTATTTAATGATAAAGGAAAAAATGTTTCTTGGCTTTTCTATTTCACTTGGGTTCTTACTACATATATATGCAGCCATAGTAGATGCCAAGAAAGAAGAAAAATTGCTGCTGGACTCAAAAAGCTGCGAGTTTGAGGTGGCACACATAGATTTTTCTTTGCTAAACAAAAAGCAATCTTAAAAACTTTCCTTTGATCGGGATAAGAAGCATTCATGATAATGCCTGCATGGTACCTGGCATGCAGTAAATGTATGTTATTGTTACTATTGTGCAGCAATGAAAAGGGAGGTGCACAGGGACAGTGTGTACCAAACTTTAAGCAAGTGATGAAGCAAACCACACCACCCTGTTACTTTGTAATTCCCATAATTTTACTTTCATCAGTTTGTCATCCTATTAGATAAAGGCCCTGATAAAAAGAAGAGAATGTTCAGCAGCATGCTGAGAATAACTGGAACGATTCATCAAAGTGAACAATTGCCCAACCATTGCTAGATGAGAAAAGTGGCAGAAAGTTGCACCAACATGAACAAATACTCTTGGACTTATGCTAAAAAGCCCCAGCAATGTTAACAGATAAAACTGTGGTGTTGAGCAGACAAAACCTCTATCTCTTCTATGCTTTTTGGTAGACATTTATTGAGCACTTACTGTAGATCAGACACTGCACTAGACACTGGGAATGTAAAAATGAGTAAGACACAGCCTTTGACTTCAATAAAAATAAATTATAATGGAATTCAACAATAGAGAAATATATAAGGACACACAAAGGAATAAAAGATTAACTCTACCAATGGGAGTTAGAGAAAGCTTCTTAGAGAAGGAGACGTCTGAGTTGAGTTTTATGGGATGAATCCGAAAATTATCAGAAAAAAAATAAGGAACAACCAAGTGCAAAAGCACGACAGATTCTTCCCAATTTGAAAACTTACCACAGTAATTAATACAGTGTGGTATAGGCATAAGGATAAACATAACAGATCAATGGAATCGAATTGAGAGTCCAGAAATAAACCTCACATTTAGAGAACTGATTTTTGACAAGAGTGCCAAGACAATTCAATGGGAGAAAGAACAATCTTTCAACAAATGGTTCCGGGACAACCAGATAGCCACATGAAAAAAAAATGAATTGGACCCCTGCTTAACACCATATACAAAAGTCAACTCAAAATGGACCAAAGACCTAAAATGTAAGAGTTAAAACTTTACAACTCTTGGATGAAAATATGGGGGTAAATCTTTGTGATTGTAGATTATGCAACACTTTCTTAGATATGAAACTGAAAGCACAATTGACCAAAAATATTTTTAAAAATTGTATTTCACCAAAATTAAAAACTGTTGTGCTTTCTCAGACACACCACTAGGCAAGTAAAAAGACAGCCTACAGAATGGGAGAAAATATTTGCAAATCATATATTTAATAACAGGCTTGTATCCAGAATATACTAACAAAAACTCTTACAACTCAATAGTTAAAAGATAATTAACAAATTAAATATGCACAAAAAATCAGGATAGACATTTCTCCAAAGAAGATATATAAATGGTCAATAAGCACTTGAAAAGATGCTCAACATCGTTAGCTATAAGGGAATGTAAAACAAAACCACAATGAGACACCACTTCTTGCCCACTAGCATAACTCTAATAAAAAAGACAGACAATAACAAGTGTTGACTAGAATGTGGAGAAATTACAACCCTAATACATGACTGTGAAAATGTAAAATGGTGCAATCACTTTGGAATAACAATTTGGCAGTTCCTCAAGGTTAAACATAAGAGTTACCATATGATCTAGCAATTCCACTCCTAGATATAAGTGTATACCCAAGAGAAAAGAAAACATATGTCTACACAAAAACATGTATGTAAATATTCATAACAGCATTATTAATAATAACCAAAAGTGGAAACAATCCAAATGTCCACCAATTAATGAATGCATAAATATGTGATATAGCAGTACAGATAAATATTATTTAGCAATAAAAAGCAATGAAGTACTGATATATGTGACAACATGGAAAAACCCTTGAAAACATGCTAAGCAAAAGAAGCCAGTCACAAAAGATAATTCGTTGTATGATTCAATTTATTTTAAATGTCCAGAAAAGGCAAATCCATGGAGACAAAAAGTAGATTGGTGATTGCCAGGACTGGAGGGTATGGAGGGAGAAAAATGGGGGTGACTAATAATAGGTGTGGGGTTTCTTTCTGGGGTTTGACAATATTCTACAAAAGAGACTGTGGTCTTTGTGGCACAACCTGTGAGTACAGTAAAAACTACTGAACTGAACACTGCATTTTTAATTTTTTTTTTCTAGAGACAAGTTCTCACTCTGTCACCCAGGTTGGAGTACAGTACACATCATAGTTCACTACAGTCTCAAACTCCTGGACTCAAGTGATCATCCCAACTCAGCCTCCCTAGTAGCTAGGACTACAGGTGCGTGCCACCATGCTTGGCTAATGTTGTTTTTTGCTGTTGTTGTTTTTTTGTGGAGACAGGGTTTTGCTATGTTGCCCAAGCTGGTCTTGAACTCCTCAAGTGATCCTCTCACCTCAACTTCCCAAAGTGCTGAGATTACAGGCATAAGCCACCAGACCTAGCCTGAATTGAACAATTTAATTGGGGGAATTGTATAGTATGTGAATTATATCTCAAAGCTGTTAGAAAAAAAGGCACAATGGATGTGGGGTTATCGACTGTGCAAATGGCCCCAATTCTTCACTCCCTCTGTATCCATGCCCTTTGCCATGTGACTTTCTACTTTCTCTCATGGGGTGGGTTAGGCTATTCTTGCATTGCATAAAGAAATACCTGAGACTGAGTAATTTATAAGAAAAGAGGTTTAATTGGCTCATGGTTCTGCGTTGTACAAGCATGTTGTTGACATTTGTTTGGCTTCTGGGGAGGCTTCAGGGAGATTTTACTCATGGCAGAAGGTGAAGCGGGAGCAGGCACGTCACATGGCCAGAGCGAGCAAGTGAGAGAGAGAGAGAGAGAGAGAGTTGGGGGAGGTGCCACACACTTTTAAACAATCAGATCTCATGAGAACTCACTTATCACCAAGGGGATGGCGCTAAGCCATTCATGAGGGATACACCCCCAGGATCGAAACACCTCCCCACCTTCATCACTAGGGATTACATGTCAACATGAGATGTGATGGAGACACAGATATCCAAACTATATCATGGAGTAATTTCCCTATTCACTGAATCTAGGTTGATGTTGTAGCTTTGTCCAGTAGAGTGCAGGGAAATGATTTGCTGTCACTTCCAGGCCTGGGACTTAAGAACTCTTGCATGTTTCCATTTGGCCTTTGCTCCTCTGCCATTGCCATGAGAACATCCCTGGATTAGTTTGATAGAGAATGAGAGACACGACACAAAGAAGTTTCTCTTCAATCATCCCATCTAAGGTCATCCTAGATCAGCCAATAGCCACCCAGTTCCCAAGCATGTGAATGAGCCCAGCAGTGACCAGAAAAACCACCCAGTCAAACCGTAATTGTCAAATTTTAAACTTACAGACTAATTACATGTTTGTTGTTTCCAGCCAGTGTGTTTTGGGATTGAAGTATTTGTATGAAAATAGGTAACTGATACAGCAGGATAACACAGCATTCACTGTCATCTCAGGAACTTGAAGGAAGAGAATAGAGAGGATAGGTAATGAAATTTAGCACTTCCTAGACCTCAAGTCCTTTACAGAGAAGGGACTTGGAAAGTTAAATATTGTGTGTGCATGCATAAAAATATAAAAATGTGAGTCAAAATTAATACAAGGTGACTGGAAATTCCACGGTGACATTTAAAAATATATAGCATATTCTATTTACTGCCTCATAGTGATTACGCTAAAAAAAAAAAAAAAAAAAGCTTAATTTTTTTTTTTGAGATGGAGTCTTACTCTGTCGCCAGGCTGGAGTCAGTGGCATGATCTCGGCTTACTGCAACCTCCACCTCCCAGGTTCAAGCTATTCTCCTGCCTCAGCCTCCCAAGTACCTGGGACTACAGGCACGCACCACAACACCTGGCTAAATTTTTGTATTTTTAGTAGAGACAGGGTTTCACCATCTTGGCCAGGATGGTCTCAATCTCCTGACCTTGTGATCCACCCACCTTGGCCTCCCAAAGTGCTGGGATTACAGGCGTGCGCCACCACACCTGGCCAATTTTTTAAATATACAACTTTACCCAAGCAAATCACATCTGCGAAAAATATATAACTTCAATTTATTCGTGAGAAAATGTCAGTAGTGGGACAGTCTACTAAAAAACTGACCAGTACTCTCAAAAGTGTCAAGTTCCTGAAAGGCAAAAAAGATTGAGGAACTTTCCAAGATTGGAGAAAATAAAAGAGATACAATTAAATGAAATGTGGAATCGTTGGATTTTGGAATAGAAAAGGGACATTAGTGGAATAATTGGAAAATTTTGAATAAGATCTGTAGATTAATTAATAGTAAAAAGTATTAAATCAATGTTCATTTTCTGGTTTCAATAACACTACTATGAATAAATAAGTTGTCAACATTTGGGGAAGCTGGGCTCAGGGTTATACAAGAATCACGTGCACTGTTCTGCAATGTTTTTGGAAATCTAAATTTTTTTTTAAAGTTAGACCACAATTATAATTTTTTAAAAAGGGGGAAAGAGTATACATAAAAATGTTTACAGCAGCTATTTTCCACAAATAATTTGTTGACATGCCAGACATTATTTTGGTACTAGGGCTACAGCAATCAATGAGACAGAAAAATCCCTGCTCTTATGCAAGGCTCTCTTCTTCATAAGGTAAACAGAATATGTGTAAGATCATTTGAGCTAGTGTTAAATACTGTGTAGAAAGTAAATCAGGGTGAGGGAGTAGGAACAGACGGTATGGGTCACTTTAGCTGAAGTGGTCAGGACATCTCTCTTTGAGGGGCTGTTAATTGAATGAGACCTGAATGACCTAAGGAACTGACTTTGTATGGAAAGGACATTTTGGGCAGGTTAAAAGCAAAGCAAAGGCCCTGGGGCAGAAGCAAGTATGAAGCGTGTTAAGAAGAGGAAGGCCAGCCTAGTCAAAAGTGGAATGTTACTAGCTTTCCAAATCAGACTGGAGGAGTATGCATCTTCCAGAACAGGTAGCTAGCATCAGGAGTTTGCATTTTATGTACAAAAGGAAGTGATCGGGTGGTTTTAAGAGGGTGGGACATGATGTGACTGGGATTTTTTAAAATGTCATTTCATTTTTTGTGGGAAATGACCTGCAAGAGGAGGAGGGCAGCAGAAGTGAGGCCTGTTGGGAGGCCATTGCAGGAGTCTAAAGAAGGAGAGTTGGTGGCTTGACTAGGGTGGTCAGTGAAGTGGCAGAACAGCGACTGGCCCTGGATGTATTTTGTGGTAGGTAGAGCTGAGTAAATTTTACAGATGGACTGAATGTGCTGGTACAGGGAAATAAAGGAATCTAGGATAATTCCTTGTTTTCTTGTCCAATTTGGGTGGATTTTGGTGCCAATTACCAGGGAAGAGTGATGGAGGAACAGTTTTCTGGGGGGAAAATCAAGAATTCTGTTCTGAATATATTAAATTTGAGACTTTTTAAAGACCATTATTTTATGTTTTTGCAATGATTGAGTAATAAATATATGTAAATGTATTTTTTAGGAGCTTTACATTTTAGGAAAAAAATGAAGTTGGTTTTGGGAACATTCAAAAATGTTAGGCAAACTGGGTGCTTAAATTATTTAAATAAAGATGGGGGTATATCTCACCTGGAAAAGTGAATGAGAGAAGACTAATATATAGGACGAAAGGCTCCATCCTAAATAGAAGCAGTTTTAGAATGCACAAGTGATGTATTAAATTTATTCCTGGGCGTGAACAATGATGAGCATCCATAAGTGAACTTTTTACAACTGTCATCACCCACATAAACACAACATTTTTCAAAAGAAAAACAAAATCATCCAACTGTCCTTCAAGTTTAGAAAAGAGAACTCTGCTCAAATGTGCATGTAGGAAGAGATATAATGGTATGACAACTTCTCTTTCTTTTTCTTTAAAGGAACAGTGCACAGGGAATCTGGAAACTATAGGAGGGTAATTATTGAGAGATTATGGTATTGCGGTCAAGGGTGTGGACTGTGGAGCCCAGTGATCTATGCTCTACTCTTATCTCCACCACTTACTGGTTGTATAACTTTGTTCAAGTTCTGTAACCTCTCTCTGTGCCTCAGTTATATCATCCGTAAACCGAGATAATAATATGTAGTAGACCCTGCAATGCACCCCACACCCCCTCCTCCCAGATTCTACTTCACAGTGGCTGGGAATATTACCAGAAGATGGCCCTTAACTGTCAGTCTTTTTAGTGGATTGTCTTGGCTGAAGAAATTCTCTCCCTCAAGGTCACACCTCCTTCCAGGGACAGCCATATCTAATGATTGATCAACATGGGGTATAAAGGCTTGGCCCCATCACTCCAATTCAGGGAAGCTAGAAGGGACTTCCCAGCTCCAGAGTTCCAGATGGAGTTGGCTGAGGCTTCCATTGGGCCTGCATTCCAGCTCAACTGCTCACTTTGCTCAATCCTGCTTTCTTCTCCTTCTTTCCCCAGGTGTTGATCCCAAGACCACTCCCTAGTAAACATCTTGTAATCTAATCTCCCTTTTGGAGTCTGCTTCCCAGGGAGCCTGACCTGCAACATAAGAGTACCTTCCTTATAGGGTGATCCTTAGGAATCAATAAGTCACCATACATAAAGCATGTGAAAGGGTGCTTGCACATAGTAAGTGGAATGTGTCAGCTATTATTATTGAAGCAATCCTCTTATGAAGCTATCAACTCCTGCAATTGTCTTTATTTTTCCCTCAGTCATAAAAGGCTTGTTATAGTGGTTTGAGTTAATTTTCCATATGTTGCAAATAAATTTAACTGGCTTTAGGTGATGAGAAACGGAAGAAGAAAACAGGTTTCTGACATATTTGTTGCTATTGGAATCCCCACATTCTTGTCAGAGAGGCTGTCTCTGTGTTTGCAACCTGACTATAAGCATCTTCTCTGTTTGCATATTGTGTTTTTCTTTTAATTGAGAAAAGGTAGGTGTGAATTATTGTATTTTCATTAGGCTTGGATTACATACATGTCCCGATAAAGGCACCTGCATGACAAGAATCTGCATTTGTAGGGTCTTCTCCTGAGATGAGAAGAAATCAGTATCTTCAGCTTAGTTTATTCTGTTCAGACAGAAAGAGTTCTGATAACCAGAGGGCTGGATCTAAGCTCATTTTGTCACTGCATTTTTTTTTTTTTTTTGGTCTGGTTCATAAGCACTTGATCCTTGTGGACCAAAATAGAGATTGAACTTTTCCCATAAAACTGAAGCTCTAAAAAAACAAAAAGGAAAAGCCAGAGAGCTCCCATACTCAAAAGGAAGGAATACAAGACCACATAAAGCTAAATTTAAAAAATAAATGTTAACTCAAAAGTCAGATTATACATTAGATTATGCCACATTAAAACATCAGGAGAAAGAAGAATTGACAAATGCAAACTGGCTGAAAAGTAGAGGCTATGGTTGTTAAGGAAGATGTCATTGTTTTTCTTACAATTCTCCAAAGAGCAGTAGCTGTGTAAGTTAGTTTAAACCATGTATACAATATATACAGCATATGAGTATATTCTTCTTCTAACAGGAAAGCCAAAAATTCTGTGATCCCATTTCCCCGTATTTGTCTATTATTATTCCTTAATACAAAGCCTTCACACAGCACAGTTTTGGAAGTAATCACCAAAGAGGTGACCCTCCCTGTCCTGTTTAGTGGGAGTTATGTGCTGTTTGCCTCTTATCCACTCTTGATCATTTGAAGGCCTTTGGCTCACATGAGACTCCAAGCTACTATCCCTGGCAATCAGGATACATATCCTCACATCAGTGGGCACCTCGTTTCTCAGCCACAAGTTGAATAAATTGGGAGAGGCTGGCATAAAGCTCAAGTTTATCATTAATGTCCACCCATTTCACTTTCTTGGCATCATCGCCAGCTTCCAGAGGAAGATGGTCCATTATTTCATCACGGTAGTTCACAGCCTCTGTCTCTATCCAGCAGTTATCTGTGTTTCTAGAATCATCCACGTAGCCTTTATAGACCTCAAAATGTTCCTGACTGAGGAGTTTGTGCAATTGTCTCTCCAACTCCTGCATTTCTTTCCTAGATTTCTGTAAAGAGTTCATGGCTTCCTCGCCAAATTCTCTCTTCAATGTAGCACTAATTTTCTCTCCTGGATCCACCATACCCCCTGGGATTGCCTATTCTCCACAGTCCTTCCTTTTGATGGCTACAAATTGCAGGATATTTTTTCCAGAAATAGGGTGGATAATTTCGTTTCCCTTGCTATCCCTTTTCCATCTGGTTAAGATGGAATCTACAGCATGATTGGGGCCCCAACACCCCAAAGGCCCTTGGCCAACCAGTCCTGTCCGAGGTGCAGGATTTCTAAGTCTACCCTTCTCAATCTCATATAAGCCATGCTGGTTCCTTCTCTCCACATGCCCATCCTTTTCGTTAAACTTAGGAGAGAAGTTCCTTTCACCCACTTGAGGGTCTGCCCACACGGGCCCAGGCAAGACAGAGCTGGCAATGTACTCCACGGGCGTTACTCTCGCCACTCGACCAGCCAGCTCATTTTCTCATGGGGAACCAGGCTTCGCTCCACCTTGGAGCCAGGGTACGGAGATGTCCGGGCCTTCTCGTGGGGCTTCTCAGCAGTGCGCTTCGAACCTGACGTGATGAAGTTTAGAGAAAACCTATGTGAGGAAAACAGGCTCCAGCTGGCCAGGATGTTGGGGCAGCTGCCGGGCCTGCCTGTCACAGAGGCCAAGGTCATGAAGGGAGACACGGTCGCCTGTCACAGAGGCCAAGGTCATGAAGGGAGACACGGTCGCTAAAGCCTTGGACAGGCGGCGTCCAGCCATGCAAGCAAGACCCAGCGGCCCGAGGGGATTTCGGTTGCTCTCTGCGTGGGGGCGCAGTCTCCACTGCAGATCAGCACCCGCCCGCGGGGAGGTGGCCACGTTTCTCTCCTGAACACCAGTTGATGGCCCGCCTTCCTAAAAGGCCGTGTGGCGTCTCCAGTGGCTACAACGGGGCGCGCCAATGGCTCGTGCGTGGAGGTAACGGTGCCGCGGGGTTGCCAGGGGCGTACCACGACCGGGCCGCGCACTCTCGCTGCCGCCCTGGCGTTTTGGTTGTAAATTGAGAGATTTTGACCTCTGGAAAAGCTCCCAAATGGAAAGTGCTGGGGTTGAGGACATCTTCCTAACGACAATAAAATTAGCAAAGGAGAACCACCAAAGTGCCATTAGCCCACTAGCCATTTACCAGTAAATTTAGTTCACAAGGTTTAGGATGCTTTCTGTTAGGGAGAGGGCAGAATGAACGTGGGGTTAGGAGTGGACAAAACTCCCTGTTTGGGATGCTCAGAAGCCGAGTGGGGGTGGCCTAAAAAAACAAGGGGGACTCACCTGGTACACTGAGCGTGGTGCTGATGAGAACTCCATGAGAGGGTGTGATGAGCGGAGTATGTGTTCAAAACGTGGGTCTATCATTTACTACCTGAATGGTTTTGGCAAGTTCCTTAATCTCTCTTTTCCTAGGAGTATTTGCTACAGAATGCCAAGTACTGTGCCAAGCACAAAAGAGTGAACTGAAGGCTGGACCACGGGCCCTTTGCTTTTAAAATGATTCTGCTCGGAGAGGCAGCACATTTTTATTAATATATATATATATATACACACACACACATATATACATATACACATATATATACACACATATATATATGTGTGTGTGTATATATATATATATATATATATAGAGAGAGAGAGAGAGAGAGAGAGAGAGAATTAGCACTGAAAGGGCAATGCCAGGTATCAGGTAAAAGTCGAACACAGGTTAAAAACCCAGCTCTAATTCCTCCACATGCCACTTTCTTGGGGGAAGTTACATAAGCTCTCTTCAGGTTCCTCATGTGTAAAATGAAAATATTAATAACTACCTCATAGGGCTGTGGTGACAATTAAGTAGGATGTTATAACACATGTTAGCTCAACGTCTGGTCCACAGCATAAACTCAATAAATATTAGTTGTCATCACTGTAATTATCGTTAACTTTTTTGATTCTGCACCTTGAAAACTGTAGATTAGAACAGGACAGCTGAGATGATTATGGGAACTGAGCAGCTCACATATGAGGTCAGAATTAAACAGCTTATGGTTAGAGAAAATCAGGATGAGAAATAACAGAAATTCAGGCTGAGAAATAACAGCATCTGTCCTGAAATGATAAATAATGAGAAGAGGCACGGTCTTAGACATTACTCAGAAGGAAACAAGCCCTAGGGAAAGGTATCTGATCATTTGAAACAGTCCCATTAGAAAGATGTTCAATGAGTAAATGATTTTATGGTCAAATATGTTTGGGGAATTCTACATATTTTATCACCCTGTCCCCTTAGAAATTCAGGGTTCACATTAGTGTTCTAAAGATCCTGAAAATTTCTATAAACACAAATCAACATTAAATTGTTTAATTTTGTTTCATCTGGTATTTCCATTCTCTGGTTAGAAACATTCTAACCAGAGAATGTTTCTTTTTTGCAATAACTGGTAACATATTAGGAACATACTTCCTCAAGTTTAGAAAGGTTTCAAAATGTATATGTGTGATTGAGGGTAGATCCCTAATCATTTGAAGTTATTACTATCATCATAACTATGGAAGGCAGCTACAGAATACATACCCAATGCCCTCATTAAACTCCAAACAAGATGAGGCAGGTTTCTAGAAGGCTTGAAACACAGAAATAGCTGGGGCTATGGGGAACAAAATGGTAGAAAAGGACTGAGAACAGAGAAATATGAGACATAGTCATCCTTAACCATCATTGTCATCAACATTGTTGAGGGTTGGCTGTGCGCAAAGCACTGTACAAAGTACCACTGGGAAAGAAAGATGATCCTTAAGGGACACAATCCCAGCTCTATAATTCTTGTCTTTCTATGCCTCAATTTTTTAAATCCTGGAATTCTATTCCTGCAGGTCTCCTGAAAATGTATTAAGAAAACCACTGATACAAAAACTTAAAACATTTGGGGAAAATATACTGTGAATTCCTCATTATTTCCAGGTATCCTACTCCAACTCATAAGAAACAAATGGAGCAGATGTCTTTGGTATGGTTCCGGCTTCCTCCCATCATAGGCTTTGTAGCTTGCATCTGACCCTTGGCTTCTTTGGGTCTTGGTTCCTCACTAGAAAAGGAATCTGTTGGCCTCTGTTACCTATAAAATTCCTTCAAGACTTAGCATTTTATGATTCTAGGATCTATGAAAATCTCATTATTAGAAGGGCAAGGTCAATTTTTGCTACGAATCCAAAAGACTAGATGTTCAAATATAAACAGCCAGATGCTCAGGGGGAAAACACACTGTTGAGGAAAGGAAAGGAACAGGGAGGGTATGGTGTGCCACATACAAGGCAGAAATATAATAATTCATGGGTACCTAGAAAGGAACTTCAAAACCAGTAATAAGGCATTTTATTCTATTTTTAGCATCGTCAGCAGGCAGAAGATGGTTAGATAAGACCATTTGATGATTGTGGTGCAAAAGATACCCTAGGGGCAAGAAATAAAATAACTGTAGTAGAAACCAAAAGAATTATTTGCTGGGAAGCCACTGGGGAGATTCCCTTTCTTAAATTGTCTTCTGAGGCAGAAATGTCTGAGGTAGAACAAGCAGAGCTACACACAGAGAATTTTCTGGTTCTATCCACGAGAAAGCCCTAAAGGAACTGTAAGGGGCAATCAGAGAATAAATCTTTGGCCTGTCACTATGAACTATGCCCGAGTCAGAGATTGCCTGTGTCATTCCCATTTTATAATATTAAGGATATTATGAAAGGCAAAGTGGATATGGGGAGGACCAGGGTGATTACAAGGTCCAGGCAGTGCAAGAACCCCTAACCATCCTTCCTACCTCTCTTTGGGAAGTACAAACAAGTGGTACCCACCACATTTAATTATCAAGAATTATCCATCTCTTCCGAAAGTGATGCTAAGGCTCAACTTCAGAAACAAATCTTGAAGGAAAGCAGAAAAATGGTTTTCTCCTCTCTTTAAAGTGGTAATAATGATAATAAATAACAAATTAACTACTATATACTAAGTTATTTCCATGTAACAGAATGGTGTACAGGTTTGTCCAAGTAAGACTGCCCAGTTTTGAATCCTGGTTTAGCCACTTCTTAGCTAGTTGACCTTAAGCAAGTTTTTAAACTTCTCTGGGCCTCAGTTTTCTCATCTAGAAATAATAATGGTATCCATGTTATAGGGTTGATGTGACATAATTCATTTAAATAGCTTAGACTAATGTTTGATCAATAGTAGGACCACAACAAATAGTTATTGCAACTATTACTATTAAGTACTTTACATTTGTTATCCCATTTAATTTTCAAACAACCCTTTGAGTTAGGCACATATACTAACAATATCAACAGTTAACAGACTGAGGACATTGCAATTCATAGAATTAAATGTGCCCAAGATCACATAGCTAGTTATTACTATATATTTCAGAACCAGAAAGGCTTGACAATATAAACTCATATTTTATTGATAGTCTGAATGCATGTTGAATTTGATTTTATATGGCAAAATGGCACCATTTTACTATGCCTATAAAATTTTTGACTGAAGTTGGTTCTTCTGCTGGGTTCACTCTGTAAGAGGAAGAATTTGGAGACAGTGAAACCATTAGCAACCTATTGTAATAACAGTTGTAAAGAGAAAATGCCCTGATTCATGGGAAAATTCAGACAAAAAAGACAAGCAAGAGAGACATCCCAAAGTGGAAGTAGAGGCCTAAAGAGAAGGAGTCATCAAAGATCGCCCATTTTAATCCTAAAGAGCCCAATGGATGGTGGTGATTGGCATAAACAGGGAAGCCAGGAGGGGAGTTGACAGTGGGAAATTCACTTTTAGCTGTGTTTTAAGGACACATGATAAGAGGATGGAGCATGGGATGAGTGCTGTGGGAACTGGAGATTCCGCCACTAACATTTTTGTTCCTCAATTTCCTCTTTCAAAAATGATAAGTTGATCTAGAATTAATCCTTTGGATTCCTTCCAACTTCCTAGAGGAAGCATGTAAATGAATTAGAGGAAGTAGAAGGTAGATTTCAGGAATTCAAGAGGCAGTGAGTGATCAAGGTATTGGATCATTAGTCTGGCCTTGAAGTAAAAGAGAGAAGTGGGACAATTACTTACTTTTTAAGATTAAGACAAATGGTGCCTTTTAAGAAATGACTTAGGCAGGATTAATTAATACACCCATATGTAGAATACAGGCTGTTGACAATTAACCTAAGAAATCTAAAGTAAAATGTGTAACAATGAAAGTCAAGTAGACTTTATTTATAGGAGAGATAAGCTTCAGTTTGTGTGGTGTGATATGAAGGTGTTGGGAAAGTCCAGCTGCCCCAAAAATGTCTTCCTGATCTTCTTAAAATACTGCCTGGCTTTACACCATTAAAATAAACCTCTTTAAATGTACTTCATAATATAAAATGCACATTTATTTCACATTCAGCTGTTACCATGCTTTCCGGTGCATTAGGGTAACAGGATGACAACTAGCTACGGCGAACTGAGGAGACAAAGATTTGAAGGGGGAGGAGGAAGGGATTCCTTTGGTATTTGGTGCAGCATTACTCAAGTCAGTCAGTTCAACAACATGTGGCTGCCTATTATACTCCAGATATTGAGCTAGGTTCTAGACATTAAAAGGCAAGTAAGTTGTGGTTCATTGCCTCAAGATGCTTATGGTCAAGAGAGAGTGGACTACATAAAGGTCATGGGGCTGGAGGAGTTTTGAAAAGTGGGACCAGCGACTAGGTAAAAAGGAAGAGGGACAAAGAAATTTGTTCTCTTCCATCACAACTTTGTTGAAGAATTAGATACCCCAAACAATGCTTTTTCTTGGTCCCAGTGAATCCCCCTAAGGAACTACTAAAATTTAAGCTGGTAGAGTTGACACCCTGTAGGCTGAAGAATAACAGATAATTTGAATATCTTTAACTCAATATTTTTGGCCCTTTGAAATTTAAATTAGTAAAATTTTACTATATCAGAACTTGTAACCTAAACAGTTGACTATAAAATACAGGTTTGCTGATAATTTTTCCTGCTCCCTTTCTCCCCTGGAACTTCACAGTATGCTAAGATTGCTGAGGACTGGTGGGGGGATCCAGGGCTAGCAGAAGCAGGAAGCAGGAAGCAGGAAATGTAGAGAAATTGGAGCTAGAAAGATAACTGAGCACTTCTTTAAACAGCAGACTAGAGGAGCACCATATCTTCACAGATGGTGTTAAACAAGCATCATAAGACATAGCTTCAAATAATGCAGGGAACATACAATTAGGGCCACAAAAACTTGGGGTACCAGTTCTAGTTCTGGTATTTACTAGCTGGATAGCCACAGGAAGTCATAATTTTTTTTTGCCTATATTTAATGAGTACTGTCTATATGCCAGGCACCTATAACATGTCTATAATTGACTGAATGTTCATGGCTCCCCTCAAATTCATATGTTGAAATCCTACCCTCCAGTGTGATGGTATTGGGAGGTGGGGCCTTTGGGAAGTAATTAAGTCATGAGAGTGGAGTCCTCATTAATGGGATGACTGCCCTCATAAAAGGAACCCCAGAGAGCTCCGAGGCTCAGTGTCTTTTCACTATGTAAGGATACCATGAGAAGTCAGCACTCCAGAGGAGGAAGAAAGGCCCTCAGCCAACCCCTGACTGTGCTGGCACTCTGATGTCATACTTCCAGCCTCCAGAACTGTGAGAAATGAATGTTTGTTGTTTAAGCCACCCAGTTTATGGTAGTTTGTTATGGCAGTCTGAACTGGGCAAGAGTGTTTTACATATGACGATATTTCATTCTCATGACAACCCACTGAAGTAGATTCTATCATTTTTCTCTATTTTATAGATAAGAAAACTTACCCACAGATAATTCAAGGTCAGATAAACTAAAATTTGTTAAAGTAGGGATTTGAATACAGGTAGTCAAACTCTAATGCCCATGTTTAATCATTATGATATCCCAGGTATTAAGTCTTTTGGGCTTCAGTTCCCTCACTTAAAACTGGACACGTTGCACCAAACAATGTTGAAAATTCTTTCTGGCTTTAAACACTATGATTCTAATTATATAAATCATATCTATATTTAATACGCTCATGGTTAATCTGTGTTTCGGAATAGTCTCAGAGAACTGAGAGCTGAAGACAAGTTTCTGAAATATGGCTTCATTTCTTAGTTATCCCTTGTTTCAGTCAACGTAAACCACATAATTTACTCTTCCACCAAGAATACCCTTCCTCCATTTCCATCTGTTGAAAATCTATCCATCCTTCAAGTGCCAGCTGAAATGCACCTCCTCTAAATAGCCATTCTCAGTCTTTGGGGATTTAAAGTGCGGATGTATTAGACTGTTGGGCGTTGGGATTTGGGCGAAGTATCTGTGCTAATGAAAGGAAAAGATGTAGGATAAGAAGAAAGGTTGCAGGGAACCACGTACAGGAAAGGTAAGAGAACCGTCAGCAGTGTTGTTGGTGACGGGCACAAAGCCTTCCTTGTGACAGGCAATAGCAAAGTCACCAGATTATATTAAATGTTGCCCAGCTAGTAGGAGTGAGATGAAGATTAAATGAGAACGTTTGTAAAATATCTACTACACTGTCTGGAAGGGCAGCAACAGGATAATTCCTAATCTCTTCCTTCCATAGGCAACTGGTCATCTCCTTCATGCTGAAGAAAGCTGCCATCCTGCCCAGGGAGGAGTAGGACAAGAAGAGGGGAGAAGAGACTCTGGGGGGGAAAAGAAGTCAGGCGGAGATATATGGGAACACAAAGAAAAAACGAGAGCCAGAGTACACAAGACGAGACAGAAAAAAGAAATGTAAGGGAGTGACGGCGAAGAAGAGGATAGAACGGTAATGGAAGCAGAAGGGCAAAGAGGGACAAGTAAGAAGGAGAGAATTCTAGGCCTCGGGAAGAGAAAGTTCCTGCTGCACTGCGGAATCCGGCCTAAAGGAAGAGGCAACCAGGTGCAGCACCCAAGCCCAGGTGCCAGTCATTTGCCGCTGGGCTCTCAGACCCATTCTCCTTTTGCGGCTGTCACATATTCTGTAGGGATTCTGAGCCCTGCCCTCTGTCATCTTGTCCACTGGCTTCTCCTGCTTTCCACCACTGGGTGGGCTTGGAGGGTGGGAGGCAGGGAGAAGCCAGGGGGACTCTCATCCCCTACTTTGGAAGATGTCTGCCGCAGTAGTTGCACTAACTTTGTGGCTCCAACTCCTATTGGACAAGCCCTCCAGGGTTCCGGCTGTCTCCTCTCTTTGCCCCTCCAGCCTCAGGGGAGAAGGCACGTCCAGCAGTTGCTAATCTCAGGATTGCCTCACCTTACCCTAGTTGAACGTCCAGTTCTTTCAACACTTGTAACTAATTTGCTGCATTAAATTATTGCTATTGACTCGCTTGGGAAAGAATACTTTCGCTGGATTCACTTGCAGAGTTCAAAGACACTTTTCCTAATGGGACTGCAAGCAGCGCATCGGAGAAAAAAATCTAGCAGTCCCAGGAGTCAAGAAGGGTCAGGGTCTACTTCAGTGTGTGATCAGACAGCGACAAACCCACACTACCTAACAGGGCCGGAAGGCTCTTAGCCTAGGAATTAGCTGTAAAATGACTGGGTTCATGTCTACTTTTTCATGATTTACTCTATTCTCTTTGATCACCGCCAGCCTTGGCTTAAGGAACATCTCTGTAGAATTCAATTTTATTCCTCAAGGGTTACTTAAGTGCCCATTATGAGTATGGAGGGCACATAGCTAGGTGTGGTGGGGAGGAGATATAGAGACGCAGGAAAAATGGAGGGCATGCTCAGTTTTTGGAAGTGTTTGCTTCCTGCAAGATGAGGTTTGCGGACCTATCAGGAGAGCCTCTTGATAAAGACTCCTGAACTTTTCCAGTCTCACCAGAGCTGCAGACACTCGGAGGCAATATTAGTCTTACAGCTTTCATTTCTCCCATCACCAGAGCTCTGTTAAAAGCAGACTCCTCTTTAAGGAATCCACAGATCAGAGAGGGTACAGCACATGCACACAACTGACCCCCAGGTCAGAATGATGCCAGCCACAAGGGGGGATTCTGCTTGGGGGAGCAGGAAGACTGCACAGAGATGGTAGGAGACGGCTACAGGAGCTGAGTCCAACAAAGTTTGACAGGTGGAGGCGGCTAAGGGGTATTCTGGCAGAGAACAGAGAAGGATCAAAATAAAGTGTCAAAGGACAGACACATTTCAGGTGTTGTCTGTAAACGGAGGCTTTGGGGTGAGGGTAGGGAAGTGGAGGGGAGACTGAAAAATGGAGGCCCAGCTATTGAGGACTCTGAGAATGAGGCATTAAGGCTCGAGGCCATGGTGAGTCACTGGAGGATCTTCAGCATCAGGGCGGCAAGGTCACTTCTGGTGGGGTGGCGGGGGTGGGGTGGGGTGGGGGGACTTTGCGATTAGAAGCAAAGAAGCTGGAGGCAGGAAAAGAAACTGCGAGCTCTCGGGTGGAGGGCAGCTTATACGGGAAGCCTGGACTTGACCATCGCCAGGGAGGCATACTGACATTCGAGCTGCCTTCCATCTATTCAAGGGCACGCTTCCTCCGTCTGTGGGGGGAGAAGGTGCCCCCTCAGAGGCTGTACGATTCGAAGTCTCCGGCCTGAGAAGTTTCGAATTTCTCCTTGCCAAGGTCGGGCCACTACAGGTGGGAGACTGCGAGCCCCGAGCGAAAGCTTGGCTTCACGCCCGCCCGGGGCAGCCGCCGCGGCTCGTCCCCTCCAGGCCTGGGCACCGCCGTGGGCCGTGCCCGGCAGGACGCTCCGGGAGCTGCGCGGCGGCGGCTCGAGGAGGCCTGGCGGGCGGCGGCGAGAGGCTGTGCCCCAGTTTGTGTCCAATCAGGGAGTGCGGGCTGTGCCCCGAGCCGGGCAGCAATGCGTAAACAAACCCACGGTAACTCCTCCGCCCCCTCGGCGCGCTCGCCCCGCGCCCGCCGCCGCCAGCGCCGCCGCCGCCGCCGCGGGCTCTGCTCTCCTCGCGCCCGCCCGCCGGGCCGGCCCAGCCCCCGCCCCGCGCCGCTCGCACCCCCGCTGCCCCGCCCCGCCCCCGCCGGCGCGGGCTCCCTCACCTACCGCCCCACGCGCGCGCGCTCGCGCACCACGCGCCCCGCGCGGCCCGCCCGGATCGTGGCCTCTCGAGAGCAAGGTAAGGGCGATGCGCGGGGACCCAGGCGGCTTCCCCGCCCGACGCGGCCCAGGGAAGTTTCTGGCGTGGCTGTTTTCCGCGGGGCCGGGGGGGAGGCCCCGGGAGCCAGGCGAGCCCGGCGGGCGGGAGGGGGCCGCCTGGCGCCCCGGGGTCACAAGTTGCCTAACCTGACCTCGGTGCGGGCCGGTGGGCGGCGCGGCCGGGCTGGCGGCGCGCGGAAAGGGGCTGGAGGCACGGCGGGGCCGGGCGCCGGGCGGGCAAGGGGAGGGCCCCGAGGAACTTTCTCTTCCCCAGAGGGGCGCCTTCCAGTCCTGGCCGCGGCCCCGCCGCGGGAGCAGCGGCTCCCTGGCTGGAGGGAGACCATGAAATGTGTTCGAAGAAGCTGACGCAGTTTGTGACGCTCGCGGCTTCCTGATGGGGACCGGCAGCAGCGGCGCCTCCGCCGAGGAGGGACGACCTGAGTCGGCGCTCGGGCCCTTCCCCCGCCGGCAGCCGCGCGCCCCGGCGCCTAGTTTGGGGGCCGCTGGCTCGGGGCGCGAGCATCTGCTCCCGGCTGCGCGCGTCGCTTCCGTTTTGATTAGCTCAGGTTATTATATAAGATGTCACGGAGAGGAAAGGGGCGAGCGAGAGGCGCGTTGGGGAGGGCGCGGTGGCCTTCCGCGAGTGGCAGGGAGGGGCAGGAGGCAGGACCCGGCGGGACCCACCTGTACGCCCTCCGCGCCCCCTGCGGGCGCTGCCCGCGCGCGTGCCGGGGTGGTGGGGTGGGGGGGCACGGACGGACGTGCCCGCTGCTCCCATCCCCTCCCCGCCAACACTCGGGCAGCGGCCGAAACGTGCTATTTTTTCGCTGCCACCTCTCCTGGGTCTACAGGTTTCTGGCCCCAGGCGTTTGTACTTTGAAACATTTGTTTAATATTAAGAAAGCTGCGTGTGCGGCCGTCATAGTACACCCGGAACGTGTGGCCGTGAGCTCCAGGGCGGTGAATGAATCATCGCCCCGCGGACCGGGCCCCGATGATTCATGCGGGGTACACACACGCGCGCGTACTCGCTATGTACCTCTGACCCAGGGAGAGTGGCCCCTCTGCAGTGATGACGCCCGGAGGGGCGGGGAAGACTTAGTGCAAAAGGACAGCGGGGTCCCCCCCTTCCACAATAACTTGTGGGGGGGTCAGGGACGCCCGGAGGGACGGGGGAGACTTAGTGCAAAAGGGCAGCGGGGTCCCCTCTTCCACACTAACTTTTGGGGGGTCAGGGTCCACACATTCCCCAAGGCTTGTTTTGCGTTCTCGAAAGAGTTACAAAATTCCACCTGGCTACATTAACCGGTTGAGGAGCGCTGGTTCGCTGCAGGGCTGGGTCCTGTCTCATTCAGTATTTGGTGTCAAGTGAGGGAGGTATCAGACTCTGAAGGAATCCTCCTAGTAATTGCGTCTACCTAACTGGTTCTGAAGTAATTAGAAAAATTTTAAAAGTGGATCTTAAAAGAAGACTCCTTAAGACTAGTTTTTTGAGGGTTTTTAAAAAGCCAGATCCTAAAAGGAACCTCGGTTGCCATTCATGAATACAGAATTTTTCCCAATGTGATCACTCTCAAAGATTAACTTGACTCATTCCCACCTCACATTAGTAAGACTGAATAAAGTTTTCTCATCATTTAAGACTCACCTCAAACGGCATCTACTCAGCCAGGCCTTCTTGATCGCCTTCATTATCTCCTGTCCCCTCCCCCAGGAGCCACCCCATAATACTATTTTATTTTCTTCACTGCGCTTAATCGCTATCTGATCTTACTTTGTTTAGGAGTTCTTTTAGTCTGATCTCTTCTTACTGGAATGTAAGCTCCACTATGCTAGGGATTTGGGCTGTTTTGTTCGCTGCTATAACCCTAGCACCTAGAACAGTGCCTGGCATATATGAAACACTTAGTATTTGTTGAATCGTGAATGAATAAACTCTTTTCCAGATTTCTTGGTAGGACTGTTTTTGACAGTTGAAATTCAGTGCTTTTTTTTTGTGGGAAAGTCACCAAGTTGGTGCAGTTCTAATTTTCTTCTTTTTCCTCCTGGTTTTCTTTTGATTCATTTTCTGCTCTGTGATGTTAACCTACAGCACAACAAGGGTTTGAGCATCATATCCTAAGACACTTAGTATGAAAAAAGATAAAGCATGTGGAGCTCTGTCAAGAGAAAGTATGTTACTATGTAACTTCTGGATGATTAAAAATATTATCTGTGCTAGTTGAAGAAAAGGTGCAGGATATTGAAATGGAATCAGCAAAGTCAAATCCCACAGTCCTATGTTTCCACTTATTTGGAATACTAATATTTCCATATCT
Organism: Homo sapiens; assembly: GCF_000001405.40. Lineage (NCBI taxonomy): Eukaryota > Metazoa > Chordata > Mammalia > Primates > Hominidae > Homo > Homo sapiens. The sequence continues at coordinate 91,165,420 of NC_000010.11, forward strand.
TCCCTCCCCACTGCCTGGAAAACAGCCTGAAGTTTAGCTGCAGTTTGGGAAGGTTCATAATAAATACCACTTAGTATGAAGGTTTTTTGTTTGAGGCAGGGTCTCTCTCACTCTGTTGCCCAAGCTGGAGTGCAGTGGCGCAATCATAGCCTCAACCTCCCAGGCTCAAGTGATCCAATATGAAGTATTAATTTAATCAAATGAAAACAGGATTTATGCTGCAGAGGCCTTAACTCTGATTTGTTGTTGTTCATGTCGGTAATGCCACAGAAGAGTACATAAAAGGAGTTATTTAAAATTATATTTTAAACATCTTAAATGGATTCTAAAGAATTACAGCTATAAGTCAGTGATATAATGTAAAAAGGATGTGTATGTCATATTTAATAATATCCCTTTAGAGGATAAACTTTGATAAAGTTTATATTATAAATCAACTTTGGAGGCATGTTAATTAGCCCCAGTCTTGTAGCAATATTTTCAGGACTCAGTACTTCTGAAGTTAGTGCTGAAGAAGAATGGGCTTCTAGCAGTTCCCTTTCCATAATAGTAGCTGTGATCACTTGCAGAAGCATAATCTCAAGAGTAAGCTCAGAGACAATAGAATTTTAAAGCTAAAAGAGACCTTGAAATTACTTGGCGCAGTTCATTCCTTTTTAATCAATCCCTTCACTAAAGAAACTAAGGCATAGTGAGATGACTTGCCTAAGGTACAAGGCAAGAGTCAGAACCAAGAGTCCTGACTCTCATAAAGAGCTTAAGTGGTTGGAAGTTCCTGAATTAGCCAGAGCTGCTATAGGTGGAGAAGAATGGTTTCTATCATTAGTTGATTGTCTGCCTTTTGCTTGTGAACTCTCAGAGGGAAAAATAATGTCTTATTCACCTTTGTATCCTCCCATGTGCCTGCAACATCTAGGGGCTCAACAAATGCTTATTGAAAGCAGTTGGATAAATGGGTTTTAAGTTGAAAATATATTTAGGAAGTGAAAAAGCAGGAAAACATATCTCCTTTCCACATTGAAGAAGTTTTCTGACAACAGAATTAGATATTGGCAGTAAATAACCTAGAATTAACCTTAGAACTTTTACAATAATGAAACTACTGTTTAATTTTTATGCCTCCAGTTTTTTTTTAAAGTCTTAAAACTTGTAAGTGTGCATGTTTGCTTACTTGGTATAATTATTTACTGGAGAAACAGGAGACAGGAGTCAGGACATCTGATGGGTGTTGCCTCTGTCACAGCATCCAATAGAAAAGCCTAGACTTTGCAGCCAGTCAGATTTGGGGCTAAAACACAGCTCTGCCCCTAATAAGTAGAGCTTTCCACAGCAAGTTACTTAACTTTTTGGAGCATTCTGTCATCTCTAAAGTGGGGATAATGCCATCTACCTTGAAGGATTGTGTGAGACTGAGATAATGTATATATATAATGTGTGTGGTGTATAAAAGGCTCTTAATAAATGGTAACTGCTATAGTTATGACTACAGATTTGTGTGACCATGGGAGCAGCTTAATCTCTCAGAAGTTTCAGTTTTTTCAATCGGAGAATAGGTGGTCAGGATGGGGGAGGGGAATGACCGATTTCTAAGATCTCGTCCAGCTCTATGGTTTCAGAAACCAATAAAGAAATATACAGTTCTCCTGCAATTTTAGTTAAAGGTAATTCATATATCCTTGATCCAACAAAAACTACAAAAATGGTTAGTTTCTAGACCTTCTTAAGAGTTTGTCTAAATTAACTTTTATGATAAGTACATTTTCATTATTTTATATGCTATATGATGGATATGAAGTTAACTTGAATATTTCAACCTCTCATCCAGCTTACTATATATATAAAGCAATATAAGAAGAATACTGGTTAATTAGACATAGATACTCTTTCTTTAAGAGGCTTAAGAGTCATGTAGAGCACATAAGACAGATAACTAAAGGCTGTTTTACATGGGAGAACTGTTAGAGAGGCATAAAGAAAATACTTTGTGAATTCAGAGGAGGAAAAGACTATTTCTAGCCAGAAAAAAGGTAAGACTTAATTAGGGAATTTTGAGCAAGGCTTAAAAAATTGAGACGACTTCAATCGGCAAAAATGTAGGGACCAGCCTGTGCTAAGACTTGAAGGTAAGGATATATGAGCATGTCCAGGATTTGAGAAGAATGTGGTTAAACTGGAGGTTGAGGAGCCTGGAGGCAGTATAATGGGAGAGAATGCTGCATGGGGAGGGGAAATTAGGACTATATTGTGCAGCATCTTGAATGCTGGGCTAAGGAGACTGTTTAGTTGGCAGTAGATAAGTATCAGAAATATTTTAAATGGGGGAATGATGTGATCAAGACTATGCTTTAAGAGATTAATCTTCATCACAGGAGCCACAGGTAGTCCATTTAAGCTGTTGAAATATTCTCCAGAAGAGAAATGATGAGAACCTAAATTAGGGTGGAGGCAGATGAGTTGGGCAAGATACTATAGAAGTGAATAAAACAGAACTTGTTGGCAATTGGATGTAGGAGTTGAGGAAGAAATCAAAGACAGAAGCTCAGTCACTTAAGTTGATGTTGGCAAGGATTGAAATAGGAAGGGACACTAGTAAAGCACCTGCAAGTAGTCTGCAATCAATAAATATTTGTCTAATTAATGGAGGTGATTATTGGTTTGGATTTGGATGTGTTAACTTGTATGTGGCTATGGACCATCTAGATGGATGAGAGCCATTAAAAATACAGAAAGATTTGGGGCATCCTTATGGAGGGGGATGGTGAACCTGTCAGAAAGTTCAGAGTGTGGTGAGCAGAATAAAAGGCTAGGATAGAGCCTTGTAAAAGCCAGTATTTGTGGACTTGAGGGAGATAGGAGGAGGTAGACAGGATGCTGAGAAGAAAGAAGCAGGAGGGGGATGAGGAAAAGATTGGGCAAAGAAAGATAAGGAAGGAGATTTCGAAGGATCCTGATAGGGTAGAGGATGGGCTGAGTTGAAGACTGGGAAAAGGACATTAGATTTGTCAGTGAGACCATCGTCAGTAGCCTTTGAGGAACAGAGTCAGTTGGGCAGTGGGGATTAGTGGGGACAAGTCCGCTAGTTACCTGAAGAATGCTGGCTTGGGAAGGAAATGGAGAAAGCAAATGTAAATTGTGACTGGACTGTGAAAATCAGAGACTAGGGATAGGGAGAAGGCAATGACTTGAGGCAAGAAAAGTGTCAATGAAGCTTTCTTAAAAACAAAACCGGCAGGGCATGGTGGCTCACACCTGTAATCCCAGCACTTTGGGAGGCCGAGGTGGGCAGATCATGAGGTCAAGAGTTCCAGACCAGTCTGGCCAACATAGTGAAACCCCGTCTCTACTAAAAATACAAAAAACTAGCCGAGTGTGGTGGTGTGTGTCTGTAATCTCAGCTACTAGGGCTGCTGAGGCAGGAGAATCACATGAATCTGGGAGGCGGAGGTTGCAGTGAGCTGAGATTGCACCATTGGACTCCAGCCTGGGCGACAGTGTGAGACTCCGTCTCAGAAAAAAAAAAAAAAAAAAAAAAAAAAAAAGAAGGCTTGATAACATTTGTGCATTGTGCGTAGAGTGGTTGCAAGTGCAGAGGAAAGGAATGAAGATCGAGGGAGGACGTAGGAGGGCAATTAATACACTAGGCTCTCCTCAAGCAGGAGAGATAGGATAGGGTAACCATACATGCAATTGCCCAGGGCAGTGCTAGTTCACACCAGTTTATTTACGGTATAATATCTGGATACAGGATACAGGATAAAAGTGGATAATAATGCCCAATTTTAATCTTAAAAGAGAGCCTATTTTTGAATAATTGAATTGATTACCCTAATCATGATGCAAATAAAGAAGTTACTTGTGGGAAAATATGGCAAAATATAAAGAAATAAAAGATAGCCTGGTTGGAAAGGAAGAAATAAACCTTTGTTTGAAGATGACATGATTGTTTATGTAGAAAACTGAAAGACTCAACAACAACAAAAAAACCTCCTGGAACTAATAAGCAATTACAGCAGGGTTGTAAGAGACAAGGCTAGTATATGAAAGTTCATCACTTTTCTATATACCAGGAATTAACAAGTGGAATTTGAAATTAAAAACAATCTCATTTACATTAGCACCTCAGACAAAACAAAATACTTAGATATACATCTAACAAAATATGTATAAAATCTATGTGAGGAAAACTATCAAATTTTGATAAAAGAAATCAAAGAAGAATTAAGTAAATGGAGATATAGTCCATCTTCATAGGTAGGAAGACTCAATATTGTCAGGACTTCCCAACTGTATTCATATATTTAATGTAATGTCAATCAAAATCCCAGCAAGTTATTTTGTAGATATTGGCAAACTGACTCTAAAGTTTATATGCAGAGGCAAAAGACCTAAAATAGCACAATACTGAAGGAGAAGAACAAAGTTGGAGGACTGACACTACCTACCTTCAAGGCTTGCTATAAACCTATAGTAATCAAGACAGTGGTATTGGCAAAAAATTAAACAAATGGATCATGGGACAGAATAGAGAGCCCATAAATAGACCCCAATAAATACAGTCAAGTGATCTTTGACAAAGAAGCAAAGGTAATACAGTGGAGAAAGGATAGTCTTTTCAGCAAATGGGTGAGGCTGAAACAACTGGACATCCATATGCAAAAAAAGAAAAAAGTTAATCTAGACACAGACTTCACCCGTGTCCCAAAAATTAATTCAAAATGGATCACAGACCTGAATGTAAAACTGTAAAACTCCTAGAAGATAACATAGGAGAAAATCTGGATGACCTTGGGTTTGGTGATGACTTTTTAGATATGACATCATAGGCACAGCCATGAAAGAATTGATAAGCTGGACTTCATAAAAATTTAAAAATTTCTGCTCTGCAGAAGACATTGTCAAGAGAATAAAAAGATGAGCCACAGACTGGGAGAAAATATTTGCAAAAGATATATCAAATAATAGTCTGTTATCTAAAATATACAAGGAACTCTTAAAACTGAATATGCAACCCATTTACAAAATGGACCAAAGACCTTAACAGACACCTCACCAGAGAAGATACACAGATGGCAAATAAGCATATGAAAAGATACTGCACATCATATGTCATCAGGAAAATGCAAATCAAAACAACCATGATATACCACTATACACAATTGAAATGGCCAAAATTCAGAACACTGACAACAGCAAATGCTGACAAGGAGGTGGAGCAACAGGAACTCTCATTTATTACTAGTGGGAATGTCAAACAGTACAGCTACTTTGGAAGACAGCTTGGTGGTTTCTTACAAAACGAAACATACTCTTACTGCACAATCCAGCAGTTGTGTCCTTTGGTATTTACCCAAAGGAGTTGAAAACTTGTGGCCACACAGAAACCTGCACACTGATGTTTATAGTAGCTTTCTTCATAATTGCCAAAACTTGGAAGCAACCAAGATGTCATTCAGGATAAACTGTGGTACATCCAGGTAATGGAATATTAGTGCTAAAAATAAATAGCTATCAAGCCATGAAAAGACATGGAGGAAGCTTAAATGCATATTCCTAAGTCAAAGAAGCCAATCTGAAAAAGCTTCATACTGTGTGATTCCAACTACACAACATTCTGGGCAAGCAAAACCATAGAGTAAAAAGATCAGTGGTTGCCAAGGGTTAGAATGGAGGAGGGATGAACAGGTATAGCACAGACGATTTTTAGGGCAGTGAAACTACTCTGTGATATAACAGTGCATACATGGTATTATACATTTGTCCAAATCCCTAGAATGTAGAAGAATACAAAATACAGATGTGGCATGGAGGAAGAAAGAAGTTAGATGAAAACAAAAGGAAATTTTGAGTTCTGAAGAGGAAAGTTGATGGCTGGGAGGTGGCTGCATTTGAAATGGGTTGGTTTTTTTATATTGATTTGCCAAAAGTAAGTGGAGAGTAAAGTGTAAAGCTGAAGTGGAGGAGAGTTGAAAAGGTTTGGTAAACTTTGGGTTTGCGCAGTGGGGAGCCAAAGGTGATGAGGGCTTGACAAGTTGCTAGAAGGCCTTAGCCTAGTGATAGGATGAATCACTCCTGTATTTCATGACTTTCTCCAGCAATGCTCAGAAAATTGGAAGTAGAGATGCTGTGAGTATCACTGAAACTGCCAACTCCATATGGGCCCTTGGTTGAGTAGGAAGGCAAGTGACACTAGAGTGTCGATGGGCTGGGAGAATAGCAGGGAATATGAGATTAGAGTGTGTAATGGCTGATTCAGCAAGAGTGAAGGAAAGGGAAAAACGAATGTGGAGGGAGGTTCTGAGGGTAGTGGTGAAGGGCATGAGGAACTTTCAGGGTTATTGTGGAGGGATCAGTTCTGAGTAATGACAAAAATTCAAAGTGTGGCTGAGCTTGGGGATGTTGAGTGACACAGGCCAATGGAGGTAGAAGATCATTGGTCTTCGGGAACTATGAGGCCAAAATATCAAAATGATTTTGTATCAGTGTCAGTGTCTGTCTTTAAAACTATGGAATACACCTCCTAAAGCTTTTCTGAGCATTTATTCCATAGAGATGGAAAGTACCTTAAAGATAAGGAAGTTGTTCCTTTATTTTAAAGATGAGGAAGCTTTAAAATCCTTTAAACATTTTTAGATATATGTGATTTGCCCAGGATTACAGACGTGTGGCAGAGCTAGCTCTCGAAATAACTGGGATCTCTGAATCTCAGTTAATATTGCCCTCTAGGGCCAGGCGCGGTGGCTCATGCCTGTAATCCCAGCACTTTGGGAGGAGGAGGTGGGCAGATCACTTGAGGTCAGGAGTTTGAAACCAGCCTGGCCAACGTGATGAAACCCTATTAAAAATACAGAAATTAGCTGGGCGTGGTGGCATGTGCCTGTAATCTCAGCTACACCGGAGGGTGAAGCAGAAGAATCATTTGAACCCAGGAGGCGGAGGTTGTAGTAAGCTGGGATTGTGCCACTGCACTCCAGCCTGTGCCACAGAATGAAACTCCCCTTCAGAGAAAAAAAAAATGCCCTCTAGGGCAGAAGAAGTAATTAAAGTATCCACTCAAAAAAATCTTAGAACACTTCCTCACCATACTGTGAAGTAGACCCATGACTGTCATACACCAACCAAATAAATGACTCCACATCTGTGTGGAATAGTATGGTGTCATATAAGAAGCCAGGAATGGATGGGTCATCTCTCTCCTTTAAACACTTCCTCAATGGCAAAAAGGTGTTGGTTACCCTTGAACATAGGTTATTGAGTACTCATAACTTTTGTGTTTGCCCCCAAGTTAAACTAACCTTTGTGGCCGCAGACACATTGTTATATCAACTAGAAGTGAATTAAATGACTGAGAAAGGTTTGCGCATAGGTCCTTAGTTTATTGCTTTCACAGCTATATTTAGTGGATCTCTCCTTCCTCACTGGGAATGTCAGGAAACTCACAAATGCCATGACAGGGACTACTAGCTTTGAGATCCTGTTTTTGAACTCAGAACTTTGAAAAGTAGAAAGTTCTTTGTCCTCATAAAATGTTAAAGGAACCCTTAATTAGATGTATGGAAATTGGAATTAGTCCTGATTCTGTCACTATTTGTGATCTTACTAATCAATAATAAGTGCCTAAGTTTCCTCATCTGTAGTGTAGGAAAAAAATTACATCTGGTCTATCTCCTAGGTATTCAATGTGAAAACTCTTTGCAAGTAAATAGTGTTATGCAAAGGTAAGTTATCACTATTACCATATGGGATGCAACACACACTGTGATATTTAAGAGCTTAATTTTTAAAGTGTTTTGAATAAAACAACAAAGATGACTATTGAAATTTGGTGGGGGATTGGTTTAGGCCCTTGAAGTAAATTATGACAACTTTTCTCTTGTTATCCCTGTGATAGTGTGTAATAATTCTGGCCAAGTGAGATTAAGGCAGTGTGTTTCATGACAAATGAAATTTCTGCCTTTTTATTTCTCTTTTAACCTTAAAAAAAGTTTTTGTATTGTAAAATATAACACATATACAGAAAAGTTTTGAAATGTAAATACACAGTTAAATGAATTTTAAAAAGTGAACATCCATGTAACTACCACCCAGCTCAAGAAATAGACCAATTTAATTTGTTTTTCCTTCCATGGGAATCTTTTATTCTTCTGCTAGAGGGAGTTGGCTTTTTTTTTTTTTTTTTCCCACAGAAGCCATGAGTAGTAGCAGGAGGCAATTATAAGTTTTGGCAAGTCCAAAATATGCGCTTTTTTCAAGTGGAGCAAGATCAAAAGTATAATATTAGTGTTTTATTCAGTAGTTATTCTGGTAATTTATTTCTTATTTCTTAAACTGTGAATTTAGTATTTAGGACAAGTGCTAGGTTTTCAGCCTTAAAGATTAAATTCTTCAGGCTAAGGATCTTCAGATTTGTGTCCTTTGGATGGAAGTAAAAAAAATTGTGATACTCATATGTCAGAAAAGTCCTCATGCTTGATTATTTGTTAAAAGTTCTGATTTCCTTCCTTTGCCTGTCTTTAGAAGTAAAACAGCTAAGACTCCAGTATTGATGATGATTTTGGGCAGCAAAGATCTTCTTGGAAAATGCTTGATAGTTATCAAGGTAAATACCTTTGGGCCACTGCATTTTTTTAATGCAATGAAGATTTTTCACTGAATCCTTCATGCCACTTCATATCTAACCTACAGTGGCCCAAGTTACTACTTAACTGTAATTGGGCTACAACTTGGGCCACTGTAGGTTGGATATGAAGTGGCATGAAGGATTCAGTGAAAAAGCTTCATTGCATTAAAAAAAAGTCTGTATTTTTAGGCTGGGCACAGTGGCTCATGCCTGTAATCCCATCACTTTGGGAAGCTAAGGTGGGTGGATCACTTGAGGCCAGGAGTTGGAGACCAGCCTGGCCAACATGGTGAAACCCCATCTTTACTAAAAATACATAAATTAGACAGGTGTGGCGGTGCATGCCTGTAATCCCAGCCACTGGGGAGGCTGAGGCACGAGAATCACTTGAACCCAGGAGGTGGAGATTGTAGTGAGCTGAAATCACACCATTGTACTCCAGCATGGGCAACAGAATGAGACTGTCTCAAAAAACAAAAAACTGTATTTTTATTTGTTTGATTATAATCTACTGTAATAAATCCTATCATGCTTTAAGACTAAGTTAATGAATTAATAGATTAAAAATAGATTAAAAGTCTTGTGGCATCTAGAAGGATTCTCTTGAATTTTTTTATGATCAAAAAATAAAGGATAATAAACATTAATTGGGAAAGTATCTTATCTAATCAGGCATGTCTGTAAAATACAGAAAAATTATGGCTGTTAAAAGAAATTGATAAGGATTCATCTTTGGTGGCAATCTCTGGTTTTGAGATTTAGTTCATGGGACTTCAGATTAGAATTTGGTGGATGGAACGCATGTGTTTACTGTCAGTCTCTCCTGCAACACCATTACAGGCATGGTAAATATGAGAAGAGGCAACAGTAGAGAAGAGGCATCAGCAAATTTTTGGAAGATGAAAAGCAAATAGACCTGTGGCAACTGCCTTAGTATAACAGAGGAAGTTGATACCTAAGTGCCTTTAACTGAGGTTGAGAGGAGATGCTGGGAAGAAACAGTCACTGTATCCCTAAGAATTCCAGAAAGTTTCTGGAATTAGAGGCTTTGGAGTGGGGCATAAGCCTGAAAATGAGGGATAGGTGGAAAATCTGTAAGGGAACTAGATCCTCACTTCACTTCTTCTATGCCATACCACAAGATGAAGTCTTTAACAGAGACTGGACATGTTTTTTCTGAATAAATTAAAGTAAAATAGAGGTTCTGGATGTAGGGATGCCAGACAAAACAGAAGAGAAAGGTACAATGATCGACTGAAAAAGGAATTTAATGAAATTCGGCTCACAAAACAGTGAGACTCCATACTCCTCCCCAAGCCCAAACCTAGGATAGGTAATTCAGTCAGGACTGGAGGACTCTTCTCTGGGTAAAATGAGCAGCCTTAGAAGGACTTACAGAAACTGACATTTGAGGTCCGACAATGAAAAAAATGACTTACCACCCATTTTTTCTACAGTGAACCCATCATTCAACAACCCTATAACCTTCCTCCCTCTTCCCCCTACCCCTGTGAACATGGAACTTGCAGTCAGCTTTTTGATGCTTTGTTCTTAAATGTAAATGAATAGGAGACATTGGAAGAAGGCCTTCAATAAAAAAGGCAAAACCCAAAACAAATGAACAACAATAAAAAAATCACAGAAAGCAGAAATGCAAGGAAAAGAAAATAAAAATATCAGAGACTAGGATTGCAACCCCTGCCTTTTTTTGTTTTCCATTTGCTTGGTAGATCTTCCTCCATCCCTTTATTTTGAGCCTATGTGTGTCTCTGCACGTGAGATGGGTTTCCTGAATACAGCACACTGATGGGTCTTGACTCTTTATCCAGTTTGCCAGTCTGTGTCTTTTAATTGGAGCATTTAGCCCATTTACATTTAAGGTTAATATTGTTATGTGTGAATTTGATCCTGTCATTATGATGTTAGCTGGTTATTTTGCTCGTTAGTTGATGCAGTTTCTTCCTAGCCTCCACGGTCTTTACAATTTGGCATGTTTTTGCAGTGGCTGGTACCGGTTGTTCCTTTCCATGTTTAGTGCTTCCTTCAGGAGCTCTTGTAGGGCAGGCCTGGTGGTGAAAAAATCTCTCGGCATTTGCTTGTCTGTAAAGTGTTTTATTTCTCCTTCACTTAGGAAGCTTAGTTTGGCTGGATATGAAATTCTGGGTTGAAAATTCTTTTCTTTAAGAATGTTGAATATTGGCCCCCACTCTCTTCTGGCTTGTAGAGTTTCTGCCGAGAGATCAGCTGTTAGTCTGATGGGCTTCCCTTTGTGGGTAACCCAACCTTTCTCTCTGACTGCCCTTAACATTTTTTCCTTCATTTCAAGTTTGGTGAATCTGACAATTATGTGTCTTGGAGTTGCTCTTCTCAAGGAGTATCTTTGTGGCATTCTCTGTATTTCCTGAATTTGAATGTTGGCCTGCCTTGCTAGATTGGGGACGTTCTCCTGGATAATATCCTGCAGAGTGTTTTCCAACTTGGTTCCATTCTCCCTATCACTTTCAGGTACACCAATCAGACATAGATTTGGTATTTTCACATAGTCCCATATTTCTTGGAGGCCTTGTTCATTTCTTTTCATTCTTTTTTCTCTAAACTTCTCGCTTCATTTCATTCATTTGATCTTCCATCACTGATACCCTTTCTTCCAGTTGATCGAATCAGCTACTGAAGCTTGTGCATTCGTCACGTAGTTCTTGTGCCATGGTTTTCAGCTCCACCAGGTCCTTTAAGGACTTCTCTGCATTGGTTATTCTAGTTAGCCATTCATCTAATCTTTTCTCAAGGTTTTTAACTTCTTTGCCATAGGTTTGAACTTCCTCCTTTAGCTTGGAGAAGTTTGATCGTCTGAAGCCTTCTTCTCTCAACTCATCAAAGTCTTTCTCCGTCCAGCTTTGTTCCGTTGCTGATGAGGAGCTGTGTTCCTTTGGAGGAGGAGAGGCGCCCTGATTTTTAGAATTTTCAGTTTTTCTGCTCTGTTTTTTCCCCATCTTTGTGGTTTTATCTACCTTTGGTCTTTGATGATGGTGACGTACAGATGGGGTTTTGGTGTGGATGTCCTTTCTGTTTGTTAGTTTTCCTTCTAACAGTCAGGACCCTCAGCTGCAGGTCTGTTGGAGTTTGCTGGAGGTCCACTTCAGACCCTGTTTGCCTGGGTATCAGCAGCAGAGGCTGCAGAACAGCGAATATTGGTGAACAGCAAATGTTGCTGCCTGATCGTTCCTCTGGAAGTTTTGTCTCAGAGGGGTACCCGGCTGTGTGAGGCGTCACTCTGCCCCTACTGGGGGATGCCTTCCAGTTAGGCTACTCGGGGGTCAGGGACCCACTTGAGGAGGCAGTCTGTCCATTTTCAGATCTGAAGCTGCATGCTGGGAGAACCACTACTGTCTTCCAAGCTGTCAGACAGAGACATTTAAGTCTGCAGAGGTTTCTGCTGCCTTTTGTTTGGCTATGCCTTGCCCCCGGAGGTGGAGTCTACAGAGGCAGACAGGCCTCCTTGAGCTGCGGTGGGCTCCACCCAGTTCGAGCTTCCTGGCCGCTTTGTTTACCTACTCAAGCCTCAGCAATGGTGGGCGCCCGTCCCCCAGCCTCACTGCTGCCTTGCAGTTCAATCTCAGACTGCTGTGCTAGCAATGAGCGAGGCTCCATAGGCGTAGGACCCTCCAAGCCAGGTGCAGGATATAATCTCCTGGTGCGCCATTTGCTAAGACCGTCGGAAAAGTGCAGTATTAGGGTGGGAGTGACCCAATTTTCCAGGTGCCGTCTGTCACCCCTTTCCTTGGCTAGGGAAGGGAATTCCCTGACCCCTTGTGCTTCCTGGGTGAGGCGATGCCTCTCCCTGCTTCAGCTCACACTTGGTGCACGGTGCACTGCACCCACTGACCTGCACCCACTGTCCAACAATCCCCAGTGAGATGAACCCGGTACCTCAGTTGGAAATGCAGAAATCATCCATATTCTGCGTCGCTCACACTGGGAGCTGTAGACTGGAGCTGTTCCTATTCAGTCATCTTGGAACTGTCCCTGGAAGTATTTTAATAACGATTGGTATAGCTGTACCAAAAGACACAGACAAAATGTTGACCCTGGCCATAACTGACTGCAATGTAGGCTGGGAAAAAACATTGGCATAACTGTACAGTATTATGAGATGGAAAAAAATAAGTTAGTGTACAATAGGACAGCCATAATTATATCAATAATGTCTAAAATTAATAAATCAAGACGGCAGTTTAAACATTTAAGAATATGCAATTAAATGTCAGAAGAAATTGCTAAAATTTTAAGTAGTTTGCCTTTGGGAGTGACTGGAGAGGTGAGGCAGGGTATTGCTGTTTCTCTTTCTTTTCTTTTCTTTTCTTTTTTTTTTTTGAGATAGGGTCTTGCTCTGTTGCCCAGGCTGGAGTGCAGTGGTGTGATTATAGCTCACAGCAGCCTTGACTTCCCAGGCTCAAGCAATACCCCCATCACAGCCTCCAAAGTAGCTGGAACCACAAGTGCAATTCACCACACCCGGCTAATTTTTAAAATTTTTGTAGAGACAGGGTTTCACCATGTTGTCCAGGCTGGTCTCAAACCCCTGGGCCAGCCAGTCCTCCCACCTCGGCCTCCCAAAGTGCTGGGATTACAGGTGTGAGCCCCTGCACCTGGCCTGCTGTTTCTCATTTTAAACGTAGTAGTACACTTTGAGTTTAAACATAATTTTCATGGGTTACTTTGATTAAAAATAGTAAAAAAAAAAATGTAATGATGATGAGTAGTTTGGAAAATGATTTACTTGTGTCCAGAGCCATTCCTTTCAATGGCAAAAACTGCAATTACTTTTGCACCAACGTAATACATGAAGCATTATTATTTGGAAGTTAGATTCATCCTCTACAACTGATTTCAGCACTCACTCTATCTCAACATCTTTTGGGGGAGCTTTTAGAAAATTCAAATGACTCTCCTATCTCAAGATTCTGACTTACTTGACTTTGGGTAAGCCCTAGGGAATTAGTAATTTTTAAAAGCTTGCTAGCTGCTTCTGATAAGGAGCTAGGGCTAATTCCTCTAGCCCAGGTAGATTAAACATCTTTGCTTGCTTCCTAAACATCTTTTGTATTATTCCCATCCTGTCCTCTCTCATTACTTTGGTTTCAAGTCATGTACTCTCTATCCTCAGATCTGAACTAGTGTGGTCTCTTTTAAGTCAGAGGAATAGGAGGAAAGCAAGGGAGAGACATGGGAGAGGTGAGTTAGATTACCCATGAATAATCAGAGTGGCTGTCAGGGAGCCAATATTTGTTTCTTTTTTAAAAAAAAATTAATCTTTTAAAAATTTATTTTAACTTTAGGGGTACAAGTGCAAGTTTGTTACATCAGTAAACTTGTGTCGTGGGGTTTGTTGTACAGATTATTTCACCATCCAGGAATTAAGCCTAGTACCCATTAGTTGTTTCTCCTGATCCTCTCTCTACTTCTACCCTCCACCCTCCAAAAGGACCCAGTGTGTGTTGTTTCCCTCTGTGTGTCCATATGTTCTCATCATTTAGCTCCCACTTAAAAGTGACAACATGTGGCGTTTGGTATTCTGTTCCTGTGTTAGTTTGCTAAGGATAATGGCCTCCAGCTCCAACCATGTCCCCACAAAGGACATGATCTTGTTCTTTCTTATGGCTGCATAGTATTCCATGGTGTGTATGTACCACTTTTTGTTTATCCAGTCTGTCATTGATGGGCATTTAGTTTGATTCCATGTCTTTGCTACTGTGAATAGTGCTGTGATAAACATATGCATGCATGTGTCTTTTTTGTAGAATTATTTATATTCCTTTGGGTATATACCCAGTAATGGGATTGCTGGGTCGAATGGTATTTCTATCTTTAGGTATTTGAGGAATCGCCATACTGTTTTCCATGGTGGCTGAACTAATTTACACCCCTACCAATAATATATAACATTTCTTTTTTTCCACAAACTCACCAGCACCTATTTTTTTTTACTTTTTAATAATAGCCATTCTGACTGGTGTGAGATGGTATCTCATTGTGGTTTTGATTTACATTTCTCTAATGATCAGTGATGTTGAGCTTTTTTTCATTACATTATTGGCGGCATGTATGTCTTCTTTTGAAATTTGTCTGTTCATGTTCTTTGCCCACTTTTTAATGGAGTGGTTTGTTTCTTTTCTTGTAAATTTAAGTTCCTTATAGATGCTGGATATTAGACATTTGTCAGATGCATAGGTTGCAAAAATTTTCTCCCATTCTGTAGGTTGTCTGTTTATTCTGCTGGTAGTTTCTTTTGCTGTACAGAAGCTCTTTAGTTTAATTAGATCCCACTTGTCAACTTTTGCTTTTGTTGCAGTTATTTTGGTGTCTTCATTATGAAATCTTTGCCCATGCCTATGCCCTGAATGATAGGTTGTCTTCCAGGGTTTTTATATTTTTTTGTTTTACATTTAAGCCTTTAACCCATCTTGAGTTAATTTTTGTATATTGTGTAAGGAAGGGGTCCAGTTTCAATCTTCTGCATATGGTTAGCCAGTTATCACAGCACCATTTATTTATGCTATTTATGAATAGGGAATCCTTTCCCCATTGCTTATTTTTGTCAGATTTGTCAAAGATTGGATAGTTGTAGGTGTGTGGTCTTATTTCTGGGTTCTCTATTATGTTCCATTGGTCTATGTGTCTGTTCTTATACCAGTACCATGCTGTTTTGGTTACTGTAGCCCTGTAGTATAGTTTGAAGTTGGGTAGCATGATGCCTCCAGCTTTGTTCTTTTTGCTTAGGATTGCCTTGGCTATTCAGGCTCTTTTTTGGTTCCATGTGAATTTTAAAATAGTTTCTTCTAGTTCTGTGAAGAATGTCAATGGTAGTTTAATAGAAATAGCATTGAATCTATAAATTGCTTTGGGCAGTATGGCCATTTTCACAATATTGATTCTTCCTATCTATGAGCATGGAATGTTTTTCAATTTGTGTCATCTCTGATTTTTTTAAGCAGTGGTTTGTTGTTCTCCTTGTAGAGATCTTTCACCTCCCTAGTTAGCTGTATTTTTAGCTATTTTATTATTTTTATGGCAATTGTGCATGGGAGTTCATTTGTGATTTGGCTCTTGGCCTGACCCTTGTTGGTATATAGGAATTTGATTTTAGGCTAGTGATTTTTGCATATTGATTTTGTATTCTGAGGTTTGCTGAAGTTATTTGTCAGCTTGAGAAGCTTTGGGGCTGAAACAATGGGGTTTTCTAGATATAGGATCCTGTCATCTAAAAACAGGGATAGTTTGACTTCCTCTTTTCCTATTTGAATGCACTTTATTTCTTTCGGTTGTCTAATTGCCCTGGCCGGAACTTTGAATACTATGTTGAATAGGAGTAGCCAGACAGGGCATCCTTGTCTTGTGCCAGTTTTCAAGGGGAATGCTTCCATCTTTTGCTCATTCAGTATGATGTTGGCTGTGGGTTTGTCATATATCACTTTTATTATTATTTTGAGGTATGTTCCTTCAATACCTAGTTTATGGAGAGTTTTAAACATGAATGGATGTTGAATTTTATTGAAAGCCTTTTCTGCATCTATTGAGTTAATTGTGGTTTTTGTCTTTAGTTTGTGTTTAGTTCTGTTTATGTGATAAATTACACTTACTGATTTGTGTATGTTGAACCAACCTTGCATCCCGGGGATGAAGACCACTTGATGGTGGCAGATAAGCTTTCTGATGTGCTGCTGGATTTGGTTTGCCAATATTTTGTTGAGGATTTTTGCATCAATGTTCATCAGGGATACTGGCCTGAATTCCTTTTCTGTTGTATTTCTGCTGGGTTTTGGTAGCAGAATGATGCTGGCCTCATAGAATGAATTAGGGAGGAGTCTCTCCTTTTCAGTTTTTTGGAATATTTCCAGTAGGAATGGTAGCAGCTCTTCTTTGTACAATTTCAGAACTCATTATTGGTCTGTTCAGGAATTCAGTTTCTTCCTAGTTCAGTCTTTGGAGGGTGTATGTGTCCAGAAATTTATCAATTTTTTCTAGATTTTCTAGTTTATAAGCATAAAGGTGTTTATAATATTCGCTGATGGTTGTTTGTATTTCTGTGAGGTCAGCGGTAATGTCCCCCTTATCATTTCTGATTGTGTTTGTTTGACCTTTTCAATTTTTTGGAATAGTTCCCGTAGGAATGGTCGCAGCTCTTCTTTGTACAATTTCAGAACTCGTTATTGGTTTGTTCAGGGATTCAGTTTCTTCCTGGTTCAGTCTTCGGAGGGTGTATGGGTCCAGGAATTTATCAATTTCTTCTAGATTTTTTAGTTTATAAGCATAGAGGTGTTTATAATATTCTCTGATGGTTGTTTGTATTTCTGTGAGGTCAGTGGTAGTGCCCTCCTTATCATTTCTGATTGTGTTTGTTTGAATCTTCTTTATTAGTTTAGCTAGTTGTCTATATATTTTATTATTTTTTTCAAAAGCAAGCTCCTGGATTCATTGATCTTTTCAATGGTTTTTCATGTCACGATCTCCTTTAGTTCAGCTCTGATTTTTGTTATTTCTTGTCTTCTAGCTTTGGGATTTGTTCCCTCTTGGTTCTCCAGTTCTTTTAGTTGTGATGTTAAGTTGTTAACCTGAGATCTTTCTAACTTTTTGATATGGGCATTTAGTGCTATAAATTTCCCTCTTAACACTGCCTTAGCAGTGTCCTGGAGACTCTGTTACATTGTATCTTTGCTTTCATTAGTTTCAAAGAACTTGATTTCTGCCTTAATTTCATTATTTGAGATTCTGGTACATTGTATCTTTGCTGTCATTAGTTTCAAGTAACTTCTTGATTTC
The DNA here is from genome assembly GCF_000001405.40 of Homo sapiens. Taxonomy (NCBI): domain Eukaryota; kingdom Metazoa; phylum Chordata; class Mammalia; order Primates; family Hominidae; genus Homo; species Homo sapiens. The sequence continues at coordinate 91,182,854 of NC_000010.11, forward strand.
TGACTTAATTTCATTATTTACTCCAAAGTAATTCAGGAGCAGGTTATTCAATTTCCATGCAATTGTATGGTTTTGAGTGAATTTCTTAGTCTTGAGTTCTAATTTGATTGTGCTGTGGTCCAAGAGACTGTTTGTTACTATTTCAGTTCTTTTGCTTTTGCTGAAGAGTGTTTTACTTCCGATTATATGATCAATTTTAAGAGTACATGTTTTGTGGCAATGAGAAGAATGTATATTCTGTGATCCAGTGTTGTGTATATATTTGATCCAGTGCTGAGTTCAGGTCCTGAGTATCTTTGTTAATTTTCTGTCTCAATGATCTAATATTGTCAGTGGGGTGTTAAAGTCTCCCACTATTATTGTGTGGGAGTCTTAAGTTTCTATTAGGGTCTCTAAGAACTTGCTTTATGAATCTGGGTGTTCCTGTGTTGGGTATATATATATTTAGAATAGTTAGATCTTGTTGAATTGAACCCTTTACCATTATGTAATGCCCTTTGTCTTTTTTAATCTTTGTTGTTTTAAAGTCTGTTTTGGCAGAAATTGAGATTGCAACCTCTGCTTTTTTTTTTTCCTCCATCCTTTTATTTTGAGTCTATGTGTGTCTCTCCATGTGAGGTAGGTCTCTTGAATATAGCACATCGATGAATTTTGACTCTTTCTCCAGCTTGCCATTCTGTGTCTTTTAATTGGGGCATTTAGCCCATTTGCATTTAAGGTTAGTATTGATATGTGAGGATCTGATCCTGTCATCATGATGTTAGCTGATTATTTTGCAGACATGTTTATGTAGTTCCCGTATAGTGTCACTGGTCTGTGTACTTCAGTGTGTTTCTGTAGTGGCTGGTAATAGTCCTTCTTTGCCATATGTAGTGTGTCCTTCAGGAGTCTTGTAAGGCAGGTCTGGTGGTAATGAATTCCCTTAGCATTTGCTTGTCTGAAAGAATCTATTTCTCCTTTGCTTGAAGCTTAGTTTGGCTGGATATGAAATTCTGGGTTGGAATTTCTTTTCTTTAAGAATGTTGAATATTGGCCCCCAATCTCTTCTGGCTTGTAGGGTTTCTGCTGAGAGGTCCATTATTAGTCTGATTGTCTTCCCTTTGAAAGTGACCTGGCCTTTCTTTCTCACTGTCTTTAATATTTTTTCTTCGTTTCGACCTTGGATAATCTGATGATTATGTGTCTTGGGGATGTTCTTCTCATGGAGTATCTTACTGGGGTTCTCTGCATTTCCTGAATTTGAAGGTTGGCCTGTCTAGCTAGGTTGGGTACATTCTCATGGATGATATCCTAAAATATGTTTTCCAAATTGGTTCCATTCTCCTCATCTCTTTCAGGTATACCAGTCAGTGGTAGATTCAGTCTCTACATAATCCCATATTTCTTGGAGGTTTTGTTCATTTCTTTTCATTCTTTTTTTCTCTATTCTTCTCTGCCTGTCTTATTTCAGAAACACAGTCTTTAAGCTCTGAGATTCCTCTACGTGGTCTATTCTGATATTAATACTTTTTATTCCGTTATGAAATCCTTGTAGTGTGTTTTTTGTCTCTGTCAGGTTGGTTACAGTACTCTCTACTGGCTGTTTTGTCTGTCAGCTCCTGCAATGTTTTAGCGTGATTTTTAGCTTCCTTGCTTGGGTTATAATGTACTCCTTTAGCTCAGAAAGTTTGGTTTTATCCATATTCTGAATTCTACTTCTGTCATTTCAGCCATGTTGTCCTCAGCCCAGTTCTGAACACTTGCTGGAGAGGTGATACAGTCATTTGGAGGAAAGAGGGCACTCTGGCTTTTTGAGTTTTCAGTGTTCTTGTGTTGATTCTTTCTCATCTTTGTGGGCTTATCTACCTTCAGTATTTGAGGTTGCTGTTTTGTTTTTTTTTTCCTATTTTTAAAATCTGGCTACTTTTCTGTAGTGCTGCTATGGTTTGCTAGGGGTCTGCTCCAGTCCCTAGTGGCCTTGGATTTTTCAGTATCTGGAGGTATCACCAGTGAAGGCTACAAAGCAACAAAGATGGCAGTGTACCCCTTCCTGTGGGAGTCCCATCCCAGGGAGTTATGGACCTGTTGCCAGCCTGAATGCAGCGGTAGGAGGTAGCTGGAGACCCCAGTTGTGAGGTCTCACCCAGTCAGGAGGAACAACACAGGGGACCTGCTTACAGAAGCAGTTTGGCCACATTTTTTAGAACAGCTGTACTGTGCTAGGGGTACCCCCTCTGCCCCCAGTTGGCTTGGGCTCTCCAAGCATGAAGCTGGAACAGCTAAGTCACCCAGACAGCAAAGATGGTGGCCCACCCCTCCTTCTGGGAACTCTCTCCCAGGAGGTTCTTAAATCTCTGTCAGCCAGAAAACACCAGTGGGGTGGCTGGAGGCCTGGGTTGGGAGGTCCCACCCAGTGAGGAGGAATGGATCCGGGATTCACTTAAAGAAGCAGTCTGGCCATGTTTTGGTAGAGCAGCTGTGCTGTGCTGGGGGATCCCTTCTGCCCCCGTGGGTTTGGACTCTCCAAAGCCCACAGGCTGGAACAGGAAAGATGGCAGCCACCCCTTCCCCCAGGAACTGTGTCACAGCTCCATGCAACACTGTTGTCCGTGCCTGGCTGGAATTCCAAGCCAGTGTGTCATCCTGTGAGGTGCCGTGGAAGTGAGGCCCGCTGACCATCACTGCTGAGCCCCATGGATTCAACCTCTTTCCTAGGGGTATGTATGGAGGTCTAACCTCCCTCTTTGCCTGAGTTGTAGTTACTTTTGCCAGGAAGCCCAGAGCTGGATTATGTAAAGCTCCTGGGTTTCTGTGTATGCCTGAGTGGCTGCTCTGCCAAGACTCCACATAGTTCTGTGTGTCGGACTGAAGGCCCTAGTGGAGTGGTTTCATGAAGGGTTCTCCTGACCCGGGAGTTGCAAAGATTGGTGGGGCAAGTGTGGTTTCCTTGGGTCACACATTCACTCCCTGCTTCCCTGGGCAGGGGAGATTCCCTTGACTCCGTGTGGCTCCCTGGTGGGCCATCATTTTGCCTTGCTTTTCTCTGTTCTCTGTGGGTCAGGTTGTTTCCTTGATTAGTCCCAATGCAGGTACCTGGATGTTTCAATTGAAAGTGCTGTATTTACTCGCCCCTTTCATTCCTGTCTTTGAGAGCCACGCACCCTAGCTGCTTCTAGTCAGCCATCTTGGTCGCTCCCTGCTTCAATATTTATTTCTTTATGTTTTGCAGACAGTAGTTAAATTGATGACATCTTGAATTTCCTGTGCAGTAATTTTAGAGCTCAAGTTCAAGTAAATTTTAACTTAAAATCATTTTGGTATTTCTTTACTTTTAACATTACCTCTTGGGCTAAATCAGCTGTACCCTCAGGTTGCCCTCAAGTTATTTGATCTCACCTGGATTTTGCCCCGACTCTCACAGCTGTGGTGTACCAGGCGTTCATTCACCAGTAGCAGTATTGCCAGGTTGCAACTGGGATCACCAGCAGTTTTCATAGCTCACTAGTTGTCTATGGCGAGAATTCTTAGGTGATTAGCAAGCAAGAGATGAAGGAATATAAAAGCTGCATGATTTCACAAGGTTGGAAGTCTTGTTGCATTGAACTTTCAATGAAAGAAATTTTGTATACTTGAAAGAAATGTTTATTGTGTAGATGAAATAAATATTTTAGACCTCAGGGAAAAACTTCATATATATATGTGTGTGTGTGTATATATATATATATATGTGTGTGTGTGTATATATATGTGTGTGTATATATATGTGTATATATACACACATATATATGTAACAAATTAAAATGTTTAAAATGTTAAGTTACAAAGTTTCTTTTGTACCTTTCACCAGTTCCATCCCGGGCCTCCCTAGATTCAACTAGGGATGTACTAGTAACTGTTTCACTTCAAGCCAATGCCCTGCTCCGTATATTGATAGGACTTGCCTCTAACATTCTTTCCACGTATAGGGAGCTGTCCCAGCTGGTTTCTGGGGGATTGCTTTACATTTATATACATTTATACTGCTGGATCAGTGTAATCTTCAAGGTGAGGGTTTGCTTCATCTTATGAGTGTCATTTAGAACTTGCCCACACAATGCAAGACCAGTGAAAATCGCTAGGCCAGTGATTCTCATACTTGAATGTGCACAGAAATACTGGGAATGGTATTACATTGCAGATTCTGGTTTAGTTAGTCTCAGGTGGGGTCTGAGATTCTGCATTTCTGAGTTTCCCAGGAGATGCAACTGGTCTGCAGACCACATTAGAGAAGCTTCAGGCTAGTAGTTCTCAACCCTGGTTTCATATTAGAATTATCTGAGGACTTGTAAAAAATACTGGTATCTGGGACCTATCTATAGTGATTCGGATTTAATTGTTCTAGGATGGGGCCTCAGCATGATATATAGATATATAAGATAGATATATAAGATTTGACACTAATGTGCAAATCGGTTTGGGAACCACTGTTACAAGCTCTGCACACTTTTGCTGTGATAGATAAAGATCTTCATGTGCAGATTTTGTAGTGATCTGGCAGGCACCTTACTGAGCTTTTATGATGTGAATGCACCTGCTTTGTGGATACAGTCCATAGAGAAGGGATTCCTCTTCACTACTAGATTCCCAGAGATGAGGTAGAGGTCGCTATCAGAGAAGCACACCTAAGGAAAAACAAATAGTCTTTTCATTAAAAAAAACAAAAACAAAAACCCAGCTATCGCTTGATATAGGAAAGAGGTTTGAAGTGATAAATGAATGCAAAGTTGGTATCTCTTGATTCATGGGGTCCTTCTGTTTTCTGCATCCTTTCAGTAAGAGATCATGGGGAAAGTGTATTATATACACAACTTCAATGCTTCATGTTTTCTTCAAAGAAGTCTATATATTTACTTCTTACTATCTGTGTGTATATGTTTACCTATAAATATATGTACCTGAAAAATGTCTGTGTAGCCAGAATTCTAGTATTTATTTTTCCTTTGCTAATTATTTAGAAAAAACTTAGAGTATTTTCTATACAGTTACTTGTCCTAAAAACTAAGTGACTTGACATCTTGATGAAAGAACTGTTGTTATTCCTAAGTTCTTTCCATGCTAATGGCAGATGGATGATTCTTTTTTTTTTTATTTTAAACTTTTAATTTTTTTAAATTATTATTATACTTTTAAGTTTTAGGGTACATGTGCACAATGTGCAGGTTAGTTACATATGTATACATGTGCCATGCTGGTGTGCTGCACCCGTTAACTCCCCCGAACAGGAACAGCTCCGGTCTACAGCTCCCAGTGTGAGTGACGCAGAAGACGGGTGATTTCTGCATTTCCATCTGAGGTACTGGGTTCATCTCACTAGGGAGTACCAGACAGTGGGCGCAGGACAGTGGGTGCAGCGCACCATGCGCGAGCTGAAGCAGGGCTAGGCATTGCCTCACTCGGGAAGCGCAAGGGGTCAGGGAGTTCCCTTTCCTGGTCAAGGAAAGGGGTGACAGACAGTACCTGGAAAAGCAGATGGATGATTCTATTGGCTCTAAAATCATAGGCTTTAGTTCAGTTCAAATGTTGTTTTATTATTATTACAATGAAGACCCTAGAAGCAGAAAATACAATTTTATGTATATTAAAATTATGCTAATTGCAATTTCTTAGGAACAATAAACTTTAAAACCAGTGGATTAAAATTAAATATAATTTTGCTGCTAAGAAATTGGAATCTTCTCCCTTATGTACCTACTATTTTATTATAAAGTAGACTTTGATTTTATTTCCTTAATGTTATCTTGTCTACTTCATGGCCACCGCCTTCATTTGGATTCTCATTCACGTTCATTTCCTCACTGACCCTCACTACCTCCCCTCTTGCCCCTTAGGAATCTTCTGCCAGAGTCCTCTGTTATGGAGGTAGTAGGTCTTTGGCTCCTTGTCTGAGAAAAAAGTCCAGATCTACAGAGTGTCATTTGGAGCCTGTTGACCTACCCAACCTTTTTTCCACCCTTGTCACTTGTCATTTCCCTAGATAGCAGTTTATTCATTCCTTAGCTGAGATGGAGCATCAGGAAAGAAATATTGGAGGCTTGAAGAGAAAGGTAAAGAGGCATACAGAGTGGTTTGGGAGAAAGGGAGAGTAGATAGCACAAGGGAAATGAAGTGTGATTGCTGGGCAGCATTTAAGGTCTACTGAGATAGGTGATTATGGATTTAAAGTAAGATTAGCTAGCATGTGGCTGCAGGAATACAGGTGTGGAGAAGGTGGAGTCTTGCATTCTGCCAGGGCTGACTAAGACATTCCACTTCTCATCTGTGCTTTTGCATAATGGCCATGGCCTCCATCTGAAACACATTCCTTCTCTTCTTTGCCTGGCAAAATCTTCTTTTACAACCCTGATTGATAATTTTCTCCTTTTTCCAGACATCCTCTCTTGACCCTCATGATTCTTGGTCATCTCCCTGTGTTCTGTCCCCATTTTTCCATGCCATGAAAGGTGTCTGTTCATACCTATCTCCACTAGACAGTGCACTCAGCAAAGGCAGGGAGGTGATGTTTTGAAATCCCAGTTTACAACATGGTGCCTGGTACATAGTAGACACACATAATAATATATGCTAGATAAATGAATATAAGATTTCTCTGTAAATTATTGAGAATCTACACTTGCTGTTTGAGGTTCAAGATGAATTCTACTTAGTAATATATGACATAAAAATTGTATTGCTTTAATTTCTATTCTAATATACCCTTACCAAATATCCAAGCTGATAAGATCTTTCCATATATACATACATATCTACATGAAAATGGAAGAAAGTTAAAAAGACCAAAGAATATACATAAATATTAAATATCTAGGATAACACACTTCATAGAGCCCTGCACAATGCATGGGGTTTATCTGTTCTTTTTCGCTTAGGCCTTCTTGCCTGGTGGGAAACAGTTAAAATCCTAAGAAGCATCTGAGCCAGTATTGAGCACATTAATATTTTCATATTGAACACGTCTATATTTTCAAGTTGCACTGAAGTTATGAGTATAAAAATGTAGTTTTGAAAGGTTTTCCTCAACCATGTGGAAACATACGGAGATTTTAACTGCTGAAACAATTTCAAATAGTTTACAAATCAATAAAAGCCAGACAGAAATTAAAGTGTATCTTTTTTCCTGAGGTTAATATCTTAGTTTGTTTGTGCTGCTACAACAAAGCACCACAAACTGTATGGTTTATATACAATAGAAATTTATTTCTCACTGTTTTTAAGGTTGGAAAACCCAACATCAAGGCATGGGCAGATTGGTCTCTGGTGAGGACCCACTTCCTGGTTTCCAGGTGGCACCTGATCCCTGTGACCTCACATAGTGGAAGGGACTCGCTGGCTTTCTGACATCTCTTTTATAAGGGCACTAACCCCAATCATGTTCTCATGATCCAGTCACCTTCCAAAGGTCTGACCTCTTAATCCCATCACCTTGGGGGTTAAGATTTCAACATATGAATTTTGGGGGAATTCAAACATTCAGACCACAGCAGTAAGTGATTTCACATTTTTCCTTAGGAGTGAGGAGACTTGAGTTCTGGTTGTGATGTGTCGCTAAAGGTCTGTGGTGTCAGATAATCTGCCCCACCTCTCTAAGCTTTAGTTTCCCCATGTATAAAACATGAGATTTGGTCTAAATTATTACCAAGGTCATTTTGAATCATCTGTGATTCTGGAAAGTTATGAAACACAGCCTGTAACCATGGTGAGGAAAGTTGATTGGTGGCTCCAGAAATAGACTTATTTTCTCCTTCTGTGTAACATTGATGCTCTCCCATTGAATCATTCTCTGGATGTTGCCTAAATAAACCAATTTCTTGATTTTTTTCCCCTTAATGCTAAGTGCTCAAAAGTGAATGAAAGATTGTCTTAAATACCAAACAAATGAGCTGTTGCTTTAAATGTAGATCTGGATTATTGTGCTGGTTTTCATTCCTGTTATAGGTATTCAAAAAGCAGAAGGTTGTGATGTGGTAAATTTAGAAACTATTTCACATCAGTTCCTGCTGTCTTTTGTGTTTGTGTGAGAACCCTATTCAAAATATATCTTATTTATTCTTCCCTTAAAATATGCTTCACTTCATTTTTGCCTTTCTGCTGGCAACGAGTCCAGATCTATAAATACTTACAGGTTTTGTCAAAATCCTTACGCTGACAGTTACAGTAGTTCTCCCTGATCCACAGGGAACATATTCCAAGGCCCCTAGTGGGTGCCTGATACCATGGATAATACTGAACCCTATGTATGTTATATTTTGTTCCTGTGTATACATACATATGATAAAGTTTAATTTACAAATTAGGCACAGTAAAAGATTAACAACAACAACAACTAATAAAATAGAACTGGTATAACAATATGCAAGCATCACTACTCTTATGCTTTGGGGCCATTAAGTAAAATAAGGGTTAGTTGAACACAAGCACTGTGATGCTGCAACAGTCAATCTGATAACTGAGATGGCTACTGAGTGACTAAGAATGGTGGCACAGACAGCATGGGTACACTGGACAAAGGGATGATTCACCACAGAGAGGGACCACATGAGATATCATCACACTACTCAGATGGCACACAATTTAAAACTTATGAATTGTTTATTTCTGGAACTTTCCATTTAATATTTTTGGACTGAAGTTGACCATGGGTAACTGAAACCACAGAAAGCAAACCCCAGATAAGAAGGGAGTACTGCACTTTTTCCTACTAACATGTAGGTAATCTAGTCAGACACAATTGTGTTTTACCCCATAAGCTTTTTGGTTTCTTGGTGTGTGTTATCATAAGCTTGTCCTCAGTACAGTGATGTCCTATGTAGCCCTCTGAGAATCACTCTGATTGCAAGATCTTTGGCCATGCTTCTTTGGGATTGTCCCCTGTCCAGAACACTCCACCCAAAATGAGACATTTTGACCTAGTTGGGACAAGTACAAGGCTGGTAGGCAAAGTCTCACTGTCTGTGAGCATTCATGTTGGATCCAGCCCTTTGAAGTAGAGAATCAGCTCATTAAGTGAATATTTTAAATGCTTAAAGGAATAACAGAAATTTAATTTTCACTCTCTCTCCTGTAGTAATCTTTATCCAAAGTATCACATCACTGGTGAGCTGTGAGATTAGACAAGTTATTTACCCTCTCTGAGCCTCAGGTTCCTCCTCTATAAAGTTTGGATTTTATTTCTAATGTGATTTTGGCTCCAAAATTATTTTTTTTCTTTATAGTTTTGTCATCCTCTTTCCAGCCTTAAACTGGCTGAAGGCAATTAGTAGTCTTAAACTTAAGCAAGTCTCACTCATTTCTGATAGTACTTCCTTAAACAAAAATGGTTCAGTTTTCCACCCCAGAGGCATTTGTGGAATTTTTTTAAAAAAGCATTTATGACTATTTTAGTTTATTTTTCTATACATTTGAGACAAGATTAACTCAACAACTCAAGGTGTTTTGCTCGTATACCTGGATAATAGTCTAAAAATGAAGCATTCTTATTTTCATAAAAACAATAATTAAATACATTGCTGTGAGTCTTCATTAATAAGAACTAAGCTAGTCAGATGCTATTGACCACAGCCATGGGAAAATATTAAGAAAGCAATTCTTTGGTATTTATCCATCTTGCTCATCGTCAATTAAGAATCTTTATTCTAATTAGCATTTTCAAACAGTTGAAAGTAAAAATAACCCCATGGAAAGATAAGTTCATTTATTTATTCAAGAAATACCTATTGCTTACCAACCAGATAGTCTTTGGAATATCAATAAACAAAACAATGATTCTTGATCTAATGGAGTCTGTTTTCTATCAGGAAACGACATACAATAAAACAGGCATAGTAAACATTTATTATATGGTTTGTTATAAGGTGGTAAGAGCAGTGGTGGAAAAATTTTAAAATAGAGCACAGAAAGGAGAAATCAAAAGTGGGTAGGAAGAAGGGAGCTGGGTTGTAGTATAAATACCATGGTCAGGAAAGGAGATGTGGCAGGCAGAGTGACCCCTAAAAGTCCATACCCTAATCCTTGGGACCTGTAAATATTTAGGTTAAATTACATGGCAAAAGGGACTTTCCAGACCTAATTATGGTTACAAATATTAAAATATAGAGGTTAACCTGGATTATCTGGGTGGCCCAATCTAATCAATAAGCCCTTGAAAGTCAAGAAATTATACTGGCTAGAGTTGGAGAGTTGTGGCCACAGTTGGAATGATCCAAAATGTGAGAGAGACTCCACCCACCCATGCTGAGAGTGCATGGCAAACGCAAGAAGGAAGGCATGTAGCCTTGAAGAGCAAAGAATGGCCTCCAATGAAATGGGGCATCAGTCCTGCAGCTGCAAGAAACTGAATCCAGCCAAAGACCCAAAGGAGCTTGGAAGGAGATCCATCCCTAGAGCCTCCAAAAGGAATACATCCCTGCTGTCACTTGGATTCTGGCCTTGTGAGACTAAGTAGAGGACCCAGCTCAGCCAAATTGTACTTAGACTTCTAACCTACACAACTGTGAGATGCTAAGTGGGTATTGTTTTTAAGCTACTTCATTAGTGGTAATTTGTCATGGCAGCAATAGAAAACTAAAAGGGATGGGGGGGTGGGACATTAAGCTGATAGTGGAGTAAGAATGTGTTCTAGACAGAGAGAACAGTGACAGCCAAGTCCTAAGGGGAGGTACACCTGCGTGTTTGAGGGGTGGCGAGGGGTAGTTGGAGGGGAGAGAGCAGGGGGATGAGTAGGAGATAGGGTCGGAAAGGCCCTCCACCCTGGATGGAGGGTGGAGACCATGAAGGGCTTTGGCTTTTGTTCCAAGTGAGCTAGGGAGTCATTGCAGCATTTTGATCACAGAAGCAATATAATTTGATGTAATTTTTTAAAGGATCATGCTTAAACTGGCTGAAGGCTGCTCAGAAAATAGACTCTAGTAGACTGTAAAGAGGAAGGGGAGAAGCAGGGAGACCAATTAGGAAGTGATAGCAGGAATCCTAATATGAGAGGATGATGGCTTAGACCAGCAGTAGTGGAGATGTTGAGAAGTGATCAGATTCTAGATATGTGTTAAAGACGAAGTCCATTTCTTTGTGACTTAGATTTGGGATGTAAGAGAGAGAGGAGTTTAGGATGATTCCTTGGGTTCAGGCCTGAATAGCTAGAAAAATGGAGTTGTTATCAACCAAGATGCAGAAAACTTTGGGTGGAGAGATCTGTGGTGGAGGGAGAATTGGAGGTCAGCTTGGACATACTGAGTGTGACATGTCTGTTAAACATCCAGTTAAAGATGCAGAGTGTGGTAGGCAGAATAATGGCCTCTAAAGATGTTCATCCTAATCCCCAGAAAATGTGAATGTGTCACTTTAGGGAGCCAGAGGGACATTGCACATGTGATGGTTAAGATAACAACTTTGAGATGGAGAGATGATCCTAGATTATCTGGTGGGCCCAACCTAGTCACAGAAGTCCTTAGAAGTAGAGTATCTTTCCCATGGTGGTCAGAGGCTGAGGTGACTACGGGAGAATGGCCAGAGAGATGCAAGGTTGCTGGATTTGAAGATGGAGGAAGGGGGCCACTGGCCAAGGAATGTGGGTGGCTGCTAGAAGGTGGAAATGGCAAGGAAACAAATTCTCCCCTATAACCTCAAGAAGGGAACACAACCCTGCAAACCCTTGATTTTTGCCCAGGGAGATGGATATCTGACCTGCAGAGCTATAAGATAATACATTTGTGTTGTTTTCAGCCACTAAGTTTGTCATAATTTGTTATCACAGCAATATAAAATGAATACACAGAGTAAGCAGTTGGATATGAGTCTGGAGGTGAGGAGAAAAAGGTCTCGAATTCAAAAGCATAGAGATGGTTTAAAGCCACAGACTGAATGAGATCACCAAGAGCATAAGTAGAGATAGAGAAGAGAAGAGGATCAAGGTGGGGGTCAAGAGAACTTGTATTGTCCTCATTTTTAAAAAAGATAGTATTAAGGATATGTTTGTGTGCTAATGAGAGCTGTCCCTCAGAGACCAAAAGTTGATGATATAAGGGAAAGAAAAGAGTTTCTGGGGTGTTATCCTCAAGTAGGGCAATAAAGATGAGATGCAGACCATGTGTGGGGGCATTTGTGATTCACTATGGTGAAAGCAGACAGTATAGGGGGAGTAGATGTGGTGAGAGTGTGTGTGAGTTCTCTTCTGATGACTCAGTTTTCTCAGTGGAATAGGAAGCAGCTGAGAGTGAGGATGGGGAAGGTGGTTTGAGGGTTTAAGAGAGAGAAAAGATGAGAAATAGTCCATCGGGAAATTGGGAGATTAGTAGAAGAGGGTCACATAGATTGCCTGCAGCATTAAAGGCCCACTTAAAGTTTGTGGTTATGAATTTAAAGGAGTAAATGCCACCATACACCGTTGAAAAAAGTGCCTCTGAACATTAGCTATCACCTCCTTCAAAAAAAAAAAAGTCAAATATTAAAAGAAAATTTAGGGTGGAATTAGACAGGAAAAGCCCAGTATTGTTATCCTTTCTATCCATTGTCTAGACTCCTAGAAGATCACTTGCCTTAGAGGGTTAATAATATTCTTAAATAATTGAATATAAATCATATGTATATATATGCATATATATATATGCATGCATATATATATATATAGAGAGAGAGAGAGAGAGAGAGACGCAGGGTCTCTGTCACTCAGACGGGAGTGCAGTGGTGCAGTCACGGCTCACTGCAGCCTTGGCCTCCTGGCCTCAAGTAATCCTCCACCTCATTTTTTAATTTTTTTGTAGAGATGAGGTTCTCACTGTGTTACCCAGGCTAGTCTCGAACTCCTGGGCTCAAGCAATCCTCCTGCTTTGGCCTCCCAGTGTTGGGATTACAGGCATGAGCCACCATGCCTGGCCTAAATCATATTTTTTTTAATGAAATTTAAATGCTATCTTAGACTGGTTCTTTAAAGTAGCAGAGCCTAGACAGGGGCTTAGGGGCAATTAGTTTATTTTGAGGAATAATCCCAAAGAACAGCATTTGTGACTGGTAAGAGTTAATAGGGAACAAAGGAAACCCAATCCAAGGTTTGTTCATCAACTTGGTCACTATTGTGGGCAACTGGGACCTGTTCCCACAGGACACCCTCCAAGAATGTGCCTTAAAATTGGCTACTAGATAAAATTGGGGTGGGTGGTATTCATTATTTGTCCACTTTCTCGCATCCCCTACTGGTCAAGTGTTGCCCCATGGGGTGTTAAGTCTATCATGGGACTGCACATTTGTCAGAATGGCTCACTGGTTTCCTACAGATATTTCACATGGTGGCAGAGAAGGCCCAGAGTAGAAAGCACATGTGACAGTGCAGCTGAAGTGACATTCTGTCAGCAAGGGCTAGAATGTCAGTGCCAAGAGAAGTGATGTGAGGCAAAGATGTCCAATGCAGAAATGTGCTAATTACAAAAGTATCTCCTAAAATTTTGGCCAATAAACCATAATCAGACCCTAATTTCAGTTTACAAAGTTCAAATGTTTATATATTAGACTTTCTAAGCAAGAAACCTGTGCATGCACATTGAAACACCCAAGCCCCACAGTATCATTGAAGCACAAAGCAGAGCTTTATGTCCCTTCTCACCCCAGGGCTTTTGCACTTGCTAAGCCTTCTTGTTCCTTTATTCTCCCAGATCTTTCCATGGCTTCACAGTCATGCAGGTTTCAGCAGAAATGTTGTATCTTCAGAGAAAGTTTCCTTACTACCTTGACAAAATATCCCACCCCATCCCCCACCTCTGACCCACACTTGCCCAGCTCCTTTCCATTACACTGATGTGTTTTTCCGTATTTCAGAGGGTGACAAATGCTATTTGTGTATTTCTTGTTGGTCCCCCTCACAGACTCTATGAGGGCAGCTTGACAATAGTATCCCCAGCACTGCATGGAAGGAGCCTTGTCTATACTTGTTGAATACCTGGTTATCATAATTCATCTTCTTTGTTTACTCTTTCCCTGTCATCTGGTTTCATCCCAGCCAGTGAAATCACTTACTAGATGAGGAACTGCTGAAGTACTGGGAATTCACTGGTGGACGAGATATAATCCCCACCTCAAGTCTCACAGTCTGTCAAGGAGCCTCCAGATTCTTTTTATCCTGTGCATGATGTGGAACCATTCAAATCTCTTTTTAAACAACAACAACAAAAAAAACATGATGTGGTTTTTATATTAGACGTGGACAAGTGAGCCAGTTAATGGCATGTCCTGGTTGTCTAAAGCTGAGTGACAAACTACTCCAAAACTTAACGATTTCAAACAACAGTAATCATTTATCTCTCACAGTTTCTGTGAGTCAGGAATTTGGAGTCTGGTCAGCAGCGTAGCCTGTCTCCATTCCGCTTGGCATCAGCAGGGGAGGCTCGAAGTATGGGGAAATCATCTGAAGGCTCGCGAGCTGACTGTCATGTCCTGGGTCTAGTCTGAGACTCCTGGGCTCCTCGGGCACGTCCCTCTCTCTATGTGACTGCTCCGTGATGTATTATTTTCTGAGGATGGCTGCACAGACGTATATCTTTGGAAAATAAAATCTCCACGGGCAGTGTTATCACAACTGCTGATGTTTATTGAGGATGAGGGCTTCCTGTGGTCCGGGCATTGTGCTAAGTGTTCTCCGTGTATTATATTATCTAACCCCTGATGAGTGGGATTTGTAAGGTAGCCCTTTTGTACAGTGAAGCAATGGGGACTCACCAAAGTTAAATGACTGGTATGAGCTCACAAAGAACTTTTGAATTTACTGGGGAAAGGGCTAATGGTGGTAGAGAGTGCGTGGGAGCCTTGCTTCCAGAGGGAAAATGGGTTTCTTTACTGACTCCTCTGTCAACCGGTACTGGACATCATCCTCTCCCACCATATTCCCCTTTTTCCTTCCTATTTTCAGTACACTTTCATTTTGTTATATTAAATTTCAATTATATTTTACCTGTGCCCTTTTCCATTGTGAACTTATTTAAAAACACTTATTTAAAAACAGACGTTCCAAGGAAATAGAAACAAGATTTTCTTTGTCTGGATTCATTTTGCCATTTAGGAAAGAGTTCTCCTGGTTCTCAAGATGTTTCATTCATTCAATAAATATTGATTATCTACTAAGTGCCAGACATTGGGGAAGTGAATCCACATCAGTGAACAAAACAGACAAAAAATACGTGCCCTCACAGAGCTTACATTCTAATGGGTAGAGATAAATATATAACATTTTTACTTTTCAGGCAATGAGAAATACTGTGGAGAAAAGTAAACCCAGAGAAGGGGAAGAGAAGTGTCAGATCACGTCATTTTATGTAATTATGTTTCCTTGGATTTCCGTCTCTCTAAATTGAACCCACAGTCCTTACAGTGGCCCAGAAGAGCCTGCGAGACCCATCCTGTCTCCCTGACCTCAGTCCCATCTGCTCATTCTCAACCACACTGGCCCCCTTGCTGGGGGAACCTTGGACATCAGCATCGTTCCTGCTTAGGACACTTTCCTTTCTCTCTGTGTAGTCACTCATCCTTTTGATAACTATAAGACCAACTTCCTTACCTGTTTTGTGGTCTTTACCCAGATGCCATCTTCTCACTAATGCCTTTGCTGACACCTTGTTTTAAATTTCAGTCACCCTCCTTACCTACCCCTAGTACCCCTACTCTCCTGGAGGTCACCCCAAACCACTATTTCAGCATGACCATTGGCAAAGCAGCATCACTGGCTTTCTCTCTAGAAGGCAGACCTGCCTACGGGCTGCAGAGTTCAAGCTTGTCTCTGTCCTTCGATCTTCTTGGGAGTTTTCTGTAAAGGCCCTGATTAGTGGCAGCACCATGGGAATCTCCCTGGCCTATTCAGTAGCATTGAATCAATCCTGAGTTTAATTAGCAGCAATTGCCAGGATGACGTTTTGGCCTTGTCATACCACGGGGCAGTACCTCTTAAGGATTGGATGTAGTTTTGTGCAATGAAGAGCCCTTCTTCAGATGGGTTATTTCTACCCCATGGTCTTTGGCTGAGTGTGTTTCGTATTAGTCTTCTTCCTTTTCTTGCCAGGCCATTCTTGTTCTCCTCCTCTCTCAGATGTTCTTCTCTTTCATCACCCTCTGTGATTGCCTCATCTGAGTTCTTAGCTTTCAGTTTCACTGGCCATGCTGACCTTTTATGTATTTATTGTTTTTGTTCAGAAACTGAAACTGCATCACATACATGCTGGTTTGTATCTGTCTCTCCCATTTTATTAAAAGCCTAGTTTTTTCTTCTGTGTCTCTACCACTTTCTGGGTCTTACAGCATTCAAGGGATCATCCCTGCTTCCACAAGCAAAGTTCCAGAGTCTGTGAATTTTATGACATAATAAACAAGTAGAAAATGTACTTGTCACAGGTTGGGTTCCCTGGGAAGCTGACTCCCAGGTGTAGTTTTGTATCCAGGATGTTTATTAGGGAATGCCCTTTGAAGGGTGGGAAGGCAGCAAGGGGGGCAGAAAAGGAGTTGAGCTGTAGAGCCAGCATGGCAGGAGCTCTGGAACTAGAATGACTCCTCTGAGTTGTCTTGACTTGGGCCAAGATGGCCAGGCCTTTATACTCCAGCATCCCTCAGTCCTTGCATCCTTGGGAAAGTGACCTTGGGCAAGGAGGATCTTTGCAGCTGAGGACATGCCTGCAAGAGGCCAACAACATCCCCATCAAGTGCAGCCCAAAGGCTTCTCTGAAGAGGGATCTGATCTCTGCTTCCCAGCATCTTCCACATTAATGTACGTGAAATTCAGCCACGGCTCCAAAATATGATGCAGTATTTTAGTTAAGAAGTAACATTCAAGGCTAGTTTTAGTTTAATACTGAAATTTGATTGAGTTCATTGAAATCCTAGGATGTTAGAGTCCAAAGAGGCCATAAAAATCCTTTATGCAACCCTCTTGTTTGACAGATAGGGAAGTGGAGTAAATAAACAAAGGAGAATAAATTTTAGTGTGGTTTCCCCAGAAACAGACCCCAAGACAAGAATTTGAGAGTAAGTGGTTTAGTTGAGAGGTTCTCCCAAGAAATATCAACAGGAAAGTAGAGAAGTGGGACAGGGAGGAAAAAGAAAGCAATAAAGGGTATAGTTTCAAGAGAATTACTGCTGTGGGCAACTGGAGCTCAATCCGTTTAAGGAACTCTAGGAACTAGTCTACACGCTTCAGGCTATCCTACCCAAAGGACAGGGAAATTGGGTTACTTGCCCATCAACTATCCATCCTCCTTGACTGAGGGCTGTTTCCTGGAGATGCTAACTTCCCTGCATTTTTGCCTCACTGTGGGAGAGGGCCCAGCCTGCTCCCAGAGCCAGAATAAAAGCCACAGGTGTTCAAGAAGGCTGCCTTCAGCATGTAGAGATGAGCGTGGAGGAGATAAGAGGGAGGAGGAGACAGTGACAGTGTCTGCTATAGGGGATTGCCTGAAACTGAACCAGAACTCTGGTATCCTGACTACTGACCAGGGTTCTTTATGCTGATTATTAATATCTTCCTACTCGGTGCCCAAAATTGTTCAACTAATCTAGTTAAGAGAGAGTGAGGGTATAGAAAGAACAGGGGATGTAGCCCCTTTCTGGGAAGTGCGCATATATGTTTGAAAGAAGAAGAGAAGATTTTATAAGCATTAATATCAACAGGTATGGATGAGATTGCATTGAAAGCTGTGCATTGCATTTGTCATTGTTGAGGTGCTGCTATAAGGGACTGTGCCAGAAGGGAAGGTGCTGTTTGTTTTGTTTTGTTTTTAAGATATTGAGTCTTGAACACAGTCTCAGTGGGAGATTTGAACATAATTGGCAGAGGCTGAGAGGCAGGATTGTGTACTGGTGAAGAGTTGGGGGCCTTTCTAGTGGGCAATCTAGTTTATCCTATATTCATCACTTTGTGGTCATTGGACAGTGGGCAAATTAAGCTTTGGTTTCTTCCTGTATACGGTGGGGCCAATTATAGAACCCAATTCATAAGGGTGTTGAGAGCATTCAATGAAGTAATTGATGTAAAAATATTAACCTAGAGCTTGCTGTGTAGGAGGTTGATAACATTAGCTGTGTTCGTGATTACTGTTGACAGAGGGAAGTGGAAAGGGGGAGGGTCAGGTGGGAGAATGGTCAGAGCTTGGGCAAGCACAAGATTCAAGAGGCAAATGGAAAAATAGTGTGAAGTGGAACTCCTGAGACACCAGGGAGGTGATGGGGAAAGTTTTATAAAAGTGAGAAGAGCTGCCCACTTAGACCACATTTTCATGGGAGCTGTCTTAGTTTGTTTTCTGTTGCTACAGCTGAATACCTGAGACTGGGCAATTTATAAAGGAAAGAAATGTATTGCTTACGTATCTGGAGGCTGGGACATCCAAGGGTGAGGTATCTGGTGAGGGCCTTCTTGCCGGTGGAGACCCTCTGCAACCTTCTGAGCTGGGCATCACATGGTGAGGGGCTGAGTGTGTCAGCTCAGGTCTCTCTTCATGTAAAGCCACTAGTCCTATCATGGTCCCCCCAGTGACATTACTAATCTTAATTACCTCCCAAAGCCCCACCTCTAAATGCCATCAACGTATGAATTTGAAGATTAAGTTATCAGCACATGAAATTTGGGGAACTCATTCAAATCATAAACAGGAGCTTAGGTCCCATCAAAGTGAAAGCTTACCAGGAAGCCCAATGTGTAAAAAAAATACGTAAACAGAGTTATGTGTTTGAAGGTGGAGTGGAGAACTATCTTCTCCCCTCCTCCCTCCACCCACAGCCCCTGAGGGAATTCTGAGAAACCCCAAGGCAGCAAGAACAAAAACAATGTCTGCAGAAAGATTTTTTAACACTACTGTAACACCTCATTTGTTCTGTATTGAGTTCATTTTCCAGAAAACCTTTTTTTTTTTTTTTTAAGAAACCCATCTTGGATGAAATTTTGTTTAAGTGTGTTACTTTTTTGCCTTCTTAACAAGGCTGAATGAAAACCTTTTAATCTGTTCTTGATGACTTTTGATCATAGTGATGAACATTTAGTTAAGGTTCTGTGCTTTAATGTGGTGATTTCCAACCTCAGAGTTTCTGAAGTGTTAGGACTGTTTACTGGCACTATGCTTTTGAAATTGTTAGAAGAAGCAGGGTGGCATCAAGGGAGGGTCCTGGACTTGGGAGCTACACTGTCCAGGATTATATCCAAGCCTTGCATTTTATTAGCATTGTGACCAGGTGTAACCACTGTTTGCCTCAATTTCTTCTTTCCCAAATTGAGAAGAATAATTGTACTCACCCCCTAGGATTATTGTGAGAAATAAATAAGTTTTTATATGTTCACTGCTTAGAACCATGCCTTCGTATAAAATGTGCTGTATAAGTGCTATGATGATGATGGTCGATGTATCTGTTTTTATGGTTCTTCTGTCTTTTTTGATGTAGTATGGTGGTTAAGCCTATAGACTCTGAAGCAAAATAACCTGGATTTGAATCCACCACCGTTGTGATCTGATTGTTTTAAGCTGATTAATTTTTGTGAACCTAATGATTTCAGTAAAACCCACCATTGTGACCTTGAGAGAGTTAATTTAATTCCCTGTGATTCAGTTTATTCTTCTGAAAAATGAGGCAAATAATACAAAGTAGTTAACAGGATTGTTGTGAGGATTAAATAGGATAAATTTGTAAGCTCTTAGCACAGTATTTGGCACATAGTGAGTAGTCATTGCATAGTAGTCATCGTTACTGTTAATTATTAAGAGTCTAAATGAGGGATACTGTAATATAATATACAGCCAGAAGTTGTTACTATATTTGACTCCTTAGAAGCCTTGAAAACTTCCTTCTTGTACTTAATTGGTTTCAGTAAATAGAGGTTATTAACTAATTATTGATCTTAAATAGTAAGTTATTTTCAATGTGCTTCTTAATGTTGGGGCAAGGGGTAGTTAGGCGAAAAGATTGGCCATTTATGCTATATAATATGCTTACTATCAAACTGTGACTCAACTTTTAGATGTATTTATGTTGAAGGAGTTAGATCATTCTTTGCTTAAAAGGTTGACATGATTAATGTTCAGATGAGGGGATATTTTCAAAGGAAGAAAAACAGTAAAGAAATGTGTTTGTGAAAATGACTAAAAACAATACAGGGTAAGCAGCAAATTTTCTGATGCAGAATACAGGCCAAACATGATTTAAAAAAGCAAGAAAGCAAACAAACAAAAATGGTGACTTTGCAGCCTTGATGGAGGTAGGGGCAGGGGAAGTGTTCAGCCACAATCTACCAGCAAACCCCTTGGTACTAAGCATTTTAAGGGCTAATTTAGGTCTCTAGAGCATGCCACTATCAAGACTAACCCATTCAGCAGGGCTTTGTATAGCCAAGGTTTTGTTGCATATTAAAATGTTTAGGAAAATTATCCAACATTTGGGAATAAGGCACAGGATGATTGCATGTCTTTTTAGCGTTTTCTTGGAGCACTTAAGACACCAGCCAAGGATCATGTAATTCTCTAGGAAAGTGTTCCTTTGTTTAACTTACTTTTTATTAGGATCCAGATTCTATGAAGTTAGATGTTAATTTGTAGATTGATCCCCTGCAAATGACTTCTGTCTGATAAAGAAGATAACCCCAAAGGTTATAGTTTTATTGCCCTATAGGATAGTAACTAGTTTTATTTCTAAATTAGCAATCTTATTTCAGTATTCTGTATTTCATTGACTGTATACACTTCAGTCTTTCCTGTATTACATTGAACCAGATGTGCCATCCTGCTGAGTTAAAATAAATTTTTGACATATGCTTAATATATATTTGTACAAGACTCATGTTTTTAATTTCTTGAAAACTACATCCTGATAAACCAATTACCTATATTAATGG